>NC_000017.11:79038850-79339261 GCF_000001405.40 Homo sapiens
GTTATGACGCTGGCTTTGCTGTGGGATTTGGTAAAATGCTTCTTAAGATCTTTTCAGGAAGGAAAGATTTCAACCTGGGTTTGCTCTGACTCCGAACAGCAGGCTTTTGAGGAGAGCCACCACCGCCAAAGTGGCCTTGTCCCTACCAGCCTGAGCCTGGGGCTCTCTGCTGGGGTTTCCCAGCCCCACCCCACCCCAGTGACAGCATCGTTCCTAACCCAGCTGCATCCTGGACCCCGTCTCTTCTGACCAAGGTGTGGAAAATCCCTTTGCTAGACTAGAAAGAGATAGACCAACATAAAAACAAATGCTGGTGCTTAGCTAGGGGCAATTTTGCCCCTGAGGAACAGGCATATTACCATGTTTGGAGACATTTTTTGTTGTCATAACTAGAGGTAGTGGTGCTAATGGCATCTGGTGGGGACAGTCCAGGGTTACTGCTAAGCATCCTACAGCACACAGGCTAGCCCCCCACCACAGGGGATTATCTAGGCCCAAACCTCAATGGTGCCAGGGTTGGCTGGCGCGGTGGCAAACGCCCGTAATCCCAGCACTTTGGGAGGCCGAGGCAGATGGATCACCTGAGGTCAGGAGTAGTTCAAGACCAGCCTGGCCAACATGGCGAAACCCTGTCTCTACTAAAAATACAAAAATTAGCCGGGTGTGGAGGCACACGCATATAATCTCAGTTACTAGGGAGACTGAGGCAGGAGAATAACTTGAACCTGGGAGGCGGAGGTTGCAGTGAGCCAAGATCGCGCCACTTCACTCCAGCCTGGGTGACAGAGCGAGACTCTGTCTCAAAATAAAATAAAACAAAAAAACCCAGCAATCCTTCAATGGTGCCAGGGTTGAGAAACCACAGAGTAGAATAATCCAAGGTAGCTTTTTAATGCGTTTTGTAGTTACTTTCCAACCTCTCTTAAATAAATATGTGTGTGTGTGTGTATATATATATATATGTAAATATGTATATATGTATATATATGTAAACATGTGTATGTGTATATATAAAATTTGGGATTCAGGAAAAAAATATTTAAAGAAAGGAAAATCTCTTTTCCTTTTAACTGGTACAAGTTTGCCACTTAAAAGGAAAAAACAGAATAATTATTAAGGCACCAAGGAGAAACAGAGGAAATACAGAAATGGAGAAATAAACAAATTTAGAGAATTCAGTCTGACAAATATTTGCTGAGCACCAGTGATTCAGGGTGCTGCAGGATGCTTGGCTAGGGGACGTCCCAGCCCTGGAGGAGGTCACCCACGGTCTGCTGAGTAGACTCTCATAGGCTAGACAAACTCTCTGCAGTAGGAGACAATAGGAAAAATAAAATTATGGCGCCCACCTATAATCCCAGTACTTTGGGAGGCCAAGGCAGGTGAATTGCTTGAGCTCAGGAGTTTGAGACGAGCCGGGGAAACACGGTGAAACCGTGTCTTTACGAAAAAACAACAAAAAAATTTAGCTGGGCGTGGTGGCGCATGCCTGTAGTCCCAGCTGCTTGAGAGGTTGAGGTGGGCAGATGGCCTGAGCCGGGAGGGTTGAGGCTACAGGGAGGCAGAGTGAGACCCTGTATCAAAAAAGAAAACTAAGACCGAGGATGGAGAATTTTTCCCAGTTGAGGGGCCTGGGAAGGCTTCAGGAAGACTATGAGACCTTGAGTTGGGTGTTGAAGACAAGGCGGGCAGGATTTTATTGTCATCTGTTGTCAGCCTGTCTGAGTCCAAATGCAGCCCCCCTGCTCAAAAATCAGTCTTGGCCCGGCGTGGAGGATCACGCCTGTAATCCCAGCACTTTGGGAGGCTGAGGTGGGCAGATCACTTGAGCCCGGGAGTTTGAGACCAGCCTGGGCAACATGGTGAAAATTTGTCTCTACAAAAAAAAAAAAAAAAAAAAAAAATTAGCTGGGTGTGGTAGTGCATACCTGCAGTCCCTTCTACTTGTGAGGCTGAGGTGGGAGGATGGCTCAAGTCCAGGAGGCAGAGGCTGCAGTGAGCCGAGATTGCACCACTGCACTCACTCACAGAGTGAGATCCTGTCAAAAAAAAAAATCAGAATTTTAGGCTAATTAGCTTCTCCAAGTCTCTGTTTTCTCATTTACATATCTGCTACAGTCATGAATGTATATTGTCTCCCTAGAGGATTGTGGGGCCATCCGTGATGGGATAAAAATTATTAATGAGGAAATGTTCTCAAACCTAACTAGACGGATAGCTGGAGAGAGAACTTAGATGTGTATTTTATAAATTACCATGTGCACATACACCCTTTTTTTGGCAAGTGGTGGGAGGTATCAGAGATTCTGGGTGGGGGCTGTGGCCTAAGCAGCTCCTTGGTCATTGGGACGGTCTCTGGGCCCTGACGCATGGGAGGGACAGCTGGCTGGTAGGACACTTGGAGGTGGGGGCTCCAGCTAAGCCACTGCAGAGATGGGGCGTGGGCCATGCAAGGTGGTGAAGACTGGGTGTAGGTATGTGTGACAGGGGAGGAGAGAGGTTCGGGGGGGCCAGCCTTGCTCTCCTCACTGTCACCTCGGAGGCTCTATCGGGAGAGCCCTGGACTCCAGATCTTCCCCTGCAATGTTGACTTGGCGTGAGGGCTCTGCGGGGAGCCCTTCAGACTTCACTCAAGAGCCCACTAAAGTCCTGGGCCGTGGCTCACGCCTGGAATCCCAGCACCTCGGGAGGCCGAGGTGGGTGGATCACTTGAGGTCAGAAGTTCCAGACCAGCCTGGCCAACGTGGTGAAACCCCGTCTCTACTAAAAATACAAAAATTAGCTGGGCGTGGTGGCGCATGCTTGTAATCCCAGCTGCTTGGGAGGCTGAGGCAGGAGAATCACTTGAACCTAGGAGGCGGAGTGAGCCGAGATCACACTGCTGCACTCCAGCCTGGGTGACAGAGCAAGACTCCATCTCAAAAAAAAAAAAAAAAAGCCCGCTACAGACATCCCCCGCAGAGGCTCCAAAGCCCCCGAGCGACGGTGTGTGTGGAAGAAATTCCCGGCTTCCCAAGATGAGTAAGACGTCGCGGTCATCTTGGTGTGTAATATGGGCAGAGAAAGAAATCTGTCAGGATTTTAACTTTCCTTAGACATAAGAGGAGTTAGAGGAGAAAGAGTCTGGCCCAGGGCCTTTGGAGATGAGCCCTTGCTTTCACTGTTTGCCTCTCAAGAAAGAGCTGGAGTCCACGCCGGCCTGGCAGCCAGGAGTGAGGGACGCTTCTCACCCACCTTCTCACTGGGCGGCTGTGTGTTGAATGAGGTGTTCCCACGGGGCCTGCGACATTTCGAGTTTTACATTTTGGTGAACAAAGAGGGGTTAGAGTTGACCACAGTCGCTGTGCCCCTCGGTGGGGAGGTTTTCGGCCCACCTGAAACGGCTGGGCCTGCGACTCCTGATGCCAGATTCCTGGGCGAGGGGAGCAAGCCGCTCACAGGGTGGCAGGTGGGCGTTCGCCTAATGTGGGCCCAAGTGCCGCCCCTCGCGGGCTCCCTGGACTCCCCACCTCCGTGAGCACCCCTTTCTAGAAGGACTGTCCCAATACTGGATGGAGGGGGTCCTGCCCCAAGCTTTTGCCAAAAGCTCTGGGAGTGAGACGTGGGGTTGGCTTCCTGGAAGGATGACTGCTCTGTGGGGCTGGGCTTGGCACATCCCTAAAGTAGATGCCAAGGACACCTGCTGATGCGCCGCCTGGTGGCCAGAAAGCAGCTTGCAGCCACCTTCCTACCCACCTACCCACCGGTGAAGGACCTGGTCATTGAGCCAGCTTTGCTTTGAGTTAAGGGATGATGATCATTCAAAGCTTGCTTGGGATTTTTCTTACTGTCCTAAGAGGGGTGGTATACAATTGTCTGTGGGGCCAGCGGCTGATGGACTCTCCTTCCCGAGAGGCTGGGTGGGCAGAGACAGCACCTTGCTCAGCAACCCCTCAACACCAGCCTGACTGGCTGAGGCTCTGGGGGCAGAGTGTGTGCGCACATGTGAAGGTGTGTGTACATGTGAGCGCATGTGTGCATGAGTGGATGTGCATGCATGTGAATGTGTTGAGAGTATGCGGGCGTGCACGTGAGTGTGCATGTGATGTGGGTATATGTGTGCATGTTAATGTGTGCACGTGTGTTGAAAGTGTGCATGTGTGGATTGCATGTATGCGAATGTGCATGTGTGTGGATTGCATGTATATGAATGTGTGTGCATGTGTGGGTTGCATGTGTGTGTGGGTTGCATGTGTGTATGTGTGTGCATGTGTGCATGGATTGCATGTATGTGAATGTGTGTGCATGTTGGATTGCATGTGAGTGCATGTGATGGTATATGTGTGTGAGTGCATGTAAAAGTGTGCATGTGTGTGGATTGCATGTGTGTGTGAATCTGTGTGCATGTGATATGGGTATATGTATGCATGTGTGTGCATGTGTGTTGAGAGTGTGCATGTGATTTGGGTATGTGTGCATGTGAGTTGTGCATGTGTGTTGAGTGCATGTGAGCATGTGGATTGCATGTGTGAGTGCATGTGTGTGGACTGTGTATGTGCATGTATGTGCATGTGAGTGTGAGTGTATGTGTGTTGACTGTGTGCATGTGAGCGTGTGGATTCCATGTGTGTTAAGAGTGTGCATATGGGTGCGTGGATTGCATGAGTGTGCATGTGATGTGGGTATATGTATGCATGTGTGTAGGTTTCATTGTTGAGACTGTGCATGTGTATTGTGTGTACATGTGTGTGGATTACATGTGTGTGGATTGCATGTGTGTTGGGTGCATGTGAATGTGTGGGTTGCATGTGAGTGTATGTGACTGTGTGTGCATGTGTGGATTGCATGTGTGTTGAGTGTGTGCATGTGTGGGGGTTGCATGTATGTGAATGTGTGTGCATGTGCGTGTGTGCACGTGAGTGCGTCGTGAGTGCGTGTATGCATGCATGGGTGTGTGAGAGTGATTGTCCTCCCAGAAGCTGTGTAACTGCAGCATTTCCCAGTGGCGTGAGGCTGGGGAAGCACCTCCGATTTCCAGGCTGTTTCTCTCCCCAATTTTCAGGCTGTTTCTCTGTGCAGCTCCTTCCTAACTCGGTGCCTTCCCTGTGTGTTTCTTTCCCACCAGGGCCCGGCAGGAAGATGGGCTCCCGTGGACAGGGACTCTTGCTGGCGTACTGCCTGCTCCTTGCCTTTGCCTCTGGCCTGGTCCTGAGTCGTGTGCCCCATGTCCAGGGGGAACAGCAGGAGTGGGAGGGGACTGAGGAGCTGCCGTCGCCTCCGGACCATGCCGAGAGGTGAGGGGCCACGAGGGTGTAATAGCAGGAGCTCTGGCTCTGGCCAGGCTGAGCCTGGGCCTTGGGGCCCCTGGGGGAGCTAGTTCACTGTGAGATGTGAAGGCAAGAAAGCTGAAGCTGAGCCGTGGCCCTGCTGGAGGCTGGTCCTGCAGGACAGACGAGCGATTCCTCCTTTCAGTGGCTTGGGCACCTCACCTGAAACTGCGGACAGTGATCCAGCCTCACCACGAGCCTAAAGGAGTGGGGTCTGCAAGTGGCTTTGCAGCTGCCTCCTTAAGAGCAGACCAAGCTCCCAACCTGCCCTCCAGTTTGTCTTTCCATTCTCACTTTGTCCGCTGAGAATATCTGCTGGGGACCTAGGCACCACTTGGAGGCAGGGAGAAGTGGAGCATGGCCTTAGGAGAGATGCTGGACCAAGAGCTGGTGTCCATGGCCCACGCGTCTTATCACACTGCAGGACAGGAGAGGACAGCGGAGACTGGGTGGGCCAAGTGTCGGCTTCCCTTGAAAGGTTGTGAAGGACTCTGGATGGCCTTCGTGTCTACGACCTGCAATGACAGAGAGACTCCAGCCGACCTGGGACATTTCCTAGGGAAGCCGAGTGCTTCATCCAACTGCCATGTACCCAGAGTGAGGTCCTGGAGACCCGGCGACAGCTCAAGCCTGGCTTGGAGTCTCTTCATTATTTTGAGCGTTGGGCTGACTTGATACTTGAGGCTTCAGACTAACTTCAGTGTACGATGGGATTGGACAGGATTTGAGGTTGAGTCACATCATTCCGTTCTTTCTTCCTCTCCCTCCTCTTTCTTTGATTGAGCCCCTCCTATCAGTCAGGCCATCCCCCAGGCACGGGGGGACACATGAGTGGCACAGTCCTGGCCTCCAGGAGCTCTGAGGCCGAGAGGGAGATAGACACATGAGAGACAGGGCAGCGTGGTGGGCTTTGTAGTAGGGGTGTACCCATGACGCTGGAGGCAGGGCCAGGAGAGGGAGGAGCGGGTCCCAGGAAGACTGAAAGGAGTGAACTAGGTCTTGAAGGACACCTGCGGGCCTCCCAGGTGCAGAAGGAGGGGAAAGCTACCTGGTAGCCAGAATGGGGTGTGCAAAGGCATGGCTGGTGGTGTTTGTTGGGCTGGTGGGTGGTTTGGGATGGTGAGACCCAGTGCTGGAGGCTGGAGGCTGGAGGACAGTAGGGCAGTTGAGCCTGGAGGCAGCTGGGTCTAGTTGGGGAGGGTCTCACCTGAACTCAATCCTACAAAGAACAAGAGGAATCATGGGAAAGCTTGAATTGGACGGTGTTCTCGGAAGAATGCCAGAGGGAGGCAGCAGAGAGGATGAGCTGGTGCGGGGAGGGGCAGATTCCAAGTGAGAGTCGAAATGGCAGGGGTGCATCAGAGATGATGAGGGCCCTGGGCTCAGTTCTGGAGGTGCCTTTTGGCTGGGAGCCCAGGACTCTGCTGAAAGTTGTGCCAGGGGGTTGGCGGAGGGAGTCGGGGGTGATGCCGAAGGCTCCACCCTGGGCACCCGCTGTTGATGCCAGGAACAGAGCTCAGAAAGAGAAGATTCCAGGGGCGAAGGGATGGGGACAGGGGTTTCGGTTTTGCATACATGACATCTGTGGGGCCTGTTGCATCTCCAGATGGAGACTTCTGGTGAGAAGTTTGAAGTCAAGGTCTGGGGCTTAGGAGAGAGGTAGGGGTGAGATGTCCATCTGGGAGTCCTGGGCTTATGGGTAGCTGAACTTAGGGCACAGAGATCCGTTTCCTGGATAGTCTGGGGTGCAGAAGTGGGAGCAGCATTAGATGAGGAGCTGGCCCATCCAGGGGGACTTTGCTGCCCCCGTGGGTCTGCGCAGCTCTACAGCCTGGGCAAGAAGAGCCACAAGCCAGAGCACATGTGATGCCATGAGGGGCCGCGAGGTGGCAGCCAGGAGCCGCCGCCGTCCATCCTGCCTGCGGGCTTGTCCTTCCAATCAGGTTGGAAACATAAGAGTCTCTCCAGCGGCTACAGCTGAGGGGAATCCTAAAGATCCAGTTGAACCTTCTTATTTGCAGACGAGTCAGCTTCATATGTTATTTTCTAGCATCACGGATATACGATAGGGAGTCCCGGCATTGTCTTGTGTCACCCAAAGACCCTCTCTTAGAAGTGTGGATTTCTCCCGAGCAGCCCCCATCTTGCGTGGCACTCAATTGATCGCTGCGTGTGTTTCCAGGACTGTCATTGCCTTTAACAGAGGGCAGGGGGCTCGTTCGGTAGTGAGGATCCCAGAGTGGGCCGTGAGCCCACCAGCGTGAACACAGAGCCTTGTGGGTCCAGGTGAGAGAGTGAGAAGGCAGGTCAGGCATGCCAGAACCACTGGCAGCAGGAGAGAGCAGCGTTTCCAGGCCTGAGAGTGGCTGACTTTCACTGTGATTCTTTATTCCCTCAGGGCTGAAGAACAACATGAAAAATACAGGCCCAGTCAGGACCAGGGGCTCCCTGCTTCCCGGTGCTTGCGCTGCTGTGACCCCGGTACCTCCATGTACCCGGCGACCGCCGTGCCCCAGATCAACATCACTATCTTGAAAGGTCAGATGGCTGCAAAGACAAGCACGGGGTGGCCGGGCTGCTCTGTGCTGATCCGGAGGAAGGGATGGAGTCGTTAGGGTGGGGCTAGGCGAGAGCAGAATGGCTCCCTCGGGACAGGGAGCAGAGGCAGGCAGGCTGTCATCTAGAGGGGAAGGCACAGGAAATTCTGATTTTGAGGCTCTGGCCCCTCTCCAAGAGGAGGGGTTGGAAAGGGGCCCACAGGACCAAGAGCAGGAGAGGGAGCCCAGAGGCTACTCGGGGTCTCGTCCCTCCAGTTGTATGTGGACGCCAGGCTTCTAGGCCCTTTGCTTTGGGGCTTGGTCCCCCAGCCTGCTTTCTGAAATGCCACCTGCTCGCTCCGGTCCTGCACACGGCAGATAACCCTGCACAGCCCCGTGAAATCGAACTGGAAACACTTGCAGCCTAGATCCCCAGCTGGCCCCGACATCTGGAGTTCATTTGCTCAGAGCGAGCCGTCGGTCTGGCCGCAGAGCCCATTGCTTTTGGACGAACCCGTATGTTCCATTTTCTTTTTTTTCTTTTCTTTTTTTTTTTTTTTACCAGGGCTTTCCAGAAGGAAAAAAAAATTATTGCTTCTGGGCGAAAATAGAACCATCCTTGAGGTTGAGTCTGTTTGCTTGGCCATTTTGGGAATCACAATACCTCTGTGCCAGGCTGGGACGCCGCCCGTGGCAGGGGGCTGGGGGCAGGAGTGAAGCTTCTGCCAGGTCAGGGCTGTGAGGACGAATCAGGACAGCGCCAGGGACCGGAGAGTGAGCAGCCAAGGCTCAGGACACTACCGGATTGCTCCATTAACAGCACGCGTTTTCCCATCCCTTTTAGGGGAGAAGGGTGACCGCGGAGATCGAGGCCTCCAAGGGAAATATGGCAAAACAGGCTCAGCAGGGGCCAGGGGCCACACTGGACCCAAAGGGCAGAAGGGCTCCATGGGGGCCCCTGGGGAGCGGTGCAAGAGCCACTACGCCGCCTTTTCGGTGGGCCGGAAGAAGCCCATGCACAGCAACCACTACTACCAGACGGTGATCTTCGACACGGAGTTCGTGAACCTCTACGACCACTTCAACATGTTCACCGGCAAGTTCTACTGCTACGTGCCCGGCCTCTACTTCTTCAGCCTCAACGTGCACACCTGGAACCAGAAGGAGACCTACCTGCACATCATGAAGAACGAGGAGGAGGTGGTGATCTTGTTCGCGCAGGTGGGCGACCGCAGCATCATGCAAAGCCAGAGCCTGATGCTGGAGCTGCGAGAGCAGGACCAGGTGTGGGTACGCCTCTACAAGGGCGAACGTGAGAACGCCATCTTCAGCGAGGAGCTGGACACCTACATCACCTTCAGTGGCTACCTGGTCAAGCACGCCACCGAGCCCTAGCTGGCCGGCCACCTCCTTTCCTCTCGCCACCTTCCACCCCTGCGCTGTGCTGACCCCACCGCCTCTTCCCCGATCCCTGGACTCCGACTCCCTGGCTTTGGCATTCAGTGAGACGCCCTGCACACACAGAAAGCCAAAGCGATCGGTGCTCCCAGATCCCGCAGCCTCTGGAGAGAGCTGACGGCAGATGAAATCACCAGGGCGGGGCACCCGCGAGAACCCTCTGGGACCTTCCGCGGCCCTCTCTGCACACATCCTCAAGTGACCCCGCACGGCGAGACGCGGGTGGCGGCAGGGCGTCCCAGGGTGCGGCACCGCGGCTCCAGTCCTTGGAAATAATTAGGCAAATTCTAAAGGTCTCAAAAGGAGCAAAGTAAACCGTGGAGGACAAAGAAAAGGGTTGTTATTTTTGTCTTTCCAGCCAGCCTGCTGGCTCCCAAGAGAGAGGCCTTTTCAGTTGAGACTCTGCTTAAGAGAAGATCCAAAGTTAAAGCTCTGGGGTCAGGGGAGGGGCCGGGGGCAGGAAACTACCTCTGGCTTAATTCTTTTAAGCCACGTAGGAACTTTCTTGAGGGATAGGTGGACCCTGACATCCCTGTGGCCTTGCCCAAGGGCTCTGCTGGTCTTTCTGAGTCACAGCTGCGAGGTGATGGGGGCTGGGGCCCCAGGCGTCAGCCTCCCAGAGGGACAGCTGAGCCCCCTGCCTTGGCTCCAGGTTGGTAGAAGCAGCCGAAGGGCTCCTGACAGTGGCCAGGGACCCCTGGGTCCCCCAGGCCTGCAGATGTTTCTATGAGGGGCAGAGCTCCTGGTACATCCATGTGTGGCTCTGCTCCACCCCTGTGCCACCCCAGAGCCCTGGGGGGTGGTCTCCATGCCTGCCACCCTGGCATCGGCTTTCTGTGCCGCCTCCCACACAAATCAGCCCCAGAAGGCCCCGGGGCCTTGGCTTCTGTTTTTTATAAAACACCTCAAGCAGCACTGCAGTCTCCCATCTCCTCGTGGGCTAAGCATCACCGCTTCCACGTGTGTTGTGTTGGTTGGCAGCAAGGCTGATCCAGACCCCTTCTGCCCCCACTGCCCTCATCCAGGCCTCTGACCAGTAGCCTGAGAGGGGCTTTTTCTAGGCTTCAGAGCAGGGGAGAGCTGGAAGGGGCTAGAAAGCTCCCGCTTGTCTGTTTCTCAGGCTCCTGTGAGCCTCAGTCCTGAGACCAGAGTCAAGAGGAAGTACACGTCCCAATCACCCGTGTCAGGATTCACTCTCAGGAGCTGGGTGGCAGGAGAGGCAATAGCCCCTGTGGCAATTGCAGGACCAGCTGGAGCAGGGTTGCGGTGTCTCCACGGTGCTCTCGCCCTGCCCATGGCCACCCCAGACTCTGATCTCCAGGAACCCCATAGCCCCTCTCCACCTCACCCCATGTTGATGCCCAGGGTCACTCTTGCTACCCGCTGGGCCCCCAAACCCCCGCTGCCTCTCTTCCTTCCCCCCATCCCCCACCTGGTTTTGACTAATCCTGCTTCCCTCTCTGGGCCTGGCTGCCGGGATCTGGGGTCCCTAAGTCCCTCTCTTTAAAGAACTTCTGCGGGTCAGACTCTGAAGCCGAGTTGCTGTGGGCGTGCCCGGAAGCAGAGCGCCACACTCGCTGCTTAAGCTCCCCCAGCTCTTTCCAGAAAACATTAAACTCAGAATTGTGTTTTCAGCATCCTGCCTCGTCAGTTTGCTCATTAAACTGAATCCTTTTCGTCTTCTCCTCTCCACCCAAGGCCCACTCCTGCCTGGGAGGCCCTCAGCTTCATACCTGGGGACATTGGTACCCAGCAGGTGCATGCTGGACCCTGAGTTGCCTCGCTCCTCCAGGGGGTGCAGCCTCCCATGGGTGGGGCAGCGACAGCGTGTCTCAGCTGCAGCTGAACGTGTGCCTGAGTCGGGCGCCTGGGGCCTGGGTGGGTCTGGGGACTTGTGAGAGGTGGGTGGGAGGCAGGGGCTTGATCTCCTGAGCAGGACCGCACTGTCCCCCGGGAGGGAGAGAAACTGTGGAGGTAGCAGCTTGGCCATGGCTCTGCAGCCTGGACACTATTCCTTTCCTAGGGCTGCCGTGGAAACTGGGGTTGGGGCGTGGGTGGCATAAGCCTCTAGCGGAGGGTCCTTCCTGCCCCTTCCAGCTATTGGTAGCCCCAGGCACTCCTTGGCTTGCGGCTGCATCTCCTCAGGTTCTGCTTCCGTCTTCATGTGGCCTTCCCCTCCGTGTGTCTCAAATCTTCCTCTCCCTTCCCTTACTATAACACCTGTTGCTGGATTTAGAGAATCAGGTAAATATTTAGGGCCCACTGTAAATCCAGGATGGTCTTCTCTCTAGATCCTAACTTAATTACGTCTGCAAAGACTATTTCCAAATAAGGTGACATTCACAGATAGCAGAGGTGAGGACTTGGACATATCTTTTTTTGGGGGATACAGTTCAACCTCTACCATGGCTTGCAGCTTGAATACACCCATCAGCAGCCCCCTCTGTTCTCCAGTGGTGCAGAGCAGATGTTCCTTCTTCTCTCCATCGCTTGCCAACTGGGTTAACAGCCAGGCACTGCATCCAGCTGCCAGCGGGGAGCACAGAAGCTACCTTGCTCTCTCTGGTGCCAGCAGGCTGCAAACAGCTGATCTCCTTCCTCTGCCCGCTCCTGGGGTGAGGCCATGTGTTCATGCTTGGCCTTGTGCTAGAGCCAGACTGGATCAAGGGGACCCTGCAATCCTGCTCTGTACGGGAGAAGGAGCAGGCTCCTACCTCCGCGGAGTTCAGGCCACTCAGCAGAGGATGTGCTTCCCAGGCAGTGGGGAGCAAGGGCTAAGTGCCCTTCCCAGAGGTGCCTGGAGGGAACCAGCCAGCTTCATACAGGTGCCCAATGACAACCCTCTCTGGAGACGGAGTCACGTGGACCATATAATACCTGTTTCTCTGCTGGCCAAATTCCCATGGGAAAAGAGGCAGGGTCTGCTCCAGTCCGCTCCATGCTCCTTTTAACATCCCTCTATCTTTGGGGTTTCCCCACCCCCAATATTTTCAGGCTGGCATTTATGCTCCACCCATTCTTCCTCCAAATATTTCCCTTGCTCCTGCTTTGTGGCAGATCGTGTGCTAGGCACTGGAGGCATAAGGACAGATAAGATATGGTCCTTGCCTTCCTGAGGACTTTCCCAGGGTTTCGACTGCCGTCTGACAGAGGTCAGCCTTCTCAGAAGAGCTGCACGCTTGGTACCAAGTGATCTGCTCCACCTGATGCCTCCCCAAGCAGTTGATCTTGACGGGATCCTCTCCCGGTTTCCTGTCCCAAGCTGGTGAGAAATTGGCTAGCCATCTCACTAAAGGGTCTAGAAAACTCAGTTGCAATACAAATATCAGTGTTTTAGCAAAAGGACTTAGTAATGGCTGATGACTCAGCCCAACGAAATAACTGCCTATGTTAGGACTTTCAGGAGCTTTTGTAGCCAGGGATGGGGATGAGGAGGTCATGGCCCACACTAGTCCTCAATGATAATTTTCTGTAAGGTCCACTATGGGAACGCAGTGGCGTGATGGCAAGCTGATTTTATTGGGCCATAATGACTAGCATAAGATGAGACATTGTTGCCCAGATTATTAAAAAAAAATAGAATGTAACAGAAAATAATAAATAATGCAAGATATCGATGTCCCAACATGCAAAAGAATGGAGTTGGGCCCCTACCTCACACCATATACGAAAATTAGGCCTTGGATCAAAGGCCTAAATATTAGAGCCAAAACTACAAAATTCTTAGAAGAAAGCCCAGGCATACATCTTCATGACCTTGGATTAGGTGATGATTTCTTAGGTATGATATCAAAGGTACAAGCAACAAAAGAAAAAAATAGATCAACTGCACATCATCAAACTTGTAAATTTCTGTGTTTCAAAGGACACCATCAAGTAAGTGAAAAGACAACTCACAGAATGGGAGAAAATATTTGCCATCATATATCTGATAAGGGACTTATATCTAGAATATATAAAGAACTCTTGCAACTCAATAATAAAAAGACAAATAATCTAATTAAAAATGGGCAAAGCAGCCCACACTTCTCCAGAGGAGATATACAAGTAACCAATACACACATGAACAGGTGTAATCATCAGAGAAATGCAAGTCAAAACCACAGTGAGACACAACTCTACAACCACCAATACACACATGAACAGGTGTATCATCAGGGAAACGCAAATCAAAACCACAGTGAGACAACTCTACAACCAATGGGAAGGCTGTTGTCAAGAAGACAGATGATAACATGTGTTGCTGAGGATATGGAGCTGCTGGAACTGCTGTCAGGAATACAAAATGGTGAGTCCCCTTTAGAAGACAGCCTGGCAGTTCCTCAAAATGTTAAGCATAGAGCTACAGCTGACCCAGCCATAACACTTCTAGGTATATACCCAAAAGACATGAAAATATATGTCTATGAAAAGCTTATAGATAGATGTTCATAGCAGCATTATTAGTAATAACAAAGAAGCAGGTACAACCCAAGTGCCCACTCAGCTGATGAACAGGTAAACAAATGCAGTGTGTCTATACAAAGCAGGCAGATCACAAGGTCAGGAGTTCGAGACCAGCCTGGCCAACATGGTGAAGCCCTGTTTCTACTAAAAAAATACAAAAATTAGCCAGGCGTAGTGGTGTGTGCCTGTAATCCCAGCTACTTGGGAGTCTGAGGCAGGAGAATTGCTTGAACCTGGGAGGCAGAGGTTGCAGTGAGCGGAGATCGTGCCACTGCATTCCAGAGCCTGGGTGACAGAGCAAGACTCACTCCATCTCAAAAAAAAAAAAAAAAAAAAAAAAAGGAATGAAGTGCTATTACCTACTACAACATTGGTAAACCTCAGAAACATTATCAAAAGGGAAAGAAGCCAGACAGAAAAGGCCATACGTTGCATGATTCCATTTATATGAAATGACCAGAATAAGCAAATCTAAACTAAAAATTACTGAATTCTACACTTTAAATGGATGATTCTATGGTATGTAAATAATATCTCAATAAACAGCAGTTATCAAAACAAGTAACACAAAACCAAAAAATTAGGCTGCCGCAGCCTTCTCTATTCAAGGCTGGAAAGTCCTGGAGCTCCAGAGTCATGACCTTCAGAGTTGGTCCCATTGTTCTGGGCTTGGCTTACGATGGCACAGGGGCCAAGGGCCAGTGAGATGGGATGGGAGTGTCAGGGTTAGTTTTTCCAAGGACATTGTTGAACAAGCATTTTTGAATCAACTGGTGGGTGAGATCACAGAGTCAGCAGGAGGCTGATGCAGGTGCCAGGGGAAGCATTCCACAAGGAATGACTAATTGAGGACCATGTCTTCCTCTCTAAAGTCCTTCCACAGCTGGGGCAGGGATGGGAAACTATGGTGACCTCAAGTGCTCCCATATCCTGCCCTTCCTAGGGCAGAATGGAGTAAGCCCATTTCTCATTATGCAGATGGCCAGGCAAGGACAAGGAATTTCTACTTCAGACACTTTTATAGATAGGATTAGAAGTCCATATGCTCTGGAAAATTTGGAAACCTCCTTGCCTAAAGACAGGAAATGTTCCAACCGCTCAATTGACATAGCCACTAAGTTAGTTCTCCAAGCAACTTGAGATCCTGCTTACTGAGATATTCCACAAGAATGTATTAAATGCCTACCACATGAGGGAAAAAACTCTTACCATTTAGAGTTATCACAATCAGAATATAAAATAACTATGCTTGCTACATTCAGGGAGGTAAAAAAAAAGGATTGATATTTGTGGCAGAAAACTTTAATGATGGTGATGATGGTGGTGATAATAAAGAAGCAAATGGAAGCTCTAGAAGTGAAAAACAAAACAAATGAATTTAAGAGCCTGGGCAACATGGCAAAATCCCATCTTTACAAAAAAATACAAAAGCTAGCCGGGCATCGTGGCACATGCCTGTAGTCCCAGCTACTTGGGTGGCTGAGGCAGGAGGACCACTTGAAACTGGGAGGTGGAAGCTGCAGTGAGCCATGCTTGCACCACTGCATTCCAGCCTGGGGTACAGAGTGGGACCCTGTCTCAGAAAAAAAAAAAAAGAAAAAGAAAAAAAAAAATAAACTAAGAATTTGGTGGATAAATATACCATCATACTGTACACAGCTGAAAAGAAAAATCAGTGAATTAGAAGAGAAATCAGAAGAAAATATTTAGAAAGAAGTATGGAAAGACAAAAGGATGAAAACACAGAACAAAAGTACAGAAGTGACAATAAGAAGGCCCAATACACGTGCAACTGGAGTCCCAGGAGGCAACATGAGAGAGAAAAGGCAACAGAAATATTGGAAGATAAAATAGCTGAGAAAAATCACCCAATTGATCAGTCTCTAAGGTACAGATTCAAGAAACTCAGTGAATCCCAAGCAAGACAAATAAAACCAAGGTCACAGCCAGCATGGCATATCATGGTACAACTACTAAAAACCAAAGACCAAGAGAAAGTCTTAAAAGCAGAGGGGAAAATATTTTCTTTCACAGGAGCAATAATAAGTATCACAACTGACCTCTGCTGTGGTTTGGATTTGTGTCCTCACCCAAGCATGTCAAATTGTAATTCCCAATGTTGGAGATGGGGCCTGGTGGGAGGTGATTGGGTCATGGGGGTGGTTCCCCCTTGAGTCCCCCTGTTCTTGTGATAGAGTTCACATGAGATCTGGTTGTGTCAAAATGTCTTCCCCGTCTCTCTCTTCCTCCTGCTCTGGCCATGCAAGACCAGCCTGCTTCCCCTTTGCCTTCTGCCATGATTGAAAGTTTCCTGAGGCCTCTCCAGAAGCCATCATGCTTCCTCTACAGCCTGAAGAACTGTGAGCCAATTAAACCTCTTTTCTTTGTAAATTGCCCAGTCTCAGGCAGTTCTTTATAGCAACAAGAGAATGAACAAATACAAGCAAAAGAGCAGAAGCCACAAGATAGCGGAATGGAATGTTTAAAGGGCTAGAAATAACTGTCCATCTCAGTTCTATTTCCAATTAAAATATTTTTAAAAAGATATTTTCAAACAAACAAAAATTGGGAGACTCTGTCACTGGAAAACCTGCACTGAGAGAAAATGAATGCAGAGGAAAGGTGAGAGATGCAGGGAGGAATCCAGGCCTAGAATAATGGTGAATTTGGTGGCGATTCTCAACGGATGTCGCCAGTAAGAAAATAATAATCTTGGAAACCAGTCGGAAAATTCTCAGAATGTTAAACATAGAGTTTCCACATGACTCAGTACTTCCACTAAGTGTATACCCAAGAGAAATAAGGACAAGCTCCCACACAAAAGCTTGTACTCCAATGTTCCTAGTAGTATTCATAATAGCCAAAAAATGGAAGCAACCCAAATGTCCATCAGTGGGTAACGGAATAAATAAAATGTGGTGTGTCCATATGATGGGCTATTATTTGGCTATAAAAGGAATGAATTAGTGATGCATGCTACAGCATGGAATGAACCTCAAAACATTACACTGTGTGCGAGAAACCAGACATGAAGACCACATATTGTGGGATTCCATTTATATGAAATCTCCAGGGGAGGCACATCCATGGAGACAGAAAGCAGACGAGAAGTTTCCAAGGCTGCTTGTGTGTGGTGGGGGGATTAGAATACGACTGCTAGTTGGTTTCTTTTTGGGGAGACAAACTGTTTGTTTGTTTGTTTTTTTGAGATGGAGTCTTGCACTGTTGCCCAGGCTGGAGGGCAGTGGCATGATCTTGGCTCACTGCAACCTCTGCCTCCCAGGTTCAAGTGATTCTCCTGCCTCAGCCTCCCAAGTAGCTGGGATTACAGGTGCATGCCACCACGCCTGGCTAATTTTTTTGTATTTTTAGTAGAGACAGGGTTTCACTATGTTGGTCAGCCTGGTCTCAAACTCCTGACCTTGTGATCCACCAGCCCCGGCCTCCCAAAGTGCTGGGATTACAGGCGTGAGCCACCATGGCCGGCTGAGACAAACTGTTCTAAAACTAGATTGTGGTGATAGCTGCACAACTCTGTTAATTGTCTTGTTGTTGTTGTTGTTTGTTTGTTTTTGGAGACAGAGTCTCGCTCTGTCACCCAGGCTAGAGTGCAGTGGTACGATCTCAGCTCACTGCGACCTCCACCTCCTGGGCTCAAGTGATTCTCCTGCCTCAGCCTCCCGAGTAGCTGGGATTACAGGTGTGCGCCACCATGCCTGGCTAATTTTTGTATTTTTAGTGAGACAGGGTTTCACCATGTTTGTCAGGCTGGTCTTGAACTCCTGACCTCAGGTGATCCACCCACCTCGACCTCCCGAAGTGCTGGGATTACAGGTATGAGCCACCACGCCTGGCCGAACTGTTAAAGAAGACCTTATTTAGTGACTCTTGTTAAGGCATGGTAAGGCAGACCTTATCAGGACTGTTGAGACAGGTACAGGGACCATTGCAATGGGGTCTTGTGGTGGAGGAAAGGGATTGGGTGTAACCCAGAATACAGCTTGGGCAAGTGGGGATTTATAGCCGGGGAGCAGGGTGGGGGTCAGTGGGTGGAAAATTCCTAGGAGGAAACATCGGGGTGAGGGGGTTCTGGCTATAACCATTAGGTTTTTATTGTGGCAGCATCTGTAGGGAATGCTGGGCTGTGAGTCAGCACTGCTTCCCAGTGCATGTATAAGTTATGTTTACGCTATACTATAGTCTATTAAGTGTGCAACAGCATTAATTCTTATCAAAAATGTACATACCTTAATTTAAAAAATACTTTATTGGCCCAGGCATAGTGGCTCACGCCTGTCATCTCAGCACTTTGGGAGGCTGAGGCAGGTGGATTTCTTGAGCCCAGGAGTTCAAGACCAGCCTGGGCAACGTGGTGAAACCCCATCTCTACAAAAAGTTAGCTGGGCATGGTGGCACATGCCAGTACTCCTAGCTACTTGGGAGGCTGAGGTGGGAGGACCACTTGAGCCCAGGGAGGTCAAGGCTGCAGTGAGCTGAGATTGCACCACTGCACTCAACCCTGGATGACAGAGTGAGACTGTGTCTCAAAAAACAATAATAATAATAAGAATACTTTATTGGCTAGGTACAGTGGCTCACACCTGTAATCTCAGCGCTTTAGGAGGTCAAGGTAGGAGGATTGCTTGAGCTTAGGAATTCGAGACCAACCTGTGCAGCAAAGTAAGGGCACCTATCACCTATCTCTACAAAAAATAGAAAAAATTTAGCCAGGCAGAGTGGCACACGGCTGTGGTCCCAGCTACTCGGGAGGCTGAGGTGGGAGGATCACCTGAGCCCAGGGAGGTTGAGGCTGCAGTGAGCCATGATAGCATCTCTGCACTCCAGCCTGGGTGACAGAGCCAGACTCTATCTCAAATAATAATAATAACCATAATAATAATAATAATAACAACAACAACACAACTTTGGGAGGCCGACGTCACCTGAGGTGAGGAATTCGAGAACAGCCTGGCCAACATGGTGAAACCCTGTCTCTGCTAAAAATACAAAAATTAGCCAGGCGTGGTGGTGGGCACCTGTAATCCCAGCTACTAGGGTGGCTGAGGCAGGAGAATTGCTTGAACCTGGGAGGTGGAGGTTGCAGTGAGCTGAGATTGCACCACTGCACTTCAGCCTGGGTGACAGAGCCAGACTCTGTCTCAAACAAAACAAAACAAACAAAAAACAAAACCAAAACTCTTCAAAGAAAATGAACAGGGCTAGAATCTAATACTGGATGCAGCATGGTTTTTTTCTGAAACATACCATGTCACCCTTGGCCTTAAAACTCCCCTCCTCATGTGGTTATTTGTGTTACACCCGCTTATTCCTCACCCCACTGACCCCAAACCCAACACATCCCACCATTGCCGACTGTGACAAAAACTTAGTGGCCAACACCAGAGTCATGGCAATAAGTTCCCCTTTTGTGTGTGTTTTCTTTAAACGAGCAATCCACAACCCCCACAAGAAAGAATAAGATAATGCCCATGGGCCTTAACGAGGGCCTGATCTCACAGGTCCCCACCCACCCCACCGCCACGTACACATATACACCTCCCCCGCTGGGTGAGCTCCCTGCTGTCTCTGGACTGCCCATCGCCCTCTCAGGCACGTTGTTCTCTCCAGGGTCTGTGAGTAATAAACTGCTTCTCTTCCGTCATGTGTTCTGTAATGATGCCTCCTGGTCAGGGCTCTTCTAGAGAGTCACTGTCTTGGTAGGGACACAGGTCACACAAAAGCCACAAGGGCTTCCAGTGGAAACAAGTTTCCTGGGAGAGGAACACCTGGTGACACATAGGCATTAGGCCATCTACCAGAATAAAGAAGGCTCTTATGGCCAGGCGTGGTGGCTCACACCTCTAATCCCAGCGCTTTGGGAAGCCAAGTGGGACAGATCACCTGAGGTCAGGAGTTGGAGACCAGTCTGGCCAACACAGTGAAACCCCATTTCTACTAAAAAATACAAAAATTAGCTCAGTGTGGTGGCGCATGCCTTTAATCCCAGCTACTTGGGAAGCTGAGGCAGGAGAAATGCTCCAACCCGAGAGGTGGAGGTTGCAGTGAGCTGAGATCATGCCACTGCACTCCAGGCTGGGCGACAGAGAGAGACTCTGTCTCAAAAAAAGAAGCCTCCTGTGAAAGGCATACTGCAAACGCCCACCAGCACTTCCCCTGGAGCCTTGTCAGGGCGAGTTTACAGGCACCCTCCAGAAGAGACCTGAAGGCCAAATTAGAGGAAAATCACACCACCACTGAGCAGTACACTTAAAATGGGCAATTTAGCAAATCTTATGTGTGTTTTATCACAGTAAAAAATCTGGAAAAAAAAAAACAGGAAGCGGAGAAGTGGACGGTGGTTGGGGTTGGGCAATGAGTACATTTGTATTTGTGTGTGTGTGTGTGTGTGTGTGTGTGTGTGTGTGTATGTGTGACAGAGTCTCCGTCTGTCACCCAGGTTGGAATGCAGTGGCGCGACCCTGGCTCACCGCAACCTCCACCTCCTGGGTTCAAGCGATCTGCTGCCTCGGCCTCCTGAGTAGTTGGGATTACAGGCACGTGCCACCATGCCTGGGTAATTTTTGTATTTTTAGTAGAAACAGGGTTTCACCATGTTGGTCAGGCTGGTCTCAAACTCCTGACCTCGTGATCCACCAGCCTCGGCCTCCCAAAGTGCTGGGATTATAGGCGTGACCCACTGTGCCTGGCCACATTTGTATTTTAAATTCTACATAATGTGCATTGTGTGAGGTGCACATGCTACCTTTTTAGTATGAAAAACCAAGCTAGCAGCCGGGCATGGTGGCTAATGCCTGTAATCCCAGCACTCTGGGAGGCCAAGGCAGGTGGATTATTTGAGCCCGTAAGTTCAAGACCAGCCTGGGTAACATGGTGAAAACCCATCTCTACAAAAAATGCAAAAAGTAGCTGGGCATGGTGTCATGCGCTTGTGGTCCCAGCTGCTCAGGAGGCTGAAGGGGGAGGTGTGGCAAACTTCATTCTTGTCTTTTTTTTTTTTTTTTGAGACAGTATCGAGCCCAGGAAGTTGAGGTCGCAGTGAGCTACGATCCTGCCAACTGCGCTCCAGCCTGGGTGACAGAGCCAGACCTTGTCTCAGAAAAGCAAAATAAAACAAACAAAAACAAGTAAAACCAAACTAGCACAAAAAGCTATATGTCTTTATTATAGAAAAATATTCAAATAGAAGCTGGTTATTTTAGTTTAAAGTAAAGTATCGGGCCAGGCGCGGTGGCTCGTGCCTGTAATCCCAGCACTTTGGGAGGCTGAGGGGGGCCGAGGAGGGGCGGATCACCTGAGGTCAGGAGTTCGAGACCAGCCTGGCCAACATGGTGAAACCCCGTGTCTACTAAAAATACGAAAAAAAAAAAAAAAAGCCCGGCGTGGCAGCACATGCCTGTAATCCCAGCTACTTGGGAGGCTGAGGCAGGAGAACCCTTTGAACCTGGGAGGCAGAGGTTGCAGTGAGCTGAGATAGCACCACTGGACTCCAGCCTGGGTGACAGAGCAAGACTATCTCAAAAAAATAAAATAAATTATCTCTCAGATTAAGAAAACATATATCATATATATATTAATAGTAAAGCTTTAGTTGCCATAGCTAGAGATTCCTCTGATGGATCTGGGCAAGTCAACTGAAAACCTTCTGGAAGAGATTCCCCATTCTAGATGACATTAAGAACATTCATGATTCATGGGAGGCCAACATTCACAGGAGTTTGGAAGAGCTTGATGCCAACCCTCATGGATGGCTTGGAGGGTCCAAAATTCCAGTGGAGGAAGGAACTATAGAGGTGGTGGAAATAGCAGAGAACTAGAACAAGAAGCGGAGCTTGGAGATGGGACTGAGTTGCCACAATCTCATGATCAAACTTAAATGGATGAGAGCTGCTTCTTAGGGATGAGCAAAGAAAGTGGTTTCTTGAGATGGAATCTACTCCTGGTGAAGATGCCATGAACATTGTTAAAATGACAACACAGGATTTAGAATATTCCATAAATGTAATTGATACAACAGTGGCAGGGTTTGAGAGGACTGATTCTAATTTTTTTTTTTAGATGGAGTTTTGCTCTGTCACCCAGGCTGGAGTACAACGGCATGATCTTGGCTCACTGCAACCTCTGCCTCCCGGGTTCAAGCGATGCTCATGCCTCAGCCTCCCAAGTGGCTGGGATTACAGGTACCCGCCACAGTGCCTGGCTAATTTTTGTATTTTTAGTAGAGGCGGGGTTTCATCATGTTGCCCAGGCTGGGCTCCAACTTCTGACCTTAACTGATCACTTTAAATCCCAAAGAGCTGGGATTACAGGCCAAGCCACCATGCCTGGCCTGATTATAATTTTGAAAGAGGTTCTTCTGTGGGTAAAATGCTATCAAATATTATTGCATGCTGCGGAGAAATCTTTCCTGGATGGAAGAGTCCCTCGGTGTGGCAAATTTCATCATTGTCTTTTTTTTTTTTTTTTTTTTTTTGAGGCAGAGTCTCACTCTGTTGCCCAGGTTGTGCAGTAGCACAATCATGGCTCACTGCAGCCTTGACCTCCCCAAGCTCAGGTGATCCTCTCACCTCAGCCTCCCTAGTAGCTGGGACTACAGGCGTGTTTCAGCATGCCTAATTTTTTTTTTTTTTTGTAGAGAGGCGGTTTTGCCATGTTGCCCAGGCTGGTCTTGAACTCCTGGGCTCAAGCAATCCTCCTGCCCTGACCTCCCAAAGTGCTGGGATTACAGGCGTGAGCCATGGTGCCCAGCCCTGTTGTCATATTTTAAGAAATTGCCACAGCCAGCTGGGCATGGTGTCTCATGCCTGTAATCCCAGTATTTTGGGAGGCCAAGGTGGGTGGATCACGAGGTCAAGAGATCAAGACCATCCAAGCCAACATGGTGAAACCCCGTCTCTACTAAAAAATACAAAAATTAGCTGGGCATGGTGGCGCATGCCTGTAGTCCCAGCTGCTCGGGAGGCTGAGGCAGGAGAATCGCTTGAATCCGGGAGGCAGGGGTTGCAGTGAGCCGAGATCGTGCCACTGCACTCCAGCCTGGCGACAGAGCTAGACTCCATCTCAAAAAAAAAAAAAAAAAAAAAAAAAAGAAATTGCCACAGCCACCCTAATCTTCAGTAACCACCACCCTGGACAGTCAGCAGTCACCAACATTGAGGCAAGATCCTCCACCAGCAAAATGATGACAACTAGACTTGCTGAAGGCTTAGATAATCACTAGTAATTTTTAGCTATATATATATATATATATATATATATATATATTTTTTTTTTTTTTTTTTTTTTTTTTTTTTTTTGAGATGGAGTTTTGCTCTTGTTGCCCAGGCTGGAATGCAGTGGCATGATCTCAGCTCACTGTAACTTCTGCCTCCTGGGTTCAAGTGGTTCTCCTGCCTTAGCCTTCTATTACAGGCATCTGCCACTATGCCCGGCTAATTTTGTATTTTTTTGTAGAGACAGGGTTTCACCATGTTGGCCAGGCTGGTCTTGAAATCCTGACATCAGGCAATCCACCCACCTCGGCCTCCCAAAGTGCTGGGATTACAGGCATAGGCCACCGAGCCCGGCCACAATAATGTATTTTTAAATTAACGTGTGTACCTTGTTTCTTAAGACATAATGGTATTGCACACTTAATAAACTACAGTATAATGTAAACATTACTTTATAATTAATTAATTTTTTTTTTATTTTAGAGATGGGGGGTCTCACTCTGTTGTGCAGGCTGCAGATCCATGGTGCCAACACAGCTCACTTCAACCTCCAACTCCCAGACTCAAGCAGTACTCCTCCAGCCTCCTGAGAAGCTGGGACCGCAGGCATGCACCACCACGCCCGGCTAATTTTTGTATTTTTTTTGTTGTTGTTGTAGAGACAGGGTCTCACTATGTTGTCCAGACTAGTCTTGAACTCCTGGGCTCACTTGGTCCTCCTGCCTCAGCTTCTCAAAGTGCTGGGATTACAGGCATGAGCCAAGGTGCCCAGCCCATAAACATAACTTTTATAGGCTCCAGGAAACCAAAAAATTGTAACTCACTTGTATTAGTTTGTTTTCACGCTGGTGATAAAGACATACCCAACACTGGGCAATTTACAAAAGAAAGACGTTTAACGAACTTACAGTTCCACGTAGCTGGGGAGGCCTCACAACCATGGCAGAAGGTGAAAGCTACATCTCACGTAGTGGCAGACAAGAGAGGAGAAGAGACCTTATGCAAGGAAACTCCCCTTTTTACAACCATCAGATCTTGTGAGACTTATTCACTATCACGAGAGCAGCACGGGAAAGACCCGCCCCCATGATTCAGTTACTTCCCATTGGGTCCCTCCCACAACATGTGGGAATTCAAGATGAGATTTGGGTGGGGACACAGCCAAACTATATCATCACTTTATTGCAATATTAACTTTACTTTGGTGGACTCAACTGAATCTGCAATATCTTTGAGGCAAGCCTGTACCAAATTAATTACATTGTTGCATAACAAACCACCTACCTAATAGCTTAAGAAGAAAACATCAGTTCCTCATCCGTCATGATCGTGGGGGTTGGCAGGTGGATCTGCTGGCTTTATTTGGCTTGTTCATGAGGCTTTCTGCAGCAGGTAGTTCAGCTGGAGCCAGGTGGCCTATGATGGCCTCACGCACGTGTCTAGGGCCTCAGCTGAAAGGGCTGAGGTGTCTATGTCTCTCTCCCCGCATCCTCTTTCATCCCAGGCTTCTTCGGAGTGTAGTGATCTCAGCACAGTGCTCCAAGAGGGTAGGAGAGGAATATATGAGGCCTACTGGGACCGGGCCTCGGGAGTCACATGGTGGCCCCTCCATCCAGTCACAGGGCCAGCCCAGGGAAGCGGTGGGTAACAGACTTCACCATGTCATGGGAGGAGATGCAGAGAATCTGCAGCCATCTTTAACACATCAGAGAGGCCACTTACAAAATGTCATTTACCCAGAGGCAAATCTTTTTTTTTTTCAAGATGGAGTCTTGCTCTGTCACCCAGGCTGGAATGCAGTGGTGCAGTCTCGGCTCACTGCAACCTCTGCCTCCCCAGTTCAAGTGATTCTCCTGCCTCAGCTAAGTAGCTGGGACTATTGGCACCTGCCACCATGCCCAGCTAATTTTTGTATTTTTAGTAGAGATGGGGTTTCACCATGTTGGCCAGGCTGGTCTCAAACTCCTGACCTCAAGTGATCCACCCACCTCCGCCTCCCAAAGTGCTAGGATTATGGGCAAGAGCCACTGTGCCCAGCCCCAGAGGCAAATCTAACAATCAATGTGTAAGACCTTTACACAGATAACTGTTAAGAAGTATAAAATTGAAATCCACGGACAGCACGTTGGTTCTTATTCTCTGAAAAGATGCCAAGACAGGATTGGAAGTCCATGAGATTTATTTGGGGACGTGTTTGTGAAGGATAAAGGCAGGAGGAGGCTGCAGTGGGGAGCTTAGACTACGTGGGAAAGAGAGGGCAAGGCAGGAGAATTGGGTTGGAAGAATCTCAAACTGTAGCACAGTTCCCAGAAAGGTTTGGCCAGGCTGATGGGTAGTCCTTGAGCAAACATGATCCTTTGTCACAATGCTGTGCTCAGTCATGGGCTAAGAGCAGACTGTGGGCAGCACAGCCTCAGCCTGGCTTTGTGAAATCCCCAAAGACAGCAGCTCAGCCCTCCAGTCACCTGTTCCCCTGTGCCCAGCAGGAGATCTGAGTGGTGCATCTGCTTGGTCTCCGTGGAAGAATATGCCATACTCGTGTGCTGTCAAACCCAATCATATAATGATGTCAATTTTTTCCCAACCCGGGATTTCAATTATATCTCAATCCAAATTCCAGTAGAAATCAACAGAATAGGCTGGGCTCAGTGGCACACTCTTGTAATCCCAGCACTTTGGGAGGCCGAGGCAGGCAGGTGACTTGAGGTCAGGAGTTCCAGACCAGCCTGGCCAATAGAGTGAAACCCCATCTCTACTAAAAATACAAAATTCAGCTGGGCATGATGGCCCACACCTGTAATCCCAGCTAGTTGGGAGGCTGAGGCACAAGAATCGCTTGAACCTGGGAGGCAGGGGTTGCGGTGAGTGGAGATCACGCCACTGCACTCCAGCCTGGGCGACAGAGCGAGACTCCATCTCAAAAAAGAAGAAAGAAACTGAAAGTACGATTCTAAAAGTTATGTGGGGCCGGGCGCAGTGGCTCACACCTGTAATCCCAGCACTTTGGGAGGCCGAGGTGGGAGGATCACCTGAGGTCAGGAGTTCAAGACCAGCCTGGCCAAATGGCAAAACCCCGTCTTTACTAAAAATACAAAAATTAGCTGGGCATGGTGGTGTGTGCCTGTAATCCCAGCTACTCAGGAGGCTGAGTAGGAGAATCGCTTGAACCTGGGAGGTGGAGGTTGCAGTGAGCCAAGATTGTGCCACTGCACTCCAGCCTGGGAGACACAGTTAGACTCCATCTCAATAAAATAAAATAAAATAAAATAAAATAAAAATTATATGGAAATATAAGGGCCAAGAATATCCCTGTTAATCTTGGAGATCAAGGTCAGAGAACTTGTTCTGCTAAATATAAAGATTTATTTTAAAGCTTCGACATTAAGACTTTGGGATGTGCACAATAAAGACAAATGGAATAGAGGGCTCAGGCACGTGTGGATGTGTGACTT
Organism: Homo sapiens; assembly: GCF_000001405.40. Taxonomy (NCBI): domain Eukaryota; kingdom Metazoa; phylum Chordata; class Mammalia; order Primates; family Hominidae; genus Homo; species Homo sapiens. The sequence goes on from NC_000017.11 coordinate 79,065,280, forward strand.
TCCAGAAGGGGGCACTGCAGAGCCACAAAAGAGACTTTCTGGAAATCATGTGATGACTGGAGGGACATACGATAAAAAATAAAATAAAACGTGTCCCCTTCCCTCACGTCATAAATAAAAGCAATTGCAGGTGAGCTGCAGATTTGAAGATTAACGGAAAAACAGTAACGCTTGCGGAAAATAACAGAGGATGGCGTAGCCCATAAGGTCATGACTTTGAAGTAAGGAAGTGTCTTTAGAAAAATCCACGAAACTACTAATAATAAGAGAAAAGGCTGATGAACTTTACTACAGTAAAATTAAGAACTTTTTTTTGATGGGTTAAGGAGGAGCTAAAAGTAGAAATTACAGAGTATTTAGAACTTCATGAAAATGCAAGTACTACCCCATCAAAACCTATGGAGTAACAAGAGAAGTGATTCTCAGGGGCACACGTGTCCCTGAGACTGCATGCATTTGAAAACAAAAAAGATTTAAAAATAAGCGAACCCCAATTCGCAATTGCAAAATCATGGAACCAACCCAAATGCCCATCAATCAAAGAGTGGATAAAGAAACTGTGTGTGTGAGAGAGAGAGAGATATATATATATCACAGTATATATATCATATATGGTATATATATGGTATATCATATATATACTGTGATATATAAGATATAATTATTATATATACTGTGATATATAAGATATGATTATATGATATATAAATGATATATATGATATACCAAATATACACCATATATATGATATATACTGTGATATATATGATATACTGATATATCACATATATATGATATACATCAGTATATATACTAATACATGTGATATATACATATATATGATGTGAAAGAGAGAAACTGTGAGAGAGATATACATCATATACATACAGTGATATATATGACATACTGATATATATCACATATGATACACATATATCATATATCTGATATGTAAGTGATATATATATACACACACACACACATATAGGATGGAATACCACTCAGCCATAAAAAGGAATGAGTTAACAGCATTTGCAGTGACCTGGATGAGATTGGAGAGTATTACTCTAAGTGAAGTTACTAGGGAATGGGAAACCAAACACCTTATGTTCTCACTCATAAGTGGGAGCTAAGCTATGAGAATGCAAAGGCATAAGAATGATACAATGGACTTTGGGGATTTGGGGGGAAGGGTGGGAAGGGGTGATGGATAAAAGACCACAAATAGGGTACAGTGTGTACTGCTTGGGTGATGTGTGCACCAACATCTCAGAAATCACCACTAAAGAACTTACTCATGTAACCAAATACCACCTGTACCCCAATAACCTATGGAAAAATAAAAAATCAAAAAATGAGAATAGAAATAAAAAAATAAGTGAACCTAAGTTTCCACTTTTGAAACCAGAAAAATGGCCAGGCAGCCAGGCGCAGTGACTCACGCCTGTAATCCCAGCACTTTGGGAGGCCGAGACGGGTGGATCACCTGAGGTCAGGAGTTTGGGACCAACCTGGTTAACATAGTGAAATCCCATCTCTACTAAAAATAAAAAATTAGCCGGGTGTGGTGGCATGTACCTGTAGTCCCAGCTACTCGGGAGGCTGAGGCAGGAGAATCGCTTGAACCCAGGAGGCAGAGGTTGCAGTGAACCGAGATTGCACCACTGCACTCCAGCCTGGGTGACAGAGTGAGACTCAGTCTCAAAAAAAAAAAAAAAATGGACAGATGAGGTGGCTCATGCCTGCAATCCCCGCATTTTGGGAGACCGAGGCAGGAGCATCACTTGAGCCCAGGAGTACGAGACCAGCTGGGCAACATGGTAAAACCCTGTCTCTACAAAAAAATTAGTCAGGTGTGGTGGTATGCACCTGTAGTCCTAGCTACCGGCAAGGCCGAGGTGGGAGGATCGCTTAAGCCCAGGGGTTGCAGAGGTTACAGTGAGCTGAGATCTTGCCAACTGCACTCCAGCCTTGGTGACAGAGCAAGACCCTGGCAAACACACACACACACACACACACACACACACACAAAACAAACACCAAAAAAACCAAACAAGAAAAATCCAGAAAAAGAACAGCATAAATCCAAAGAGCATGAAAATATTAAAAGCAGAAATTAGTGAAACAAAAAATAGAACAAAATAAAGAGCTTGTTTTTTGAACAGACGAGTAACATGGACAGTCCTTCAGCAAAAAAGCATGAAGAAAAAAAGGAAGAAGACACAAATAAACACAAAGAGGCGGCACAACCAAGAGACGAAAAGAGACGATTAGGAGCAACTTAATACCCCAAATTTGAAAACCTTGATGAAATGGACACTTTTCTAGGAAAACAGTAATCAGCAAAATTGGCCCAGAAAGAAAGGAAGGTCTGAGTAGGTCAATAACCAAGAAGGAAGATGAACTATTAAAGACCTACTTCCCAAAAGGCATCTGAATTTGTAGATGTAAAAAGAAAAAACAAACAAACACAATTAAGCTAGAGAATTATTAGCCAAAGATGCAGGAGAATACCTTTGTGAGCTTACAGCAGGACAGCTCTGCTAAACTGGGGAAACAGGAAAGTCATATATGATGATATGAATCCACCTGACCATACTGAAGTGTGAAATACCAATAGTACCAGAGACTTTGAAAGAGTTCAAGACAAGCAGCACACAGATTCGCTCCCTTCATATACAGTAAAGGCAAAATATCAGTATCTGGGGTATGCAATACACCCCTAAACACCAGTAAGAAAATAACATAATTGAAATGAACAAAGGGCTTAATGGGATTGTCACAGAAGATGTAACACATGTCCCAAGGGCTAATTGACATTACAAGCTGTGCAACTTGAAGTTTTTGTGTGTGTGTGTCGAATTGCTTTTTTCTTTTTCTTTTTTTTTTTTTCTTTTTTTGAGACAGGGTCTCACTCTGTCGCCCAGGCTGGAGTGCAGTGGTGCAGTCTCGGCTCACTGCAGCCTTAACCTCCAGGGCTCAAGCAATCCTCCCACTTCAGCTTCCCGAGTAGCTGGGACTACAGGCGAATGCCACCATGCCTGGCTAATTTTTTGTATTTTTTTGTAGAGACGGGGTTTTGCCATGTTGCCCAGGCTGGTCTTGAACTCCTGGGCTCAAGTGATTCATACACCTCGGCCTCCTAAAGTGCTGAGATTGCAGGAGTGAGCCTCCCATGCCTGGCTGGTTCAGATCTTTTGAGAGACAGGGCCTTGCTTTGTCACCCCGGCTGGAGTGCAGTGATGCAGTTATAGCTCACTGCAGCCTCACTGCTGGTTCACACTATCCTCTTGCCTCGGCCTCCAGAGTAGCTGGGAATACAGGTGTGTGCCACAATGCCTGTCTGATTTAAAAATAAATTTTTTTTTTGAGATGGAGTCTCACACTGTCACCCAGGCTGGAGTGCAGTGGCCCGATCTTGGCTCACTGCAACCTCTGCCTTCCAGGTTCAGGCGATTCTCCCGCCTCAGCCTCCCAAGTAGCCGGGATTGCAGGCACCTACCACCACACCTGGCTAATTTTTTGTATTTTTAGTAGAGATGGGGTTTCACTATGTTGGCCAGGCTGGTCTCGAACGCCTGACCATGATCCACCCGCCTCCGCCTCCCAAAGTGCTGGGATTACAGGCGTGAGCCACTGCCCCGGCCTAAAATTTTTTTGTAGACTTGCAGGTGTCTCATTATGCTGCCCAGGCTGGTTTCAAACTCCTGGACTCAAGCCATCCTTTCACCTTGGCTTCCCAAAGTGCTGGGATTGCAGGCATGAACCACCATGCCTGGTGCAACTTAAAGTTAAAACAACAATGAAACTCAATGTTCACACATCAGGTGAGCAAAAAAAAAATCTTAAAGTTTGATAACATCACTGTTTGTGAGGTTGCAGAGTAATACACACTCATCCAGTGCTGGGGAAGATGTCAGTGGTGAAACCATTTTGAATGACAATTTGGTAGTGACTGTTACAACTGAAAGTGTGCATATGCTACTGTTAGTAACTCATGTTTTTACCTTAAAAAGAAAAAACATATATATATACAACCCAAAAAGGTTTATACAAAGATATTCATTTTAACATAAAAAATAGCAAACAAATGTTTGTTATGTTGCTATTTAAGCATTCACTGAAATGATGGCATATTAAGTAGCAGTCAAAATGAACAAATTAGAGTTACATAAATCAATATGGCTTGATTTAAAAAATACTGCTAGGTGTAAAAAGCAAGATGCAGAATAACCTGTACAATATGATACGATTTTTATAAAACACAAACAGCCCTATACAGTTCCAGGTACATACACATATTTTAAAGCATGTATGTTTTGAATATCTATACATGTACAGAAAAGTATTTTATTTTAGTTTAGTTTAGTTTAGTTTAATTTATTTTTGAGACAGAGTCTTGCTCTGTCACCCAGGCTGGAGTGCAGTGGCGTGATCTTGGCTCACTGCAATCTCCGCCTCCTGGGTTCAAGTGATTCTCCTGCCTCAGCCTCCAGAGTAGCTGGGCTTACAGGTGTGCACTACCATGCCTGGCTAATTTTTTGTATTTTTAGCAGAGACAGGGTTTTGCCATGTTGCTCAGGTCTCAAAGTCCTGAGCTCAAGTGATCTGCCCACCTCAGCCTCCCAAAGTGCTGGGATTACAGGTGTAAGCCACTGTGCGTGGCCCAGAAAAGTATTTTAAAACATCTGAAAAATACAGGCCAAATTGCTGATATTGGTGGAATACTGAAGGGTGGACTATTGAGGGGGAAGTATGGAAAGCAAGGGGGAGTGGATGAAAGGCAGCATGAATTCTATCTGCAATGCTTTGAAATTTTAAAAGGAGAAAATGAATGCCGTGTGTCAAAAGACAAAATTATAACACATTTAGTTATAAATCTAATTGGCTTTTATTTGAGATTCATGAATCGGGGCAGCTTCCCTTCTACAACATGGAGTAAGAGCTTCCATTGGCCAACGGCAGACAGCGGCTTTTGTGAGATGGGAACAAGGAAACGGAACCACGGGAAAAACGTCAATTGGTCACCATCGTGTTACCTCCTTTGGTAAAGGTTAAAGCAGAGGGGACTTCCTTATCACACTGACTTAAGTAGACTGGAATCTCCTGTTTTCAGGAAAAACTTGTCTGTTTGGGATCTATCTGCTTCCTTAAGGGTTCGGTTTGATGATATGTGGCGTTTAGCATGAGTGACTCCATCTTGCTTTGCTGTGGTCTGTTGGAGCCTAGTGTAGGAGCTCAGTCCAAAATAATGGGTTCCCATAATTTTTGTTTAACAAACACTTGTGCAATTGCAATAATAACACAAGGGAAAATGGGCAGGGCAGGCATCCCAGGTAGTGTCAATGTATTGTTGAGGAGTGAGTGTGTGTTCACAGACAGAGGCGTGCAGGCAGGCAGGACTTTCGAGCAGGTACCTGGGTGCAGCCTCCAGTGGGTATAAAGGTGAGTCGGGGGGCTGGAGCCAGAGGCCAGCCATAGCCACAGCTTTCTTTCATTCATTAAGCCTTTACTGAGTACCAAGGAGAAAGGGAGTGACAGTTGAAAAGTTATTCTTACTCTTTCTTCCTTTTTTTTTTTTTTTTTTTTTTGAGACAGGGTCTCAATCTGTTGCCCGGGATGGAGGTGCAGTGGCACAATCATGGTTCACTGCAGCCTCGACTCCCGGGGCTCAAGTGATCCTCCTACCTCAGCCTCCTGAGTAGCTGGGAGTACAGGCGCATGCCACCACCTGGCTAATTTTTTGTTTGTTTGTTTGAGATGGACTCTTGCTGTGTTGTCAGGCTGGAGTGCAGTGGCATGATCGTGGCTCACTGCAACCTCTGCCTCTCAGGTTCAAGCGATTCCCCTGCCTCAGTCTCCCAAGTAGCTGGGACTACAGGTGCATGCCACCATGCCCGGCTAATTTTTTGTATTTCAGTAGAGACTGGGTTTCACCATGTTTGGCCAGAATGGTCTCGATCTCCTGACCTCAAGTGATCTGCCCACCTCTACCTCCCAAAGTGCTAGGATTACAGGCATGAGCCACCGTGCCTGGCCCAGGCTAATTTTTCATATTTTTTTGGAGAGATGGGGTTTCTCCATGTTGCCCAGGCTGGTTTCCAAGCCTGCTCAAGCAATCAGTCCTCCTGCCTTGGCCTCCCAAAGTGATGAGATTACAGGCGTGAGCCACTGCGTCCAGCCTTGAAAGTTTTACATTGTGCTTTTTGTTTTTCCTCCAGCTGGTCTGAGACATGTATCTGAATGAAGGGACAGTGAGATTTATTGCAGAAGGAATGCAGTGACAACGAACAAGGTAAGAAGATTTTGAATGACAAAAAAAGATACCAGCCTTGCAAGCAGGCTGCTGTTTTGAGAGGTTTGTCTAAATTCCAGGATTTATCCCACTCATCTTAGTTAGATTTAGCTACTGTAAAAACACCAACAGAGTATTGGCTTAAATAAGACAGAAGGGTATTTCTGTCATTTAAGAGTCTGGGCTGGCCGGGAGCAGTGGCTCATGCCTGCAATTCCAGCATTTTGGGAGGCTGAGGTGGGCAGATCAGCCTGATGACAGAGCAAGACTCCATCTCAAAGAAAAAAAAAAAAAATTAGCCTGGCGTGGTGGTGGGCGCCTGTACTCCCAGCTATTCAGGAGACTGAGGTGGGAGTTCGAGACTAGCCTGGCCAACATGGTGAAACCCTGTCTCCACCGAAAATACAAAAAATTACCAGGCGTGATGGTGGGCGCCTGTAATCCCAGCTACTTGGGAGGCTGAGGCAGGAGAATCGCTTGAACCCGGGAGCTGGAGGTTGCAGTTAGTGTGCGGAGATCACGCCACTGAGCTCCAGCCTGGATGAGAGTGAGACTCTGTCTCAAAAAAAAAAAAAGTCCAGACATAAGCAGTCCAGGGCAACACTAGTCTTGCTGTTGGGGACCTAGGCCCCTCCCAGCCCTTCCACAAGTGGCTTTCATCTCATGGTCTCAGATGGTTGCTGCAGTTCCTGCCATCACATCCTTGCACCCAGCTGGCGACCAAGAGAAGCCAGGAAGGAAAGGTGGAGGGCAATGCCCCCTTTGTTTTGCAGGCACAACCAGAATTGCACTTCTCACTTTGTTTCTTGTTTCATAAACCACAGCTTACTTGTAAGTAAGTACACGTGGAAGGTCTAAGTTCTGCCTCTGGGGAATGCTGTCTTCATCTGGGCTACCATGTAGTCAGCAAAAACGTGGGGCTTCCGTTCCTAAAGGACAGGCTCGGAAGGAATATTGGGGACAATTAGTTCCTGCCACACTCTTCAGCATATCAGCAACCAAGCCCGGGGACCAGGTGGTGTCCACTCACCTGATTCTCATTTCCGGCTCCCCCGGAGGCCATGAAGGAGGAGGCAGAGGAAGGCAGAGCAAGCAGGTGTGACTCTAGGTCCCCACTCCGGGCGCTCTGGGCATGGCGAGGGGGGGTGCAGAGGCAAGTGCATGCACTGCGTCACGACCTGCAACAGGAAGCTGATGGGACAGCATGGTCAGGCAGGGAGACCCGAGGCTCAGCTGTCCCAAACCAACCAGTACTGGTGTGGGCAGAGCCCAGGACAGCCAAGAGCCTGCAGGGAGGTGTCAGAGGGGCCCCTGTAACAGGGCAGGGTGGCTCTGCCGAGGCTGTAGTTCAGATTCACAGGTAGGGATGCCAGATTTAGCAAATGCATAGACAGCATCCTAGTTCAGTTTGAATTTTAGATAAATATGCAATAACTTTTTAATATAAGCTTGTCCTATGTCCCAGGCATCATTTATTTGGAATTCAAATTTAACTGATTGCTCTGTATGTTATCTGAAAACACCAGAAGGTTAGGGTTTTAGAGGGCCCACTCAGGCCTCAAACGGATCCAGAGCCCCAGTATGAGCCAATGTGAGCTCAAGGCAGACAGGGCCCCTCCAGGCTTGGCCTGACATCCAGAGAGACCACGAGCCACAGGGGCTAACAAGAGGCCACAAGGCCTAAGTCCTTTCTGTCCTCAGGGGCGTGCAAGGCTGCCTTCACTTTCTTGCTCTTCTAGACCAGGTGCCTACTCTTTGGAAAGGAGAGAAGAAAAGGGAGGTTTGGGCATATTTTCTCCCAGAGACTGAGCATTACCCAAAGGCTGTTCAAAGTATCCCTTAGAACTGTGTTCTAACCTGGGTAGGATGAAAGTTTATCTATTTTTATTGCTAAGCTGCAGGTGAGGGCTTGGGAACACCTGGTTACATGCACCCCAGATCAAGACTGTCCACGTCCGGTGCACCCCTGAACACAGCAGGAGGGAACTTGGGGATCCACTGCCCTCGCTCACTGTAAGCTTCCCAGGACTGAAGCCCCAAAGAGGAGCCCTCTGCCTTCTCTGTCCTCCCCATGGGTCAGCGTGTCCTGCTTCTGAGTGGCCCGTCCTTCCTGCCTAACTGGCTGGCCTGCACCATGGCCCATATTCAACAACCTTAGTCATAGTTCCCACCATTGGCGTTTATGGAAGCTTGGAGCCTCATAAAGTTCAAAGTCTGCAACAATAATAAAGGCCCAGTCAACTTGGCTTGGGCGGCAGCTGCAGCCCAGCACTGGAAGCTCCTAGCTGTGGAGGGGCGTTGGGGCCTGGAGGGAGGAGAGCCTTGGTTTGCCCTGTGGGGCCCAGCCTTGAGTTCTGGCTTCTCAGGGCTCTGTTCTATCATGTTTCCTGTGAACTCCTTTTGTGCCTAAGACGCTGGGCAGTGCCACTCTTGCAGAGGTGCCACTCCAGGCCCTGCACGCTTAGGGGTAGAGCAACTACTACTGTTGGGCACAGGCGTGGGGCTGTAGAAAGAAATCCGTGTTTCACTGGAAAACTATGCATCCTACATAGGACACCAGCTTCCACATGGCCCGATACTAACCTACTAACCTTTCATCTTTTTTTTTTTTTTTTTGAGACGGAGTCTCCCTCTGTCGCCCAGGCTGGAGTGCAATGGCACCGTCTCGGCTCATTGCAGCCTCTGCCTCCCGGGTTCCAGCGATTCTCCAGTCTCAGCCTCTCAGGTAGCTGGGATTACAGGCATGCACCACCACGCCCGGCTAATTTTTGTATTTTAAGTAGAGACGGGGTTTCACCATGTTGGCCAGGGTAGTCTCGAACTCCTGACTTCAGGTGATCCGCCCGCCTCGGCCTCCCAAAGTGCTGGAATCGCAGACGTGAGTCACCGCGCCCGGTCTGAAAATTATCTTTTAATAGGGGTTAGCTGCATGAGTTAAAATCTCATTGCCACCATTTGCTGACTTTGTGCCCTCTGGGAGATTGCTTAATCTCTCTGGGATAAACCTCGGTTTGCTTGACAAAGGAAGCTGGTGAGGCTAAAGAGAGAACTCTAAGATTGGGGCGTTCCGAAGCCTTCTAGAGCCTTCTAGCACCCTGGACTCATAGCCAATGATGGGCAACAACAAGAACGACGACGAACCCTGGGCTCGGAACTCGCCCAGGCCCCGCCCCTCACAGCCCCGCCCCGTCCTCGGCCCCGCCCCCGGCCTGTCGCCTCAACAAAGTCCCCGCCGCGCGGCCGCTGGCCGGGAGTCAGCTCGGAGTCCCGTCCCAGCGCGGCGTCAGCGCTGCGCACTTCCCATTGGCCGAGCGCGGCGCGGGGGCGGGCCCGGGCCTGCGATTGCCTCTCGGCGTGCGCGGACAGTGTCATGGAGGCCGCGGCGGTGACGGTCACCCGGTCGGCTACACGGCGGCGGCGGCGGCAGCTGCAGGGGCTGGCGGCCCCGGAGGCGGGGACGCAGGAGGAGCAGGAGGATCAGGAGCCGCGGCCGCGGCGGCGGCGGCCGGGAAGGAGGTGGGGCTGCGGGGCCCGCGTGAACCCCGATCCGCGGGGCTGAGAGTCCGTGGCCCCGGGGCCCGAGGTTTCCCGGCACGGGCGCGCCGAGGGGCGGGGGGCCGGCGCCTGTGTCCGCTCCGTGCACAGTAAGGGACAGAGGGTGGCAGCGCCCCTCCGCCCCGGTCCGCCCCGCCGTCCTCGCGCCACTGCCGGGCAGCGGCCTCCGGCCCCCGTGCGTGACCCCTGCCTATCTCAGAAATACGGGTGCAAACCCGAGTGGCCGCGGGGCCCAGCGGGAATCCCGACGCCCCGGCCAGACCCCTGCTTCCCACGTCGCTGGTCTATGCGGAAGATCCCGGCGGCGGTGCTCATGCCTGGCTCAGTGGATGCCGGCTGGTGGAAGGGGTGGCCTTCTGTAGGGGTGACACTAGAACTGAGTCTTTGGGGAGGAGGAAGCCTTCAGTAGGTGGAGAATAGGGAGTAGGGTATCCAACTGGCGGGGAACAGAAAGGGCCAAAGCACAGAGACAGAAAGGGACGAACATGCCCCTCTGGGCTGGGCTTCCTTCCTTTGGGGGGCACTTGCCCACCCGGTAAACTCCCCCTCAGTAGGTTGCAGGGGGAGAAGTTAGGAGCACAGACATGGCTTCCGGAAACAGCAGCCGTAGCTTTGTTTCTAAACCCAAAGCAGTGAGACTGCTGAGCATTTCAGACCTCATGAAGATGGGATGAAGGCTGGCTGCTGGGAAAGATATTTTTGGACAGGAGGAATGTGGAGATGGCTCTTTCCCTCCTAGTGGAGGAATGACAGGTGACAAAGGTGACCTGGTGTGGGATTGTTCTGAGAAGGTCTGGGAGGGGGTGGCTGAAGTATAATAAGGACATCAACGAGGAAGGGGGCTTTGGAAAAGGAAGGTGGAGAGGAACAACTGCGGCATCTCTGCTTGAATCCGTCCCCGACCCCTGCAGTTCTCAGGGTCTCCCAATGTCATTCTGGAGGCCCTGGGTCAGTGTTTGGTGATGGCAGATGCTACAGAGGACTCTTTGCAACAGGCCTCTGAATGGCAGTGGAGTGATGGCAGATGACAACTCAGTGAACAAAGAAGTGGCCTTGGGCGTTGGTAGATTTAGGGAATCTCAACGTTGGTGCCATGGCCTCTAAATAGCCACTGCGGTGTCTTCTTACTGCTCCTAAAATAATAATGATTTTTTAGGCCAGGCATGGTGGCTTATGCCTGTAATCTCAGCACTTGGGAGGCTGAGGCGTGTGATCACCTGAGTTCGGGAGTTTGAGACCAGCCTGGCCAACATGGTGAAACTCAGTCTCTACTAAAAGTACAAAATTAGTCAGGCGTGGTGGCAGATGCCTGTAATCCCAGCTACTTGGGAGGCTGAGGCAGGAGACTCACTTGAACCCAGGAACTGGAGGTTGCAGTGAGCTGAGATTTCACCACCTTACTCCAGCCTGGGCGACAGAGCGAGACTCTGTCTCAATTAATCAATCAATTTTTAAAAGAAAGTGGTTTGAGATGTATTTAGGAGCTTTCCATGTTAATGTACCGAAGGAACGAAGGAACTCTTTCTCCCTGTAACATACATCCATGAACAGCGCGGAAGGCACTTAGGGAAGTGTGGCCTATAGAGGAAGCCTGGTCTCTGCTCTCTTAGGACCTGAAACTTTCTGGTGCTTTGGGTATTTGGATATTGCCCCTTGGCCATAGAAAATCCTGGGGACCCTGTGAAGTATTTATGTCTGGTCTTTGTGGTATTGGGGTGGCTGCTTTAGAGGGTAAGGTTTATTCTATTTATTTATTTTTTTGAGATGGAGTCTCGTTCTGTTGCCCAAGTTGGAGTGTAGTGGCACAGTCCCGGCTCACTGCAACCTTCGCCTCCCAGGTTCAAGTGATTCTCCCTGCCTCAGCCTCCCAAGGTGCTGGGATTACAGGCGTGTGCCACCATGCCCAGCTAATTTTTGTATTAGTAGAGATGGGGTTTTGCCATGTTGGCCAGGCTGGTCTTTAACTCCTGACCTCAGGTGATTCGCCTGCCTTGGCTTCCCAAAGTGTTGGGATTACAGGCGTGAACCACTGCGTCTGGCCTAGGGTAAGGTTTATTCTTAGGAGTAATCATTGGTACGTGTGTCCATGTGGAAGCCAAGCCCTGGTTGCTAATATAGGTAAAACCTTAGGATTATCACAGGGCACTTCCTTGCTTTATACAATGTTTCTATAGTTAATATTAAACAACATAAGGCAGAGAATATCTCTCTGTGTTTAGATGAAACTGGTCCATTTGCTTCTAAGTGTTCTTACCTATTTATGTTTTTATTTATAAATGTACAACTCCCTCTTTGCTTAGCATCAAAGATGAAGAAGAAGAGACAGTCTTTCGAGAGGTGGTCAGTTTTTCCCCGGACCCCCTGCCAGGTGAGGAGACAGAGGCTCTGAATACCGATCCACCTTCACACCTGGGGCTTTGGGGCAGGTCAGCCCCTGCCCCCTCTCATGTTCCTTCTCTGTTATTGTTAAAATGTTTCGATTAATCCTATAATAGTTTCCATTAATTGCTCAATGTTTCTGTCCTCGGACCAGTTAGATATTATGACAAGGACACCACCAAACCAATCAGCTTTTACTTGTCTTCGCTGGAGGAGCTCTTGGCGTGGAAGCCCCGCTTGGAGGATGGCTTTAATGTGGCCCTGGAGCCCCTGGCGTGTCGCCAGCCCCCTCTGAGCAGCCAGAGGCCCCGGACTTTGTTGTGTCATGACATGATGGGCGGGTACCTGGATGACAGGTGAGGACCTGGCCTTACATTGATGTTGCTTACATTGTTCTCCTTTGCTGGGGTGGGGGCTGGAGGGGCGGGAGAGAGTGCCATGTGTAGAAAGAGCACTGGGCGGGGAGTCAGGAGACGGGCATTGGAGGGATGGCACTAACTGCGAGAAGAAGGCAGGCCCCAGTGTTTCATCTGTAAAAAGGGAAGACTGGGCTGGGCTTGGTGGCTCACACCTATAATCCCAGCACTTTGGGAGGTCAAGGCAGGTGGGTCACCTGACCTCAGGAGTTTGAGACCAGCCTGGCCAACATGGCGAAACTCTGCCCCTACTAAAAATAGAAAAATTAGCCAGGCATGGTGGCAGGTGCCTGTAATCCCAGCTACTTAGGGGGCTAATGCAGGAGAATCGCTTGAACCAGGGAGGCAGAGATTGCAGTGAGCCAAGATTGCACTACTGCACTCCAGCCTGGGCAACAGAGTGAGACTCTGTCTCAAAAAAATAAAAAATAAAAAAAGGAAGGTTGGATTAGGCAGTGTCTTATGTCCCTTTCAGCTCTAGAATCATTTGACTCCTTGAACCTCCTCAACTTGAAGGCTGGTAGTAGATTGGAGGGAGCACAGCAGGCAGGGGGTCCTCTTCGGCTGCCTGTCCGCAGCCTCACCCCCTCACGTGGTTTGGTGTTCGTCACCTTCTTCCCTTAAGCTCTGATCCTGTTCTGGGTCGCTGGGCTCTGGCTTTCATGCACAGAGATGTTACATGCCCCACCCACCCCAGGTGCAGACGTCCCATCCAAAGTTGCCGTGGAGTCCGCGCGGCGCTTTTAAATGTCCATAAAACAATCTTGGACCCTGTGATTGATGGGAAGGCTTGAGTCAGAGCCAACCATCAAGGTAGAGATAGAAGCAGGTGGTGAAACCTTGGGCGCAGCTCACAGGGCTTTCAACCCCGACCTTCGAGTTCCGGGAGACTCTGTTCTGAGGGACTGCCTACCCCTCCAAATAGAGTGGGAAGCCAGAGACGGGACTTTGACACGAGACTTCCTGCTTCCCCTCCTTTCTCTCCCTTGTTCATTGGCTCACAGGGGGTAGCAGTGCTCGGTCCATTAGATGCAATGGCAGATGCCTGATGCCCCGGTCAGAGCACTCTGCCTGTGGCTACAGGAGTGGCAGCTGGTTCCTGCCTCTCTCCCTGCCTGCACCTTGCCTGGACACAGCAGGCTTCCAGGGAGTCTTGACTGAATGGAACTAAAGAGAAACCTTTGGGGACACCCTGCGGTCTCCGTGTCCTTATTCTGCTTCCTGGGACCTGACTCTGTTTCTTTTTTTCTGTATTTTGAGACAGGGTCTTACTCTGTCACCCAGGCTGGAGTACAGTGGTACAATCTGGGCTCTCTCCAGCCTTGACCTCCCAGGCTCAAGCAACTCTCCCACTTCAGCCTCCCAAGTAGCTGGGACTACAGGTGTGCACCACCACACCTGGCTAATTTTTCCAGTTTTTGTGGGGAGAGATGGGGTTTTGCCATGTTGCCCAGGCTGGTCTTAAACTCCTGGGCTCAAGTGATCCACCTGCCTTGGCCTGCCAAAGTGCTGGGAATAAAGGCATGAGCTGCCGTGGCCAGCCCTGTTCTGTTTCTTTCCCCAGGTTCATTCAGGGCTCGGTGGTGCAGACTCCCTATGCTTTCTACCACTGGCAGTGCATCGACGTCTTTGTGTACTTCAGCCACCACACCGTCACCATTCCCCCAGTGGGCTGGACCAACACTGCCCACAGGCATGGGGTCTGCGTGCTGGGTAAGAGCCAAGGACTCACCTCTGTGTCAGCCAGACTCCTCAGCTCACCAGCCAGGGGACCCCGTGATTAGGAGGCACGGGCTTTGCCTGCTTCTCAGTGCCCAGAGCCCCTCGCTGGGGGCCGCCTTGGTCGGCTAGGACAGGCAGCTGCAGGCTTTTTCTGGAAAGGACCAGATAGTATTTTCATGATTTCAGACCACTGGGTCACTGTGGTGATTATTGGAGTGATGGCAGGTACACAAATAGGCAGGGCCGTGTTCCAGTAAAATTGCATTTTACAAACACAGGTAGTAGTGGGCATCGGCCCAAGGGCCACGGTTTGCCGATTCCTGGGTCAGAACAATGCTTCTCAGCTTTAGCCTCAATCCCGATCGTTGATGGGCTTCCGTCACCAGGACTGCTGGTCTGCACTGGCAGAGTGTCTGATTCACGGGATATATGGGGATTTGAATGTCTACCAAGTGGTCAGGTGATACTGAAGCTGCTGGTTCGAGAACCTCGCTTTGAAAACTGTGGGTGGAGGGAAAGTGATTCCCGTGGCTGACCTTGTTTCTCTCCTATCCTCACAGGGACTTTCATCACGGAGTGGAATGAAGGGGGAAGGCTCTGTGAAGCCTTCCTGGCCGGGGATGAGCGCTCGTACCAGGCAGTGGCTGACCGGCTGGTCCAGATCACTCAGTTTTTTCGTTTTGATGGCTGGCTGATCAACATCGAGAACTCGCTGAGTGTGAGTGCCCAGCCCTCACCCACCTCCCCGCCCCTTGCTGTGTTGCCGCCCACCTCCACCTCTTTCCTGCCTTGGCCTCACCTCGCCCCACGCCTGGGCTGCAGGTTGCAGCAGTAAGAGCCACTTCTCGCCTCCCAGGCAGTGCCAACTCTGAAATCTTAGTTACACGCAGTGAGACAGAATCTCCTCCGACTGTTTCCAGCAAGCGTGCTTGGCCGGCTCCCACGTTTCCCGCCCCTGCCTGTGAGCACACCTTTCCTTTTCCGCGCTCTGCTCTGGGCTGGGTGTGTGGCTTCCTTCTCAGGGCATCCTCCCCTTTCGGTGCACTCTGTCTTTTCCTGACTTCTGTGTTCATGTCCTTCTTGCCGCAATAAGAAAGGACGGTCGTCTGTTTGGCTGGACTCCACTTGCGGGGCTGTGGCGGGGAGGGCCTTTCAGAACTGCAGCTTCGCCTGTGGGTCTGTTTGCTCTGCATCCCCCTGTCTGTCCAGCGCTGGATACTTCTCATGATAGATAGATCTGGGGCTCACTGAGGCTCTCACCTTGTTCTTCTCTTTCAGCTGGCCGCTGTGGGGAACATGCCTCCTTTCCTGCGGTACCTCACCACACAGCTGCACCGGCAGGTCCCAGGGGGCCTGGTGCTCTGGTATGACAGCGTGGTGCAAAGTGGGCAGCTCAAATGGCAAGACGAACTCAACCAGCACAACAGGTGAGCCTGCAGACAGGTGCTGTGAGGGGGCAGGTGCCGTGGTGGGGGCGGGTACTGTGAGGGGTGGGTGCCGCAAGGGGCGGGCGCAGTCTCCCTCATGGAGGTGATGCATATATGACTGCATTGGGTAAAAAGAGGGAGAAGGTGGGCCAGGCGCAGTGGCTCATGTCTGTAATCCCAGCACTTTGGGACGCCGAGGTGGGCAGATCAAGAGGTCAGGAAGTTGAGACCATCCTGGCTAACACGGTGAAACTCCGTCTCTACTGAAAATACAAAAAATTAGCTGGGCATGGTGGTGGGCACCTGTAGCCCCAGCTACTCGGGAGGCTGAGGCAGGAGAATGGCGTGAACCTGGGAGGCGGAGCTTGCAGTGAGCCAAGATCGTGCCACTGCACTCCAGCCTGAGCGACAGAGCGAGACTCTGTCTCAAAAAGGCAGAGTTCTCTTAACATCCTGAGCCTCAGCAGACACCATGGATGCTGGGCGAGGGTTTCAGGTCACCATCTGGGCTGCTCGCTGCCCCTGGGGAACAGGCCATATCCTAGGTCCTGGAGGCAGCTCCCAGCCTGTGAGTTGCAGGTGCCTCTGAGATCTAGGAGGGGAAAGGCTGAGATTGTGCAGGTGGAGGGGGTGGCCCTGTCCCTCTGGGCTCTAGGAGGGGAAAGGCTGAGGCTGTGTGGGGTGGGGTGGGGTGGGGTGGGGTGGGGTGGGGTGGGCCCATCCCTCTGAGTACTAGGAGGGGAAAGGCTGAGACTGCAGGGTTGGTGGGGGTGGCCCCATCCTTCTGGGCCTGGGCCTCACAGCAGGTCCTTGTTGCTTCTCAGGGTCTTCTTTGATTCCTGCGACGGCTTCTTCACTAACTATAACTGGCGGGAGGAGCACTTGGAGCGGATGCTGGGGCAGGCTGGGGAGCGCCGGGCTGATGTGTACGTGGGCGTGGATGTGTTTGCTCGAGGGAACGTGGTCGGAGGCCGATTCGACACAGACAAGGTGGGTGGTGGCTTTCGTCCAAGGGCCAGCGGCCCAGTGCCTCCCCTGGGACCTCATTTCCTCATGGACCTTCCATTCCCGTCTGCACCTCAAAGGAATGACAGCAGCTGTTCTTCCCAGAGTGGGGATCCCGTGGCACTGAGAAACAGGTGTCCTGCCCCGGCCAAGCTATGTCCCCACTGAAACCCCTTTCCCGGCTATTTCTACAATCAGATAATGTATTTTTGTGTGGGTGTTACCAGACAGAGGCGCGTCGTTCCCCCGCTGTCCGGTCCTCGGCGGGCCTGGGCCTCCTGTCCCAGCTGCGTTCCTTGATCTTCCCCGTGAGGGAAGCCTGCGGGGACGCACAGGGGCCTGCAGCGCCTCTCACTGCGGCTCAGGGGCGAGGACGGGGGAGGTGCCCAGGGTTTGGGGATCGGTAGGTGTCATGACGAGGGAGCATTTTCTGGCAAGGCAGGTCACACCAGCACAGAGGAAGGAGCGGGGCCAGGCCGGTGCCCCTGGCGTGGGATGCGCAGGGCTCTGCCTGCCTCTGGTCTATCAGTCCTGCCCGTTCCCAGAGCCCCAGGGATGTTCTCAGCCCTTAATTTAGCTTTAAATGAGTAAATTAATCCAATAACTAAAGAGCCTCTTTACTGCCCGTGATTCTGATAATCGAATGAGAGGTGTGCCAGAGGACAATGGGACCGCGCAGCCACAGCCAGTTGGGGCCCAGCCCCTGCCCCCCTGCCCTTGCAGCAGCGCTGACCGCCTCTCCCGCGCCCTCTTCTGGCGGGCTTGTGGAACGACGGGGGTGATGCCCAGCAGCCTCCAGGTGCATCTAGGAGGGAGGGGTTGGACAGCTTCCCCCTCCCGTTTCTGAGCTGCCCTGAGAGCCCCAACCCACGTCACTGGCGTCCAGGAGCCTGTCTGGACTCTGGTCCTGATGTGCCCAGCGTCTCCCTCTGTCTCTTCAGTCGTTGGAGCTGATCCGAAAGCATGGCTTCTCCGTGGCTTTGTTTGCCCCCGGCTGGGTGTATGAGTGTCTGGAGAAGAAGGATTTCTTCCAGAACCAGGACAAGTGAGTCCTGCTGTCCTGGGTGCTTAGTGCAGGCTGATGGGAGGGAGGGGTTTCTGGTGTCTCTGATAGGACACGTTTGTGCTCTTTAGTGACCCTTCCTATGGGGGGGTGGTTAAGGGAGGATGACAGGGGAGGAAGCCAGCACCCTGGCTGCTTCCGGGCAGGGACCAAACCCAGCGGCCGCTTCCTGCAGACTCGTGTTTGCAGCGTATCTGTAGACGGGGAGGCTGCAGTCCTCCTGGAAGTCCTGTCTTGGAGGGTGCAGGAGAGCCTCGAGTTTCCACCAGCAAGTTTGAGGGACACTGAGAGGCTCCCTCCCTTCCTCCGGACCGAGCTGTTGCCCCCATGTCTCTGGCAGGTTCTGGGGCCGACTGGAGCGTTATCTGCCCACACATAGCATCTGCTCCTTGCCTTTCGTCACGTCCTTCTGCCTGGGCATGGGTGCACGGAGGGTCTGCTATGGCCAGGTGGGTGGGTGTCTTCCCTCCGTGTCTGTCCTCTGGCCTCAGCTGGGACAGGTGGGAGGAGCCTGGGACTTGCCAGCAGGCACGGTGGTGGTCTTACCCTTCCCTGCCGCTCCGGGCACCCCTGCTCTGTTGGCCTCTGCTGAGTGCCCCTGTTCTGCCCTTTTCTTCAGGAAGAGGCGGTAGGGCCCTGGTACCACCTGAGCGCCCAGGAGATCCAGCCCTTGTTTGGAGAACACAGGCTGGGAGGGGATGGCCGGGGCTGGGTGAGGACGCACTGCTGCCTGGAGGATGCCTGGCACGGAGGCAGCTCCCTGCTCGTCCGGGGTGTGATCCCACCGGAGGTTGGAAATGTGGCTGTGAGGTGGGTGAGTGACGGAGGACGGTGGGCCCACCAGCTTCTCCCATCACACGTGGTGGCCATGGAACTGGACAGATGGGGCAGTGGAGGCCAGAACAAGGACAGAGGACAGACCCAGATGGGTTTTTTAAAATTGTGATCAAAAATGCATTAACGTGAAATTCACCATCTTGACCCTGTTGAAGTGAACGGTACAGGAGTGTTAACTCTGCGTACGTTGCTACGTGACAGATCCCTAGAACTGTGTCATCTTGTAGGACTGGACTCTCCCCATTGCACATTAGCCCCCCATCCTCCCCCAGCCCCCCAAAGCCACCCCTTTACTCTGCATCTGTGAGTTTGGATACTTTAGATGCCCCATATGAGGGAATCCCATACGGTATTTCAGAACTGAGATGTTTCAGCCCACAAAAGAATCTGGCCTTGGGGGAGGACTTGTCCCCTGGCTACGGACAGGACCACGATGTGGGAGCATTTGGCACCCAGGCCCCCTGTTCCTGGAGGGAGGGGCTGGTGGACGCGATTTGGAGCTGGCTTCGATTTCTCAGTGGTCTCTCCACGGCACCCATCACAGGACCTTTTTCCCCAGGTTATTTTCCCTGCAGGCCCCAGTGCCACCCAAGATTTACCTGTCCATGGTGTATAAGCTTGAGGGGCCCACGGACGTCACAGTTGCTTTGGAGCTGACCACAGGGGATGCCGGCAGCTGCCACATCGGTGGCATCTCAGTGTTGAACGGTGAGGTAATGGGGCCCAGGCCTGCCTCTGCCCAGGGCGGAGAGCTCAGGGAAGAGAAGTGTGGAGAGGCTCCTGGGGTGTGGGGAGGAGCTGGTGTGGACAGTGGGGGGGTACATCCTGCCTTTGCCGGAGTCAGGGCAGCTTGTGGTCAAGGCCTGGACAGGGAGGATTCACTTCTCAGCCACAGCCTCTGTCCTGTGTCCTCGTCGGGCAGCTGAGGCTCCTGTGCAGGGTGGACATGGGCCCCTCCCAGAGACCTGAGCTGCACAGCCTTGCTGCTGGCCGTGGCGTGGAGAGGGGCGAGCAAATGGGGTGGGGGAGACGGCAGGCTGGAGGGCGCCAGGACGAGTGAGGGCGCGGCTGACCCCAGACACGCATTTCCTTCACCGAGCTCCTCCGGAGTCCTTGCTGGTTGCTTCTTGGGACCCGCGAGCGTCTGGCCGAATCAGGCAGCCTTCTCTGGACTCCTGGGGCGCCCTTGGTGGTCCTTCTCAGTGCCTTTTCCTTTGAGATTCTCCTTTTTCAAGTTCCGTGTCTCCTTCTGCAGCAGAAACAAGCTCAAGACACAGCCTCCGACCCCTCCGGGTGCCCCCCACCAAGCTGGCCAGATGGGTGGGCCGCTGCGGCCGGCAGCTGAGTGGGGGCTGGGTCCAGCAGTAAGTCCCTCTGCTTCTTCACGTCCTTCTCCCTCACTCAAGTCTCTGTTGGGAAACCCCAGAGCTGGAGGGATGGAGGGGCCCTGGGCTGGCCCCCAGGTTTTGGGCAGCTCTGAGACAGAAGCCCAGGACAGCTGCTGGGAGCCCTGCTGTCGGCCTGGGGTCCCCCATGACCCTGGGATGCATCTCCCTTCTGCTGTGGCTTGGGGCCTCTGGACGGCTCACCCTGGAGCCTCTGGGCTGAGCCCGGCCAGTGATCAGCCCTTTCGCCCCGTAGCTGCTACGAGGTGAGCCTGCGTGGGTGCCTGCTGCTAGACCTCCTCGTTTGCTTCTCACGGCCGCCGGGTAGTCGGGAGGAGGAGAGCTTCACCTGTCGGCTTGGAGAGATCCAGGTGATGCTTCCCAGAGGGGCTCGGGCTGGGCTGGCTGTTTGTCCAGCTGGAGTGGGGGTGGAGGCCGCCCCAGGCCGCCCCCTTCTTGGGTTCAGCGGGGAACTGGGGTGGAGGAGTCAGGGAGGGGAAATGTGTGCGTGGGGGCACCCTCTCCCCGCCCCCGGGCGTCCAGCCGTGCTGAGCCTTCTCTCCTGCCAGGTGGTGGACGCTGCCAGCCTGCTGGCCCCTCTGCCCCAGGTGCAGGCCGTCACCATCTCTCACATCCGCTGGCAGCCATCCGCCTCTGAGCGGGAGGGGCCCCCTGCTCTGCTCCAGCTCAGCTGCACCCTGCACTGGTCCTTCCTCCTCTCACAAGTCCGTTGCTTCCGAATCCACTGCTGGGGAGGGATGAGTGATGACTCTCCGGGCAGGGAGCTGCCGAGGCCAGAGATGCCCATGTTCCTGGGGTTGGCTTTTGCCACCCAGTACCGGATAGTGGACCTGCTGGTGGAAGCCGCCGGGCCCGGCCAGGATCGTCGCATGGAATTTCTGGTGGAGCCTGTCCCCAAGGAAGGGTTCCGGGTACCTCAGGCCGAGTGGGGCAGGGCAGTTCTGCTTTATTCAGCCCCTGCATGAGCGGATGCTAAGGCCGGGTGGTCTCCTGGCCTCGGGCTGAGGCCTCTTCCCGGCTGTCTGCCCCTGGCCTGCGCTGGACCTGCTAAGTGCCCACAGTGGCAGCGAGGTCCCGGTCCCGGGGCTGGGGTGGGAGACCCCGGGCTGAGTGCTGTGGCTTTCTGGTGGGGGGCGATGGAAACAGGAAACCAAGCAGTGGGATCGCAGCGTTGGTCACTGCGAGGCGAGTGGCGGGCTTTCTGTTTCTGCCTTGTCCCTCCCCACGGTACCTGGTTCCCAGGTGAAAATGAAAGGAGGGGAGAAGTTGAGAACAGAACATTCCATAAAGGATATTTCCTAATAGGCTGCAAGATGCTGATGCCGAGAATGATGATTTTCTTTCCTGCAGATGAAACTATTAGAAAGGGTCTTAGATTGTGGCAGGTAGGCTTTGGAGCAGGCGCCGAGACATTTCTGAGCATGAGGACGAGCTACAGCAGCTCCTGGGGTGGGGCTGCCTGCGGGATGGCGGGAGAGGATGCCCTGGAGAACCGTCCTCCCAGTGTGGAAGGCCCTTTTCCCTGAGGAGTGGGCATTCTGGGCCAGCCGGCGCTGGCTTCGTGCCTCCACGTGGGCCAGCCCCAGCTGCTCCGTGTTTCCTGGCGTTGGCAATTTACTGTGCTGCTGAGTGTGAGGTCATCTCCGGAGCGTTTTCAGCAGCCCCTGGCTCTGCGGCGTCTCTTCCGGGCTGTGGGCATGCAGGGAAGTGGCTCTGAGGCAGTCTGCGCTGTGGCCCTGCCTCTGCCCAGCGAGAGGCCGTGGGCTCTGGACAAGCCGCCCTTCAGGCTGGGGTAGCAGGTCAGTCCAGGCAGGAAGCAGCACCTGCCCCCCGCGCCAGCCCAGCCCCAGCCTGAGTGCAGGAGCTGCAGGACCCGCGGGGGCTTTTCCAGCTACTCTGTTCCTTCACGTCCTCCCTTCTCAGCCTCGTCCAAGCACCGGGAAGACCTCCAGGCTGACCCCTTGAGCAGCAGTCAGCACAGGTGCGTGGGGGCGTGAGGGAGGCAGGGTCTTCACCACAGGCGCCTTCCTCTGTCCTTCCTGCTCTTTCTTCTCTGCCCAGGCCGCTGCAGCTGCACAGCCTCTGCTACACCTGGGCTGCCTGGGAGGCTTCCTGGTGTGGTGTCTGGACCCCACGGCCTTGGGTCATCCTGTGGCTGGTCTGGGGTGGGGTCTGTTGTGGTCCTTCCACGGTGTCAGTGGCCTGAAGTCCCTCGCTTTTGGGGGGGGGGTCTCTCACCCCCAGGCCACATAGGGCCAGTGGTAGGGGTTCCCTCTATGTCGGGCAGTGCTGAGGGCTGGGATGCTCTGTGACCCCAGCTGGAGCCCACACCTAAGGGCTGGCATCCACATCATTTCACCCTGCAGTGAGGGAAGAGGCCACCAGGTGGCAGCACAGCCACACCCGTTCCCACGTCAGAGGAGGGCAAGGCTGGGTACTCAGCAGCCACTCTGAGCCGGGGCTCCTTCCAGGAGCTGAAATCCACCTGTCTCCATCTTCCTTGCCTGCCTGGGTACTCATGCCAAGCAGAGACTGGGATTAGGGGTTCTGTGCTCTTGCCTAATTAGGAACATTCTCCCATGTCTCTTGTGTGGTCCCAGAAGGAGAAGTGAGTTTGCCAAGGATATGGGGCAGGAGGCTCCCTCTGCTGACCCCCTGCAGCCTGGAGCCAGCCCGGGGACTGTCCTGGGTGGAGGGCAGGTGAACACAAGCTGCTGCCGGGGACTGTCCTGGGTGGACGGCAGGTGAACACAAGCGGCTGCCGCATGTAGCCACTCACTCGACTTTTTTTCAGCTGTGACCATTCCCGGGAGCTCTTTGAGCCTTTCTGTCTCATTTGGAACCAGGGGGAACCAGGAAGGGGCTCCTGGCCTCTCTGTGTCCTCTGCAGTGGGGGTTGTGGGGGGCGCAGCATCCACGCCTTGCTGCCCTTCTTTCATGAAGTCTGTTTTTTAAGTGCTGGTTCCCCCGAATATTTTATGCAGAGGAGGGAAAATTTATAGTGGCAATTATTTTCTCACAGTCTGGTGAGCAGGCAATTAATTAGGAGTAAGGGGGCCTAGTAGAGCGTGGCGTGTGGCAGAATCGCACCGCCCCGGCTCCCCAGCCCACCGCCATGCAGGGCTCGCGTGCGGGAAAACTAATATGCCGGCGTTTAAGCCTGTGCCCCTCTGCTGGGTGTAACTGCGCTGAAATAAATGATCTGACAATGTGAAGCGTGCAGTCGAGTCCTGGTGTGATGGGGCGCGGGCAGCACCAGCCCGGCCCTGGATGCTGGCTCCCTGTCCAGCCCTGGCCCCAGCCCCAGGCTTCTGAGCTCTGGGTTCAGGTTCTGCCACTCGTCTTCCCATCTCCCCGCTCAGCTGAGCCTTTGCAGCTGTGCTCTAGCTCCTACCCACCTTCCAGGAGGGGTGACTGGGGCTGGCGAAGTGGGTTTACCTTGAAGCAACATGGCTCCTTGTGGGCCCCAACAACTCAGGCTACACCAGGCGTGCAGAACTGGCTGGAGCACCAGCCATCTATGCCTCTGTGCCATGTCCCCCCACCCTCCCAGCTCCGTGCTCTTTGTTGCACTGGGTCGACCAAGCACAGCTGTGTGGTCACCAGTTCTAACCTTTCTGCTTCCTGGGGTGCATTCTGCTCTGAGGTCACGCTGTGTCCAGCACATGCTGTAACCAGGAAAGAAGGGACCAGGGCTGGCCTCGACCTGAGTCCGAGAGGCAGGCCAGGCAGCACAGATATGCCATGAGCTGCCACCCACCCAGCCTATCCTGGGGTGGGATGCAGACGACCAGCCTGGACTTGAGGATTGGGACTGGAAAGTCTAGGGCCTTCTGACACCATTGCCACCTGGCTGTAGGCCAAGGCAGGGCTGCATCCCGTCCTGGCCCCCGTCCTGCACCCTGGGCCGCTATGCCCTCCACCCACCATGCCCGGGAGCTGCCAGAGCATACAGAGTTGTCCTGGTTTGAAGAAAGAAATCTTTATTAATAATCTTAATAATACTGTTAGTTTGAATGGTCACACCTTGGAAGCATACAGAATGGTAAGAAAGGAAGCCCGGGGCTCGGCTGCAGTCCTGGGGATCTGAGTGAGTCGGGGGGTTGAGCTGCTGCAAGAAAAGGGTCCGGAACAGCAGAGGGGACAGGGGGCTCTGTACAGAGGACAAAGCCGGAGGCAGGGCGTGGGGCTATGTACAACGGGAATAGAAAAGGAGAATTCCATTTCAATAGCTGATGCTGAATAGAAAGTGAGGTGTATTTTTAAATTTTTGACACTTCATGAGACAGTGGAGCCACGTTGGGAGCCTGTATTTTTTGCTGCTTCCCTACTTCAGTGCTCCCTGCCTCGCCAGGGGTTCCTCCCTGCCACCTGCTCTGCTCCTGCTCCTCCCACCGGGTAAGCCTGGCTGTCCTTGGTGCTGCTCCCGCCACCTGGACACCTGCCTTGGGAGCAGGGAAGGGGCCGGCCCAGGCTTCCCCATCCCTTGCCCTTCCCATGGGCCCCTGCTCTGGCTGTGCCCGTCCAGGCCCACAGCCACTGTGACTCCCAACCTCGCGATGCAGCCGGGCGCTGGCCCGTCCCTGGCCCTGGGCGCCCACGGTGGACTGGGCTCACAGGGGAGCGGCAGGGAGGGCTGGGTCCCAGCAGGCAGCACGAGGTCAGCCTTGGTGTACACAGGCCCCGGGCCTCCTCCAGAAAGGGAGAGATGGCCAGGAAGAGCAAGTAAGTCCTTGGCCTCAGGGCCCACTTGGCCACACTTGGAGGTGTGAGGAGTGGCTCCTGGCTGGCTGGGCTTCCTTCGTCCTCCCATGGAGCGCCCCTGAGTCCTGGAGCCACGTCAGCCCTTTCTGTTGGGAGCTGGCCCCGGGGCTACTGTTGGACGGCTTCCTCGCCAGGCTGGGGGCACGGGCGGGACTGCCGGGCAGGAGGGAGGTGGGACGCAGGGGACGCGACAGGAGGGTGACGGGGCCCAGTGGAGCCCCTGGGATGAAAGCTGCCCGCACCCCTCAGCCCCGCCGGCCCCCTGGCACAGCTGGCCACAAAGATCAAGTCTTGCTAGCAGCGCCTGCCTGCTCAGGCCCGGGCCTGCTCCGCCGCCGCTGGGCTCCACACTGTCTGTCTTGGGAGTTGGGGGCTGGGAAAGGAAGACTGGATGGAAAACAGAGCCCCCCACGGGTCCCACAAGGGAGGCCCCTTCCCCTCCAACTCCCCCACTGCCTGAGACGGAGGGGCGTGTTCCCACTGTGCTGCCAGCCAGGACGCGGTGGGGCCGTCCTGTCCTGGGGCCGCTCCTCGGCGCCCCTGCCGGCGTGCTCCCTCGGTGCGGGCGTGTGGCCAGGACGCGGGACTTGGACTTGGTTGGATGCCTCTTGGTTTGGTTGGTTTTTTTTTTGTTGCTTGGATCTTAACATCTTTTTTTGTTTTTTTTGTTTTGTGATTTTTTTTGTTTTTTTGTTTTTGCCCTTCATGGTCCGAGAAGGAAACGGTGGAAGGTTTCACTACAACAGAAACAGAAAGGCAGGACTTGCAGCTTCTCGGGGGAGGCACAGCAGGTGTGAAGGCGACAGGACCACGTGGCACGGGGCCCCTGGCCTAAAGTCCTGGCGCCGCCACACCTGCCCCCCAGGTTTCCAGGACCCTCATCTTCCAGGGCTGAGTGTGGGTGGATCCCAGGATGGGGCCCAGGCAGCCCAGGATGGGAGGAGACACCTGGGGCCCTGAGGAGGAGACAGAGCTGAGCAGGGCAGGGTGAGTGGAGAGGCTGGGCCAGCACAGGCTTCGAGGCGGCCTGGATGAGATGGCAGAGGGTGATGGTCTGGCCACGGGAGGTGGGGGAGCCGGGCCCCCCACGGCAAGGGCCTGGTGGGCGGCAGGACTTCAGCCCTCACTGGTGGGGAACCCACACCCTCCAGCTGGCCTTCCAGCCCCAGGAGCCCAGCCGTGGCACACTCAGAACCTGAGGCTACTTTTCCCTGTCATGGAGGTACAGATCTGTGTGCCCCAGGCCAGTGCCAGGAAAGGACTGTGCCTGTCTTGGCTGGCTTTTCCTAGGCAGGCCAGCAAGCTGCCCACGGCTGTGCTCAAGTGAGGTCCCAGCCAGTGTCTCCCCAGAAGCGCCATGCACCGGGCTGGCCAGTCCCAGGGCTGAGGAAGGAGTGGCCCGCAGGCCACAGGGCCCTGCCTGCAGTCTCCCTAATGCAGGGAGGGGACTGACCTGGGGCTGACCGGCCTGCGCTCAGGGGAGGGCCTGAGCAAGGGTGCATTCTGCCCCTCATCAGCTCTCCTGCCTGCTGAGGACCCCTCCTTCCGGAATATACCCCAATAAAGACATTTCGAAGCTTGGGGACAGGGAAAGTAGGCTGTGCCTCCAGGACAACCCCCTTGCAAGGCTGGCCTGGCCTTGGCCCTGCGGTGCTAAGGGGCTCCCTGAGGAGCGACCAGGACGTGCCTTTCCACATTTCCACTTTCTGCTGCAGCAGTGCTAAGGAGTCGCAGAGACTGGCGTGACCACAGCAGTTTGCACACCACGCGACACGCTTGTGACTACGTCGGCAAGAAATATCGTCAATAAAATTTAATGAAAAATATTAGTTTCAGCTGAATGGGGCGAGGAGGGGCAGTGGCTACTCCTGTGGTTGGCTGGGTGAAGGCCTGCGGGAGCACCCTCAGGCCGGGGAGACCCACACTGGGTGCCTGGAGCCCCTCCCTCCCTGCGTCAGGGTGCTGGACACTAGGGCCATGGCACGGGGCTGGTCGGGTGGCTTTGGGGGAGGCCCTGCCAGGCGTTTCTGTTGTTCTGTGCAGCCTGGGAGGCCAGGAAATGTGGCTCTTGCCCTCATAGGGCGCTACCGCTACTCCCAGGTTGGGGGCTGCCTGGTCTCCTGGCCCAGCCTGGACCCCACGGTGTGCACACCGTACCTGCAATGGCTTGGGTAGTACAACATCAACAAAGTCAAAATAGGAAATCACGGTTGCAGACATACAGGAAAAACCAGGGTCAAAGACACACACACCAGCACAGGTGGGGTGGGGAGACCAACTGGCTGGAGAGAAATAATCTATAGATTTTAGAGTTGCAGGGGGCCAGCCGTGCGTGTCGCTGACCGGGAGGGGTGCACTGTCTTCTGGTGGCTGTGCCTGGTTTTGGGCTGTTGGGTTTGGTGTGTAATAGGCAGTCAGTGTGAATGCTGTTAGGGGCTGGGTCTCTTGCTAGTAGGGGGTGAAGCGGCTGTACCCTCCTCGGCAGAGGCTAGCCTGCAACATCAAAGATGAAAAACAGCCAATCAGTACCGTCTTTTGGAAGAGGGGAAAAAGCAAAAAGAAAAAAAAAAAGGAAAAACAAAAAGAGAAATAGCCAAGTCTCGATTTCTTTCCCCCTATATTCCTTGGGGAGAAAGGAGTTGGGTTGTCATGGCAACAGGAAGAGTAGGACCTGCCTCTGACATAGTGGTCTTGGGCCAGTGTGGGGTGCTCTGGGGTCATGGCCAACAGTGCTTCTAGGTCACAGCTTGAGTTATGTCTGGGTCACTTCTCTGGGCTCAGGCCTGGCCTCTCACTGTCCTTATGCAGAGGGGGGGTCCCAGCTTGAGCCCCACCTCCTCGCACCCCAGCAGGGTGGCACGGGGCATCTTCAGAGCACTGAGGGACCTCCTGGCGGGTTCCTGGGCCTTGGCTCAAGAGCCTGGGGCCACTGAAGCCAGCTACGCTGGGAGAGGCAAGCCTGCTGGGCATAGTGTTCAGAGCCTTGCTCTCTGGGGGGGTCTCTGGGTCCTCCTGGGCCCACCTGAGGCCCAGCCCTGTCCTACTGGGGAGAGCGGGTCCTGGATGCTCCAGCTCTCCCATGTCCTGGGCTGCCTCCAGTCAGGGAAGGCTCTGAAGGGGCCTCCCACCCTCCCACCACCCAGTTTTCCCAGAAAAGAACAACACAGCAAGTGCAAGAGAAGAAAAATTGGGGAAAAATAGAAAATCTTAAAAATACAAAGTGAAAACACAAGAGGGAACCCTCCGTGCGTTAATGAAAGCTTTTAGCTTGCAGCTGCACGGAGGGCCCAAGAGCCAGGGTATCACACCTCCATCCGGGTGGGGCCGCACCAGACCCGCGCCTGTGGCTGCCCACAGCCACCACAGGCTGCTGGGGGTGTCTGAGGCTCGTTAAAAATTGAAAAAAAAAAAAAAAATTGGAGGGAGTCATCAAAACCAAGAAAGATGGGAAAAATCCATATTGCCTCTGAACCTCCTCCCTCCTCACTCTCCCAAGATGTTTTCATCTTTGATGCTGGATGCCAAGCTAGCTAAAACCCGTGTTCACACCCCGGGGCTGGGGCCAGTGGGTACAGGAGGCAGGTGTCTGCTGGAAGCAGCTCTGGGTGCAGAGTGAGCTGGGCTGCACGTGTCAACAGCTGGCCACACACACACACACACACACACACACACACACACAGAGACACGCCACGCCGCGCACCTCCCCGCCCCGCCCCTTCCACCCCACAGCCTGAGGGAGGAGGCTGGGGCAGAGCAGGCACTGTTTCCCCAGGACGCCAGGAGCCCCCAGGAAGCCAGGAGCTAGAGCCTGGTGAGAAGCAACCGGTAACCCACACTCCCCTCTCGGATGCGATGCGAGGGGGCTGCAGCAGTGCGGGTGGGCCGTGGGTATGCGGTGTGGGCAGAAACAGCCCCGGGGCCTTGGGAGCCTCTGCTGGGAAGGAGAGGCGGCCCTGGTTTGGTTTCTGAGGTTTTCCTGGTGGAAATGGGAATGGAGGGGCCTCAACGGGACTTTATTATAGTGAGGGAGCTCAGGGAAACGGATCAGGCACATTGGGGTGCTTTCCAGAGGACCAGATGGTACGGTGGGCTGACCAGCCATTCAACCTGCTTCCCCGCAACTGAGAGGGCGTGAGGGGCCAGCCCTCCCCTCACCCTAACTCACATCCAGGCCGTGGTCCTTCCAAAGTCTCCGGGACCAAGGCATTGGTCAGAGGGCTCGGCCTCTCCCCCAAGGGCCTCACCACCCATGCCCAGCTGTTAGGACTGGCACCCAGGGCTGGGCGGGCCTGGGCTCCTTACCATGGTTCCAATGCTGTAGGTCGCCGCGGGCCCGATGGTGTGATGGTACGGGTCGGCAGCTGCGTAGACTCTGCCGTAACTAGGGAAGAGCGTGGGAGGGGGAGTGGGAGGAGGGTGGGGGAGGGGGGCAGGTGAGGGGCAGCAACGGCCTCCCACCTCCTCCCAGACACTACATGGGCACCCTGTACCGAGGTCCCATCTGCAAGGCACCCTCCCCTCCTGCAAGGCCTGCAAGGCCTACCCCTCCTTCTTGTTAAGAAGGAAGCTTCTGGAACACAACAGGCAACCCTCTCAATATGCCCACAGTGTGCTGACCCTGACGGGGTGGGGGGAGGGGGTGTGTTCCACTCAGTGCTACGTGGAGGGGGATGGTGTCCTCATGGAGCTCGTCTGCAGGGAAAACAAACTTCCACCCCAAAAAGAATGTGGTAAATACTGGGGAGGGTTTCAAGAGAAGAGAGAGGGTCAACGAGGAGGGACCAGGAACACTGCCCCCAAGAATGTGACACTTGTGTCCCTCACGACTTTCCCTTCAGCAGTTTGTCTGTGCAGGGAACTCTCAGCTCCTTAGAGAGCAGAGCTGGGCCACGGCACCCTGTACACCACACTTCAGGGAGATGGAGCCGGGGCTGCCAGGAGGGAGGGGGTACAAGCGGTCCCCAGACCAGAGTGGTGGAGCTCAGCTACCAACAGGCCAGATGTCTGAGGGGAAAGGCACTAGGCTAGGTTGCTCCAGGAGGAAGCACTCAAGCGTCTGCCTCCAAGACAGACAGCCACTGTGGGCACGGGGCTTGCGGGGGGCGGTGGGGGGACTGGGAATCAGAGATGCGGTCTCCACCTGGGGTTTCCACAGCCTCCCCATGGGGTAAGCAGGAAGTGACTGAAGTCAGGGGCTCACTGGCTCAAGGGCCACACTCAGACCTGCTCCCCTGTCCCGACCCTACTCCCGCCAGGCCTGGAAGAGTGGGTTACGCCTCCTGCCTGTCTGGGCCCAGCTCCCCAGGGATCCTTGTCCATCTTCTCCCCACCCTGCTCCAGAACAGTGCTGGCCCCCGGCCTCACCTGTCGCTGTAGGCTGCCGCCGCTGCAGCGGGCTGAGCGTATCTGTAGGCTGCGTAGCCTCCCTGCAGGGTAAGTGGGAGGAGAGAGAGCAGAGGGACTTAGTGGGGCTCCCCAGGGAAAGGCTGAGTGGGGAGAGGAGACAGACCCTGTGCGGGTGGGGCCCTGGGAGGGACTACAGACCTTCCCAGCCTCCCAGCCTCGGCTGGGTAAGGATTAGGTGGTACCTGGCCTGGGCACCTAGTTCTGGTCTAACACAGGACCGAGGACTGCAGATGGCTAGGTGGCACAGTTCAGGGCGAGGCAGGTCTGCCTGTCCACTCCATTCATTCACTCATTCATTCACACATCCATCTGTGCACTCCACACACATTAGCGGGTACCCATGACTCATCTGGCTGGGTGCTAGGCCTTGGCAAGGAAGAGGTGCTCACAGACCTGCCACCAGGCCACTGAGGCCTGACTTGGATGCTGAGGGGCTGGGAGAACCCACAGTGACTCTGGATAGTGTCCTGGACACCAGGAAGGGTCAAGGGTAAAGGGCACAAGAGGACGTGAGCTCAGATGATGTCCTGGCCTCAAATGGGCAGGTAACTGAATTGTAGGCAGCTGCCCAGGACTGAAGGGTGGCTGGGTACATGGGGTGTGGCCGTCAGTGAGTCTGAGACAGAGGAAGCAGCACATGTGGCCCCATGAAGGGGGAGAAAGGCCACCGGACCCCATCAAGGGGGGTAGGCCCTGGAGCACAGGCACCCAGGGGCCCTGCCTCCTGGCCCCTCTTGCAGCCCGTGCTGTGGGTGCCTTAGGGGCTCACTCACTGACCGCAGCGTGGTTAGGGACGTGGCAGAGTCCCACTGCCCCCATTATATGAGGCCTTGCCCACAGGAAGATGGTTTCAGCTCACAGGGCTGCTGGGCGGCCCATTAACTGCTCCCTTGATGGGTACCAACAACCAAACTGTGCCATGCTGGGATTCTCAGGGATGCCATACTCTGGGCAGACGTGGCACCCTCGCCCTCCTGGCTTCAAGGGTGGGATGGGATGGGATGGGAGGAGCGGGCAGTGAGAGAGGAGACGCCGACTTCTCATTGAGACCCACAGAACGCCTGATCCCACCCTCCCTCCCGGCGGGGCTACACTTACATAAATCTCAGCACCATAAAATCCATCCTGATACACGACCCTGGAAGCAAACGGACAAGAAAGTG
The DNA here is from genome assembly GCF_000001405.40 of Homo sapiens. Taxonomy (NCBI): domain Eukaryota; kingdom Metazoa; phylum Chordata; class Mammalia; order Primates; family Hominidae; genus Homo; species Homo sapiens. The sequence goes on from NC_000017.11 coordinate 79,096,718, forward strand.
GTGGGAACGCTGGAGAGGTGGGGTAGGCCGGCTCCGGTGTCTGCTGAGGAGGGAGGGGGCACGGTGCCAGCCCCGCCCATGGGACTGGCATTTTAACAAGCGTTTGCTCCAGTGCCCTGTTTTGGTATAACAATAGAGTAACACCCTTGCTGATCAGCAACTTTCTCCCACAAACCCCGGGGCCCATAGCCCACCCGACCCCAGGCAGCTGTGCCCCCCACCCCTTTAGTGATGGAGGGCACCAGACCCCAGGGAATGGGAGCAGAGAGGGCTCAGAGAAGCCCCTCGCTGACCTCAAGAGTGGACAACGGCCCCATTAAAGCATCCAGACAAGGTTCTGGGGCTCTGAATGTCCCCCTAAATGCCAGTGACCTCCGCGATGCCCGCCGTGGTGGGGATAGGGGTGAAGATAATGGAGGCAGCTGCAGGGCTGAGTTCTGGGGCTCCCACGATCCTCCCCCCCCCCAGGTCTGGAAAGGCTGCCTAGCCCCTCGCACTGCGCAGGGCCTCCCCATTTCCCTCCTCCCCGCCGTCCTACCCCCTCCTCCACGCCTCCCCCGGCCCAGGTACTCACGCTCCGTAAGTCGGGATGGGGGGTGGGGGTGGCGCAGCCCGAAATGTATTATACACGGCCCGGCCCCGGCCCCGAAGATGTGCGCCCCGGTAGGCAACGGCTGTGCCGGTGGTGGGGTAGGGGAACCCCGTCACTGCAGGAAACGGGGCCCGAGACACGTGTGAGAGGCACAAGGGGACCCACCTGGCACCCCCTCCCCGTACACCTAGCCCCCCCGCGCACCTAGCCCCCAACCCCTCCCCAAGCCCCGCCCCCGGAGCGCTACTCAGTCAACACGGCGACGGGAGGGCGGGGACGGCCCACCTGGCCCCGCCCCTCATGCCCCGCCCCCAGAGCCCCCGGAGCCCCACGGGGCCAAGTAGCTGGTCTCATCCCATCCCCGCCCCGCCCCAGCTTTTACCTGCATAGAATTCAGGCCCGTAGACTGCGCCGACCACTGGATTTAGCTTCCAGCCTAAAACAAAGGCACAGAGACCTAGTCACTGCCTTCCCCGACCCTTTTCCCACCAAAACGTATGCCTGGGAACCCCAGCGACACCGGTGGAGCCCTTGGGAACATTCCCAGGGCGCCTCCCCGCGCCGGGCCCCCCTTTCCCACACTGCCCGGACAAGTGCTGAGTTCAAAACACCAGGGTCTACTCCTTCCTGACTCTTCTGCCTGGGGGTCTGCTAGGATTCTTTCCCAATTGTGATCCTCCTCAGCCTGCCCCTGAGCAACCCTCACCCCTGGGCGTCATCCCCCGAAGCCTGGGGTACCCACCTCCCAGAAGAGAACTGGAGAGGGAAAGTGGAACTTGTTATCTACCCCCCTGAGCACAGCTGGGATGAGGGTTTCTGGAGTCAGACTCAGCACAGCCCCACCATCCGAGCTCCAGGTGGCCAGAGGCTGCAGGAAAGGCGCTTGGACTCTGCCCATAAGCTCTCCCCACTGCCTGCCAAAGTCCCCGTCCTGCTCCCTCTTCCCCGTGCTGAGTCCTGCTCTCACTTTCCTCCCGTCCTCATCTTCCCCCAGAGCGGCTGTCCGGGAGGGTGGCCTGGGAGCAGGTCGAGGAGGAAAGGGCATTTGGACTGGGAATGATAATAAGGATGGGCTGGTTTTCCTCAACACTGTGTGTGAGCCACACAGACTGTTCGAAACTCACGGGGTCCTCCCTGCCCAGTGAGCCACCACACCCTCCCCATTTTGCAGATGAAGAAACAGCCCTGGAGAGGCACAGCAACCTCCCGTCAGCAGCTGGGGAGTGGCAGAGCCAGGGATCCCAGCCTGTAATCGGCATCCCAGCCTCTCCCTTCCTGCAGGTGGGCCAGTCTTCCTCTCCCCGGGGGAACCCAGGAGCAGAGCAAAGACCTGCTCCACCTGGAGGCCTCTGCGGGGGACACCAGCTGCCTTGCAGTGGGCTCCGGCTCCAGGCATTCCGACAGGTTGGGCAGGAGGGCTTCTTGACGAGGCCCAGCCCCTTACCCCTCCTCAGTGTACCCAGGTCTTATCTCTACAGCATGCCCCGTGGGCCCGGCTCCTTGTCCCTTTGCACTGGGTGGGGAGGAACAGCAGGGACGAGAGCCCACTGGCCAGCTGGGGAGATACATCTGGAGAGGGTGGCAGTGGGCCCAGGCCATGTGTGAACCCCTGACCCAGATTCTAACAACCCCACTGCAGGGCAGGCAGACTGGAGGCAGTGAGGACGGAGGGTCGGGGTATGTTCCTCCCTCTGGCCAAGTCTTCACCCCACCCCGCATCCCCGGCCCACCATCACACAACCTTGTGTCTGGACGCCATTGCTGGGACTTTGGAATCTTCCAAAAAGATAAATCCCAGGTTAGGAAGGAAGAAACTTTTTTTGGGGGTAGGGGGGCACAGTTTCTTGCTCTGTTGCCCAGGCTGGAGTGCAGTGGACGATCACGGCTCACTGCAGCCTCGACCTCCTGGGCTCAAGCGATCCTCCTACTTCAGCCTCCCGAGTAGCTTGGGCCACAGGTGCCTGCCACTACACCCACAGCTAATTTTAAAAACTATCTGTAGAGACAGGGTCTCCCTGTGTTGCTCAGGCTGGTCTTGAAGTCCTGGGCTCAAGGGATCCTGCCACCTTAGCCTCCCAAAGTGCTGGGATTACAGGCATGAGCCACTGCATCAGGCTGAAAGAAATGTTTTGTTTTCTGGGAAGACCTCCAGTCCGAAGAACTGACTCTTCTTACTAGAAGGCCCATGATGGAGCAGAGTCCTGGAGACCCTGACCCCAAGCCCAGACTCCCCGGGGCTCCATCCAGTGACTCTTCTGGGTCCACTCTGGGCGAGTGAGACTTGGAGGCTGCATGTGTGCTTCAGATGGCCCTGGGCACCTTCACCTGTCAATTCTGGCTTCCTGGATGCCTCCACCGGTGATTCTGGCTTCCTGGGTGCCCTCCCCTGTCAATTCTGCCTCTCTGGGAGCCTCCACCTGTCTCTGCTGCCTCCATTTCACTGTCTGGAACCCCAGATGGCAGAGACAGCCTGAGACTGCCTGGCTGGCCTGTTTCTACCGTAAATAGTTAACACCTGGGCAAACCTGGTGGGTTTGTTTTCTACAATGGAAACCTCCACCCCCAACTGATGAATTCCAGAGTGTTGGGTAGTGTTGAAGCCAAGTCACGCAGCACTCGCCACCAGAGCCCATGGGTTGGCTTCGGTGCCAACCTGCAGAGAACCCAGGGCCGTCCCACTGCAGCCCTCTGTGCCCAGGCTGATGAAGAGATTGAGATGAAACGGCTCTTGCTGCAAAGGTGGGCAAAGGTTCCCACCTCCCTCCATTCCCTGATGTTTCACTGGTGTAGGTTCCGTGCCCCTCATGAGCCGCATAGCCCGAGGCCATTCAGAGATGGGTCTGTTCTGATTTCCATGCTCCCCTGAATTCTCACTTCTGCCCAGACAGCGGTGGGTGTGGCCCTTGGGTGCAGAGTGGGCAGCTGGTTCCAGAGATTTTGCAGCCCCGCTGGTTGATCACCTGTACCCTATAAAAATGTCTACCGCTTTTACTTCCTGTGCCAAGTGCCAGATCACAGAAGAGTCACACCCAGGACGCACTCGGGATGCTTGCAAAGTGGGAACACTCCCAAATTTTTAAAAAGAATTTGAGATGTGTAAGTCCTCAGAAAAGCAGGATATGAGGCCATGAGAATCAAGTCTAACTTGGGCCAGGCCAGAGGCCCGGCCCCACCCCAGCATCGGACACCAGGAGAAGAGCTCGGGGGAGAGGTGGCGGATCGGGCGGTCCTGTCCAGGCTTCCATGCTGGTTGTCACCTGACTCCACGTATGGCCGATCACATGGGGGGCCATGAGAGGCTGGGGGTGACACCGTCTGAAAGTCCACGGCAACAGGGAGATCCATCCCGTCTAGGGGCAGCGCTGAGGCTTCTAAGGGGTCCGAGTGGGAAGCTGCTCCCTGGCAGGAATGAGCGGAGGCCCCCAACGTACGCCTGCTCTGCTCAAAGCAGGCCCCTTGCCGGATGGAGTTAAGACTCGCAGTGGCCACCAGTGGTCCCCCTGCTTCTCCAGAGCCAGCACTTAGCGTCGGCAGATCCATCTCCAAGGAAGACCGGCCACCTCCGTTTGCAGTGGGGTGCACACACACAAGATTCCTCAGTCTCCCCTTGCTGTGGACAGCAGGGCTCAGCCTGGGGCCTCAGGGCCACCCATGTCAAAAAGCCCCAGGAAGGCAGTTACTGTAATCACATCCTCCGAAATCTGAGCACCTCCCCCCGGGCCCTTCCTCATGGTGCTTAAAGGTGTCATTTGTCATCGAACAGCTCTGGGGGATGGTGTCACTATTCCTGTTTTGCAGATGAAGAGACTGGAACTCAGAGAGGTCTAGAAGCTCATCCAAGGCCCCCCGTGCCCTCACTGCCCTCCCTGAGCCTGCTTACACTGGGAATCGGTGCAGCAGGTCTCAGCACAGAAGCCTTCAAACTCTGGCCCTGGGGGAAAGTCAGTCCTAATCCAGGAAGGCACAGCTATCCCCCTGGATCAGAAGCCTGCACGTGTGGCCTCTGGGGGCCAGGCACGCCTGGGAAAGTGAGACTCCAGCTATGGCTGACTGTATGGGGCCATGAGAGGGGTGAGTGGCCCCCAGCTCTCCTCCCGCCTCTTCTGCCCCACCCGCTTCTGACCGGGAGCAGAGCGGCAGCCCCAGGGCTGGGACACTGGGGACGGAGGCTGCCTAGGATCCAGGAAGGTCAGCCTGCAGCAGCCTCAGCTCCCCCAGGGCCTCTGTCCCAGCCAGTGACCCCAGCAGCCTTGTGGGGGGACCCAGCCCCTTACCGTTGGTGTAGGGGTTCCCCGTCTTCTTGTTGGTCATCACTCGGGCCGTGGCATTATTGACCTGTTCAAAGAGGGAAGGAGAGAGAGGAAGAGGGAGGATTAGCCTCCTGGAAGACCCACTGGCCACTCCTCCCCGCCCTGCTCCGTTAGCCCCCGGCACCCCCCGCCCCAGCCTCCTCTCTCCACCATGCTGCCTGCCCTCCGGGAGCCTTGGCCCCCACTGCTCCCAGCACGGGCTAAAGCCCCGCCTGGCCCAGGACCCCAGACCCAGGCCTGCTGGCCTGTATCCTTCATGTGGCTGTTCCCATAAACCCAGCCCCAGGCTCCCAGGCACCCCAGGACAGCTGGAGCAGCTCCCTGGTGGACTCTCCACAGAGTGCTCTCTGACCAGAACCAGCTAAGAGGCTGGACTCCAGGATGCCCCCTCCTCCCTGAGGCTGCCAAGGCCCACCTAGGCATGGGTACCAAGATGGCCACATACCCCTCCTGGATGATGCCCCCCTCCCCCGAGGCCAGAGTCCTCAATGCTGCAGAGTACAGAGGTCTCTGATGGGGCCCGTGTGCCCCTGGAGGACGAGGCCGACAGGGAGGGGGGCTCTGGGCACGAAGTCACCTATTTTCCACACATATGCCTGGGTGAGGCTGTCCAGGGGCAGCCTGGGATGGAGAAGACGAGGCATGTGTGGGAGGGAGTCGAGAATAGCAGGGGTGATGGGTCCCAGGAAGGGGTCTGGGCTGTTCTGCCTCCCCTGCGTCCTCCATTGAGCCCCGAGGGCGTGGGGCTGCAGCCTGGCCAAGCCAGTGCCTTCAGAAGTCTGGAAACCTCCTCTCAGGCCCTTCACTGCCTGCCTGAGGGCTCTGTCATGGTGGCTGGCCCCAGCCCTCCTCCAGCCACCCTTTGGCTGCCCTGCCTGTTGGGGTACCCAGCTCCAGACACCCAGGCCGCAGCAAGGGAACACAGCCCACTGGCACTCTGGACCCCTGGGGAGCAGGGAAGGAGGGGACAGAGCGGGATGGGTGTCAGGGAGGGACCCAGGGCCCCTCTCCCTGCTCCTCCTTGGGGCCTGGTCTCTTCCTCTGCCCTGGCCATTGCCACTGCTGCCTCTGCTTCTACCCAAACAAGGGGTGGAGTGGGGCCAAGGTGGGGGCAAACTGCAGGGCCCAGACTGGGCCATGTGGGGACAGGTTGGGGACAGCCGCTGCTCCATGGTGAGCAGGGTCTGGGGATTAATGGCTCCTTGGCCGGGTGGGCTGGCCATGGTCCTTGAAGCTGCCAAGCCCCAAATACAGGATTTCTGGGGCTCCTCCAGTGTCTGGTTGGGGACAGCGCCTCTCCTAGGAAAAGGAGGGAAGAGGCAGGGGAGAGGGGACCTCGGGTGAGCCTGAAGGGGTGACAGGTGATAGGGCTCAGCCGGCAGCTGAGCACCCTGGCCTTAGTGCGACCCTTCCTCCCACCCCAGGGAACCCTGGCCAGGCTCTCTGAAGGGTGCGGCAGTGGCAGGGCTGGTTGGTTGGGGGAGCTGGGGGGCAGGTGGGCGATCTTGGGGCATCCCTGCCGCAGCACACTTATCTGAGCACCTCAATTTTCCGTCCCTCTACGATCGTCCCATTCAGCTTCTCCCGGGCTCGGTCAGCATCTGAGCTAGTTTCAAAAGTTACAAACCCAAAACCCTGTGAGCAGAGGAGAGGGAAGGACAGGCACGGAGAGGAGGACACAGGGCGAGAAAGAGGAGGAAGACGAGGAAGAAGAGGAGTGGGAGGGGGGCAGGGGAGTGGGGAGAGAGAGAGAAGGGGTTGAGTCAGGTGAGTTGAGGCAGAGACGCAGGCAGCCCAGAGGTCTGTCCTAGGGCCACCGGCAGGATGCCAGGAGGGGTATGGGCCCCAGGGGGGCAGCTGCTGACCCAGCCTGAGCCCAGCCTGAGCTGATCACCCGGCATCTCCAAAGGGACAGGCCAAAGCCACATAAGAGACGCCATACCTGACCACAGGCCAGGCCTGCCCCCTGAACCCCACCTTGGGGTAGGGGGCCCAGGCTGGGCTTCAGGACCTGCAGGGGCAGCCCACCCATCTCCACCCTCGGAGCCCAGGGTAGAGGGTCGTGCCTTCCTGGAAGGGGAGTAGGGCTTGTCTCCGCCGGACACCCTCCCCAGCCTGCCCTCTCTGTAGCCCCTCCCTCAAGCTTCAAGGCCAGTGGTCCCCTGGGGTAAGTGTTCAGTGGGGGTGGGGCCCGGACCTGGGGCCCAGGGCTCTGGGGTGCAGGCAAGAGGTCCTGGTGGCTCAGAAAGAAAAAGCGGCAGCGGCAGCAACAACACAGACAGCTGGGGTGGGGGCGGGGCGGGTGGGGGCGGAAGAGCGGGGAATACAAGCACCCGTGTCGCTCAGGGGTCCTCGGGCGCGAAGCTCTCCAGGAAGGAAACGCACATTTCACACGTTAGCCTGGCGGGACCTACAGCCGGCGCTGTAAGGCGGCAGCTCCGTGCGGCACCCACCTTGGAGCCCCGCTCGTTAAAAATGATCTCCACGTCTAAAATTTTTCCGAATTGCTGCAGAGACAGAGACAAAGAGGGAGTGGGGCAGACAGGAAAGTGCGGGTTAAGACTGCTGGCCCAGCTGCCCGCTCCACTCCTGAGACGCTCATGCCTGTGCTCTGCCCTCGGCCCCCAGCTTGGGAAAGGAGACCGGGGACCCCCTCCCACCCCTGGCCATGGAGCAGCTGGGACTTGGCCACTTGGAGAAGGCGATGGTGGGGATAGGGTGCCCAAGGCATCACCAAGAGGGTCCTTGGTGTGGTGTGGGGACAGGGACAGCTCTCCCAGCCTCTCCTGGAGGCCCGTGTCTCCCTTCTGCCTTGGGGAGCTTTTACTGCCAGGACACTAACTCCAGCTGCCAGCTGGGCATGGGGGTAGGCACATCACCAGTGTCCCCTCCTCACCCTGCTAGGACATGGCCACTTGGAAAGGGTTACAGTGGGGATAGGGTACCCAAGGCATGACTGCCCCACCCCTAATTCACACTAAAGGGTAAAGGTCTGCTTTGAGACCCTTCTCTAAAGGATGGGGGAGAGGGAGACAGAGGGACATGAGTGTCCATTAGGGACAAAGTGCCACAGAGAAGAGAAAGTGCTGGGGTCAGGAAATGGAGACTGAGGCCACCGGAGAGCAGGACCCCTGGTTGGGAAATGGGACCCTCAGGCCTCCCTGAGATGGGGAGGAGGTTGGGCAGGGGGAAAATGGGGTTGAGGGTGTGAGGGCAAGAGGGAAGCATAGGAGGGTCTTCCGCCCAGGCCCCCGGGACCCTGCACAGCCTGTCATGGGGCTGTGCTGGCGTGCGGTGCTGAGCAACTGTTCAGGTCGTTTGGGCCAGCTGGGCCATGACGCTCTAGCTGCCTTCTTCCCTCCCATTGTTGGCCATAGTCCCCATGGGGCAGCCCTGTCTCTCTCACTGGTACTGAGACCATGAGCCTGTGAACAGCCCCGAACAACACTTCTGAGGTCCCCAGGGCCTGTCCTGAAGCCTGCAGTGCAGGCAACTGATGGGGGTTTCCCAGTCACCTCCACACAGTCCTGGAGGCGGGGGGTGCAGCAAGCCCCAGTGGGGCCAGACAGCAATGAAATCCCAACTCTGCCAGGTGCTGAAAAGAGGGGGACAGTAACCTCCGTTCTGCAGGGACCCAGGGAGCTGATGGGGGACAGTGTCCCCATCCTGCAGGGACCCAGGGAGTTGATGGCGGATGGTGCCCCTGTCCTGTAGGGACCCAGGGAGCTGACAGGGGATGGTGTCCCCGTCCTGCAGGGACTGAGTGTATGTAAACAGGTCCCCTGCAGGGGGCATCCAGCCAGAGCTCCAAAATGTCAGCTGCTATTAAGGGGCAGCCCCAGGCCCAGAGAAACCTGGCAGCTTGCTCAGGACCCAGAGTCGAGAAGGGACAGAGTCCTTGCCATCTGATGATTCTAAGTCATGCCAGCCCTCCAATGAGTCTAGACTGCAAATCCAACCAGGCCGGGCTCCTGAGACGGGGAGTGGACTTCTAGGGATCACGTCAGGGGGTAGGTGAACGGGGACCTCTCCACCCTGGGGCTGCCAGAGGTGCTTCCAGTCTGCCTGACAAATCCCAGCTGGGTCAGGGTGGCATGAGGGGAGAGGCTGGGATTCAGGAGCCAGAGGCTGTCTACCTGCGCAGCAGAGGTGGGGTGGGCACCGTGGCAGGCAGGCGGAAGAGAAGTTTGGAGGGAGGGAAGAAACACGGCCGGGCTGCGTGGTCCTCTGTGGCCAGGGCAGGCCTGGGAGCCTGGGCTGAGCCACCCAGCTGCTGCCGCTCACCCACCACTCGGCAGCCCCAGCCCCCTGCAGGCATCAACACCTGCCTGGCGCATTCAAGTCCAATAACAACAAAGTGACCCAGGACCCAGGGGCAGCCCTGCACGTTCTCACGGTGACCCCACCACGGGGCTGAAGCCTACAGTGCAAAACCCGGAACAGGCCCTCGGAGTCCAGCAGGGGCTTCACTTCCCATTGACTGTGCATCCGGTTCCAAGTTCCCCACCTGGGGGCCCGGGGGACACAGGCCCGGAGAGGTTGACTGCCCGGCCCCCGGGCACACAAGAGAGGCCAGGGCTGGGGCTGCTGCTCTATGGGAGGTTGAGCTGCCCCTCCAGGTACCCTCTTGCGAGGAGACAGGAGCCAGAATGTGGGAACAGGGCGGTCATAACCAAACTGGCTGCGAGGTCCCAAGGTACTCTAGGAAACCCCTGAGCTCAGGTGGTCTGGGGGGCATGGGTGGATTTCTGGCTGGGAGCAGGAGGGGTGGGGTTTGAGGGGCAGCCGCAACAGATCCCCCTACTCCTCAGCTTGAGGCCTTCCTCTTCCCCGCCACCGTCCCAGCAGGTTCAGGTCAGGGCAGGGCTGGGCCCAGGAGGGAAGGAATCCTGGGGCCCCGGAGGCTCCCTGCGCAGTGGGAGGCAGGAAACCCGGGGGAACAGGTGTCGGCAGGAAGGCAGGGCCTGTGGGCGCCACCCTGGAGCTGGGGCAGGTGTGGAGGGCAGGATGGGTGGGGCCGCGCACACTCACCCCGAACATTTGCCGCAAGTCGGGGTCCCTGAACCGGAAGGGGATGTTGGAGACGTGTAGCCGCTTGGGCTGCTGCTTCTCTGTAGGGTCGGAGGGGTGGAGCGGCTGGCTGTCCGTCTGTGCCGCCTCGTCTGTCTGCTGCAGGGAGAGGACTGGGCTGTGGAGGCTGCCTCTGTGTGCGGGGTTGCCCATCCCCTCTGCTAAAGGGTCGGCAGAGTCTAAAGGCCAGATTCTCCCCACCCTTCTGGGCCTCTCCCCCATCCCTGGGCTGGGATCCTTGGCAGAATCTGGGCAGACGGTTCCCATGAGATACAGCACAGGGGCACCTCACACAGAGAGGCCCCACCTCTAGGCCTTCGCCCAAACTGTGCAGGTGAGGCCGCCTCCCTCCCGCCATCCCAGTGCAAGGCCTCCTGGCCTGCTCTGTTCCCCGCTCCCGCAGCCCAGGCCTGTCCACAGAGGCTGAACCTCCACGGTCTCTTAGCCCCACTGACATCTCAAGGCAGTTCTGGGAGCCTGAGGACCCCACTGTCTTTCAAGTCCTGATGATGAAGTGGTGAACTGCAGACAGATGTCGGCCTGGCCCGAGGGTCCGCCTGTCCGAAGGTGCTGCCCTTCGTGTCCCCCATCCCTGCCATGCTCCTGCTTATTCCAGCCTGCTGCTGCCACTCAGAACCTTTGGGGTTCACCTCCAGAAGCCTCTCCCAAGGCAGGGCGTGGCCAAGTCCAGTCCTCTATAGCCCCCATTTGGACCCAAATACTGGTGGGCAGATGGGCTCCCAAAGACTTGGGTCTCAGGAAACAAAAGCCACCTGGCCCCCAGCTCGCTGTGAGAAGGCAGGGGTGTCGCCCGAGGCAGCGCAGTGTGGCCTGTGTGAGGCTTTTCCTGCGTGGTCTTCTCCAGTGGACTGGCCGTGAGCTCACGGCAAGGCTGGCCTTCAGTCTGGCTTGGTCCTGGCTGTATCCACAGAGCAGGAACTCCAGGCATGTGGCAGGTGCTTCATCAGCATCGGCCGGGTGGATGCACGGGTGACTGTCCGAGGTGGCCATTAGCTCATCACGACCTAGGCCCAGGCCCAAGGGCCTCTACAGGCCAGTTCCATGGATGCAGCCAAACCGCAGGTGCCAGCCTCGCAGGCTGTTTGTTTTCCCGCTCAGCCCACTGGCAAGGCGGGTGGGTGGCACAGGAGCACCAGGGTACAGGAGAGTCCCTCGGTGGCGACAGGCACAGGTGGTGGGTGCACGCTCCAGCTCCCGCGGGGTGCCCTGGAGGGGTTCTCACTGTCCACACTTCCTCCAACAATTTAAGCTCAGCTGCCCATGGGAACAGCAGGCTGACAATGTGCCTTTTATTGGCTTCCTTCGCCTTCCCGCCTCAATTCCATGCTGCCCCTTAGGGGTTTTGGGAGATCATCTCCCAAATACACCCTGTGCATTTGAATCTTTGGCTCTGGGCCTCCTGACACTCCCAGTGGACAGCTGGAGACCACACACGGAGAACCCCTCCTCAGAGGCCATGTGGCTTCTGGGACAGGACGCCAGCCGAAGGTAGGAGGGTCTTGGCTCCAGCCGTCTGGATCCTTTCTGGAGCGGCCGTAGAGGAGACTGGGGTCCCTTAGAGGCCTACACGGCAGCCGGTACAAATGGAAGGCTGGTAGCATGGTCTCCCGTGTGGCCTGCGGAGCAGAGGCAGCCAGCCTGCGAGCAAGAGGAGGAAAGCCAAGAAGAGAGGCTCCAGAGAGCCATTCCCACGCATCTCCAGCTAGGCGAAGCACCTGGCTGCTGAAGCCACTTTCCGGAGGGCATCTGTCGCGGGCAACCAAAGGAGTGCTGAGTTAGGACGGTGAGTGGGGAGCCTGGGGTCACAGGGCTGGAGGCCTCGGCCCACGGCAAAGGAAATGGAGCCAGGGAGGCAGAGCCGTGCCAAGGTCACACTACAGCTAAGTGGCCACAGCTTGGTCCCTCGACTCCTGTCTGAGTGGCTGTCCGGCTGTCGCCGCCCCCAGCACGGCCACCCTGGTTGTCCTTTCTGGAAGGACAGGCTGCTCCCCTGCATTTCCGCATGTAGCCAGAAAGCCTCTGACCAGGCTCCAGGGCAGCAGGTGCCGCTAGGTGACCAGAGGGGAAGTCACCACTTCCTGGGCTGCGCAGGGTGGTGGAGGACACAGCCTCCCCCGTACCACAGCTTCTTCCCTGGCGACAGCCCCTGGCACTGGCAGTGGGGCAGGCTGGGAGTGGGGTCTCAAGGGCTGTAGGGCTGTGGAGCACACGTGTCCACGTTCCTGATGCAGCTCTGTCCCCTGCGTTGAACAGCGAGGATGCAGCACACACCCCACAGCGTGGGAACCGCTGTCCCGATGCTCACCTGGGCATGCGCTGCAGGACCTGTCTCAGCAGACGCGCCATGTGGTATGCTGTCCCAATTCCGACAAGCATGTGTTCTGAGCTGTACGTGTTCCCAAGGTGTGAGGCTCCGGGTGGATCCTGCATCTCCCTCAGGACCCCAAGAGGTGGAAAATGGTCATGGCTCTCGGAGGGCATGAGCCCCCAGGCTTGGGCAAGCTGGGCGGCTGCTCCTTGGGGTTCCCTGACATGTGCCACCCCCATCAGTGGGGGCTGAGCTTTGGCACGGAGGCATCTGTGGTGGGCACAGCTGGCAGGGCCAGGAGGGTGGATGACAGGCCTCCGGAGACTCCTGGTCTGGCTGGCATCACGTCCCCAGTGACGGGCAATGCAGGGCAGCTGACTCTGGCTCGACAGGGGTATGCGGGAGGCTCCTCCATCCAAGCCTGGGGAACTGGAGATGCCCAGCAGCCCAGTTTCCCAGTTCTGCTGCCATCCTCCTTGGTCCCAAGTTTTCTTGCAGAAAGCAAGCCTATGCTAGACCTCCGGAGGGGACGACCTTACCCCTGAACCAAGGCGAGACCGTCCAAACATCCACCGATCTTTATGGAGGTCTGAACCCCACCCTCCCATTGGACAGGCGTGGGTCTTTCCTCCTCGGTGGACAGGGATGTGCCTGTGCCCTCTGCTGCTCTTGGGTACAGGTGACTGAGTCATCCCAGATTCAGGAATCCAGCCTGGAGAGGGGCACACAGCTCTGGCCTCTGAGCAGCAGAGGGCGATGGTGGGAACCAGCCCCGCGCCCACCCACAGGCGCTGGGGCATCCACCCCAAAGTCCTAAAGGGGAGCAGCCGAGGATGAGGCGGGAGGAAGGGGGTGATGGGGTGTGAGTGGGAGGAGCCATGAGTGGGGCCAGGACACAGGTGAGGAAGAAGCCATTCTATCCCTGCTCAGCCCCGGGCAGAGGCTAAGTGGGTTCAATGGCTGTGAAACCGTCAGGTGTGCAGGGAAGCCCTCGCATGACTGCACACGGACTGCCCCAGGCCGGGGGATGGGGGCCTTCCCACACTGACTGTAGCGGTCCAGCAGCCTCCACCGCCTTTCCAGCTTTCTCAGGGGCTTTCTTTCCCCCACTCAAAAAAAAAAAAAAAAGCCGTCTTTGCTTCTTGTTCTCAAATGCAGGGAAAGAGAAAAGGACAGGACTGCCCTTCCCTCCCGACTGGGCTGGGGGTCCTGCTTCTGCATCCTTCCCCAGCTCTGTCTTGGCCCGGCCATTATGGACACCTCCCCAGCCCACTCAAGTTCGGGGTGGGGGTCTAGTTGCCACACAGCACCTCCCACTCTCCACATCCTCTGAGGAGCCTGCACCCACTTTCGCCTGGGGCCCCCAAGCTTGGCACGGAGACAGACAAAGGGAATGAGCCCCAGGCAGGGTCTGGTAGACCTAGGCAGACCCTGGACAGCAGGTGGGACCCGGTGGCTGTTGTTGGCACGGAACCAAGCTGTGCTGCTGTGGCACCACATGAACCGGTTTTTGGAAATCCCTTCCTCGACAGCGCCGTCTCCCTTCGTTCCTCCAAAGACCTCCTAGGCACTCAGGCAAGGACCTGCCTTGGTGAGCCGCTGGTGGGCAGCCAGTCAGCCTTGGAGGAGGGGTTCTCTGCGTGTGGTCTCAACCTATCCACTGGGAGTGTCTGCTTCAGAGCCTGGTGGCACTGGTGGCCCCTCCTTGGGTGAAGCTGTTGGCTCCCACGTGGCATTTGAAGAACACAGGATTTCAAGCCCCTCCTGATCTGGCCTCTGCACCGTGGCACGGGCAGCCGACTGACGCCTCATCCACTCCCACCTCCCAGCCTGGGTAGGGGCATCTCAGCTGAGCCTCACTGTGGCGTTGCTTTGGGGACCAGCGCCTCCTCTCTTCCGCCCTTCTCAGGCCAGTGGCCAGCCACGGCCTACCCCTCACCCCTTCCATAAGCTGTGAGAGCCAAGAACACAGTGACCAAGGGCTGCAGCTCCTGGCTGAGGGGAGAGGGCCTTGGCCAGACTGTGAAGCCTGTAGTTATAGATGAGGTGGTCCAAATGGAAGATCAGGGCAAGTGCGGGAGTTTCCGAGGAGGCTCAGGCCCGACGGACAGCAGAAAGGACAGAGGTTCATCCTGGGGCTGCAGGTCACTGGGCAGAGAGGCCTCCAGGGACCTGGGCGCACAGGCATCTATGCCTGCAGTGAAGCCAGGGGTGCAGAGCCCAGGTCCCCAGCAGGCAGTGAGGGAGGTGCTGGCCCCTCAGACATCAGGCCCTTGCGGCCCACGTGGGGTCCCTTCTGGCAGGTGGAGGAGCCCACGTGGGCTCTGGAAAACACCAGTCTCATCCCGTCTCCCTCTACCTGGCTGGCCCTCCACAGTGACCCTCCGTGCTTTGTCTGGCATTTTTTTTATCTGCGTGCTAATCTCTCTCTCTTTTTCTCAGAGTTTTGCTCTGTCGCCCAGGCTGGAGTGCAGCGGCGTGATCTCAGCTCACTGCAACCTCCACCTCCTGGGTTCAAGTGATTCTCCTGCCTCAGCCTCCCGGGCAGCTGGGATTACAGGCACGAGCCACCATGCCCGATTAATTTTTGTATTTTTGTAGAGACAGGGTTCCACCATCTTGGCCAGGCTGGTCTGGAAGTCCTGACTTCGTGATCCACCTGCCTCGGCCTCCCGAAGTGCTGGGGTGACAGGCGTGAGCCAACATGCCCGGCCCGTTAGCAAGCTGAGGGTCCCTTGAGCACAAAGACTCCCAAGGGCCCACAGTACTGGCACCTGCGTGACCCCGAGTGAGTGAATACATGCTCCAGATGGTGACCCCTGCTGGGGAACACAGACCCTGGGGGTGGCTCAAGGTAGTGAGATGGGGTCCCCCGGTCCTTCCGCAGCCCCTCATCGCACTCTGTACCCTTTGCTGCTTTTGTCCAGAGAAGGCAGGTGATGTCGTGGTGAGCGGTGAGAGAAACGGAGCCTATGTGCAGGTGTGCGTGCCCCTTGTGGGTTCTTGTCACATGTCCCTTCCCATCACGGATGAGCAGAGACGCCCCTGCCCCACCAGGAAGGAGCCTCCGTATTTCTGGACGGTGAAAAGAGGTGTCCTGCTCAGAGGGGAGGAGCCTTCCTGGGGAATGATGTAGCTGGAAAGTCACTGGGGGTGGTCGGGACCCACCCGAGGGTATCGAGACCACAAAAATCAGTGCACGCTCCGCCTTCTGTGGGAAGTCTCAGTGTCGGTGAGGGACCGGTGGCCCCCAGGAACCCCATGTTTCTCTCTGCAGGGTCAGCTGTGCTTCTGTGACTAGGGGTTGAGGGGTGCATCCCACCTGGGTGGTGGAGGTGTCGGGAAAGGCCCTGAGTTGGATGAACACGGACTTCCCACCAATTGCTGGCTGGAAACCCTCCTCGGGGGAGGAGGAGCAGGAAGAGGCCTCGTGGTTCCAGAAATTCCAGGAAGGCCTTTCCGGAGCTGGGGCCCAGGCTGTCTTTGAGGATCCTGGGGTGGAGGAGACGGAGAGGTCTGAGGCATGGGGATGGGCTGCAGGGGCCACTGCTCTCTCCCATCGACGCCATCAGCCCCAGGTCCTAGAACGGAACAGGCTGCCTGTGTGGGCCCCCGGGCCTGGACAGGACCCTGCCGTCTAGGGGCCGGCTCTGCCACAGCTACCAGTGGGGTGGGTGATGTGGGGGCTGGACAGGCACTCCAAGCTCCCCCTCTCCACTGCCCTGGCCACACCAACTGCCAGGGCAGCCCATGCTCACCAGCAGAAGGAAGTCCCCTTGGGCGAGAGGGCGGGAAGCCCCAGTGGCCTCTGGGTGGCATCTGGGTCCAGGGAGCGTCCAGGGGGTTGTGTGCCCTG
The DNA here is from genome assembly GCF_000001405.40 of Homo sapiens. Classification (NCBI taxonomy): domain Eukaryota; kingdom Metazoa; phylum Chordata; class Mammalia; order Primates; family Hominidae; genus Homo; species Homo sapiens. The sequence continues at coordinate 79,112,875 of NC_000017.11, forward strand.
ACCTGGTGCCAACCTGGGCAGCAGGCTCTCGGGGGGGGGGTGGGCTGGGTAGGACTTCAGGGATGGTGGGGAAGGAAGAGACCAGGGTACTTGGTGGCTGCACACGGGCCCTCGAGTGCCCCGGGAGCTCAGGAAGACACTCTGACCTAGGCAGGTCTGGACCAAAGCTCTGAACTCATCCCACTTCCTATCCCGAAGATCTAGACCACAATACCAGGCTGCTTGGGGCAGGGCCAAGGGGAGGCTCGAGTGAGCTGAAAGGGCCCTGCTGATGACCCAGGGACAGGGTCTGGGGACACCTGAGCCAGCAGGGAGGCGTTCGGCCTTCAGCTGTGAGTGCCGGGCAGCCTCTGGGAGGAAGGAGCTCCTGGAATCTAGAACACCCTCTCCAGCTGCCTTCCAAGGTAGGAAGGCTCTGCATGAACAAATACTCCAAGGTTGGGGAGCGCATGGCCTCTGAGGAGGCCCAGGTCTTTGTTCTTCGTGGGGCACCACGCCGATGCCGTAACTTCTGCCTGCAGCCCTGCCCTGGGTGCAGGTCATGGAGGATGACTCTCTCCTCTGGGTCCCTGGATGAAAGATCTGCAGACCATGACCCTGAACCCTCTGCCAGACCTGAGAGACCCCAGCCTGAAGAAAGGAAGGTCAAGGCCGTCTGTCCATCCTCTGGGCTCTGGGTGCTTCCCACCTGGACACGCTTCCTGGGAGGCTCTGGAGGCTAATAACTGGGTGGTGAGACTCCCATCCTCCTGGTTGGAGAGTACTTCATTGGATGCAGCATTCACCTTTTCAGCAGCTGCTGCTCACTCGGGGATTCTCTCCATGGTCTGTGGCCTCTCACGGGCAAGCCAGACCCAAGCCAGCCTCTGTTTCTGACTTTCCTGTCCTTGCGTGGCAGGAACTAGGGGACAGGGCTGGGTCCTTTCTTCTTTGTAGCCTCAGTGCCAATTCAGTGCCTGGAACACGGCAGGTGCTCAGCAAATGTCTGCCGAGTGAAGGAAGACTTTATGTGTGTCCTGGTAGGCTGTGTCTGGTGGCCCCAGGTGTCCAGGAGGCATCTGGCCTCGGTTCTGTTGTTCAGTTAGAGTGCTAGGTCCGTCCCCAAGCTGTGTTATCTGTGTGTCTGACCCTCCTGCTTCTGGTTTTCTTCTGGGACGAACCCCTGAGGCTCACCATGAGAGACCCCCTCGTCTGTCCATAAGGTGGCTGTCAGAGGTTTGAGCAGATAAGCTGTGTCTACTGGAGTCAGTCAGAAGGAGACCCAGCCTGCTCTAGCGTGACTTGTTTATGGTGAACCCGGCTTGGCTCCTGGGATCATCTCTGTCTTTTCTAAGCACACACAGGGCGTGGGTTTGATGAATAAGAACCAGAGCAGACAGGGAAGCTTGGCCCCTGCTTCTACCACCCTGGGGCCTGGCCTTTTCCATGTGTGTCCTGTGGCTGTAGGAACCCTGGGTATCAGGATGCTGGGGGCGCTGGAAAGGCTGATGGTCTCGGGGCAGATTCGGGCTGGGCGGGGCTCCAAGCAGGGAGGAAAGGCACCGCCTGGGTGCCAGATGAGGGTCGGGTCCAGCCCAGGAGGTGGCTGGGTGGGCTCTCTCGGCAGAGGGCCTGGGTGACGCTGGAGGAAGCCCCTGCCCACACATGCACCGGGGGAAGGCTCCTATCTGCGTCCACGCAGCACGCTGGGAGCCAGGCTGGACGGCAGGAGGGCTGAGGCAGTCGGGAGGGGGACCCCCATTGGGAGCCGCCGGGGCGGTGCCACTCCCGGGCAGTGCAGAGAGCTCTGGCCTCCTGCCCAGCCCCGCCAGCTAGCACATCCAGCGGCTGGGACAGGGCCAGCGGGGACAGTTGGATGAACCTGGAGCCCCAGAGCAGGGGCAGGGGAGGCACATGGAGATCTCAGTGGAGGGGACCAGACAAAAGGAATAGGCCGGCTGGGGCTCTGGGGGGTGGGTGGAGGCAGGGCCTGGTTTTTGTACCCAGAGCCCACTCCAGGCCAGCCGCTTGGCCACTCCCTGCTGGCTCTCTTTGCTCTCAGGAAATCTGAGAAGTGAGGGCTCAGCACTTTTGCCTGGGAGCTGCATTACAACCACATAATTGAAGCTATCTGATTGGAGGCCAGCCAAGCAGGTAGATTACAAGTGATTAGAAATGATAGGAGGGCCTGCAACCCGAGGCAGCTCGGAGGGCCCTGGGCCACCTCCACGGCTCTGCCTCTGCCCTCCGCCCGTCTCCTTCACTTTCCACTAACAGGTCTCTGGCAGCGAGGACACCTCCCAGCTGGGGTGAGTGTTTGCTCGAAGCAGGGAAGCCAGGCCCAGGCGGCTGGAGGACGGTGGCTGCCACCCCACCCCTAGGTGCCCGGCCATTCCTCCAGATGCCTGCTCATCACAAAGCTCCTTGGCGCCGGGGGTCGAGCAGGGGCTGGAAATGCCTTCACTGGGGGTGACTTCTGGCCCAGGAGCCCCGTAAAAGGCCTGCCCTCCACACACAGAGGCCCTGCCCAGGCCCCTCGCCCACCTGGTACACCTCATGCCCTTCTGGGCCACCCTTCTTCTGGGTGGGTGCTCCTCCCTGAAGCTCCAGGGCTGGGCCTGGGGTCGTGGGGGCCCTTACCGGCACTGTCTGGGTCCCGGCGATGGGCTGTGTGCTGGCCTCGGAGCCTGGCTGCTCGGGGTGGGTCTGTGCTGGTGTGTACAGGGTCATGCCATGCTCTGTGGGGACCGGGGTCTGGCCGGAGTAGTCCTGCGTGGGGTGCGGTGGGGGCGGGGCGTACTCGGCAGGGATGCCGTTCTGTGGCGGAGGGGGGTACTGGGCGGGGGGGTAGGGCTGGGCCATCGCTTCAGGCGGAGCCGTGGCGTCCTGATCGCTCTGTGGAAGGAGAGAGAGCAAGGCCTGGTTAGAATCTTGTCCCCTTCCCGGAGCCCCTGAGGATGGGGCCTTGTGGCTGAGCAGAGCTTCTCCAGCAGTATTTTCAGCAGCCTTTCCCCGGCCCCTCCAAGGGGGGCTCGCCGGCATGGGCACCAGCTCAGAGCAGGAGGGGGTGCTGCGCTGGGAATGCCGGGGAGCCTGGCTCTGGAGTCAGACACCCCTGGAGTTCAGCCCATTTACTCACACTTGTCAGACCTGGGTACAAGAACAACTGAAGGGTTTTTGTAAACTACCTGATTTTAAAAAAATTAACCATTTTAAGGTAACTGTAGGCTCGTGCAGCTGTAAGAAGTAACACAGTGATCTGTACACCTTGTAACCAGGGTCCTCACGGTAACATCCATAAAACCACCACCAGCAGGATACTGACATGGATTCACACAACACACAGAATGTTCCAGCAGCATGAGGACTACTGCTCTTCCCCTTTTAGAGCCAACCCATCTCCTTCCCACCTCAAGAATTTTAAGCCTTGACAGGTGGATCACCTGAGGTCAGGAGTTCAAGACCAGCCTGGCCAACATGGTGAAACCCCATCTCTACTAAAAATACAAAAATTAGCGGGATGTGGTGGCACGTGCCTATAATCCCAGCTACTCGGGAGGCTGAGGCAGGAGAATCACTTCAACCTGGGAGGCAGGGGTTGCAGCGAGCCAAAATCGCACTATTGCGCTCCAGCCTGGGTGATGAGAGCGAAACTTCATCTTCAAATAATTTTAAGCCTCAGTTTTGTCATTGGAAAGCAGAAGTGAGAGGGCGGCGCTGCCCAGCCCGCACCTGGATCCCTGGAAGTGACTGTGCAGAAGCTGAACTCAGGGCCTCCTGCCTCCCCTGCCAGTGATGGCCATGACAGTGAGGTGTGTCGGGGGGCAGGGAGGGTTCCAGCCTCTGTGTCAAGGATCTCTGAGGAACTCTCAAAGATCTGTCTGTGCCCCCTCAAAGGCCTGCTGCCCCAAGCGGGGAATACTGCTCCTGCAGCCACTCTCAGAGGCTCTTAGAAGCCCAGGCCCTTGGGCAGGACCCCAGCAGCAATACAGGGCAGTGGTTGTCAAAGTGGCCTGGGCCCACAGCATCAGCAGCACCTGGGAGCTTTTTGGTGGGCAATGCGGGTTCCAGGGCGCACCCCAGGCCTCCTCCAGCAATCTGCGTGCACTGAGAACCACTGACCTAGGGCCTGAGAAGCAGCCCTGGTGGGGAGCCCTTATGATCCCAAGAGGAGGGCTGGGGTCTTTCACAGTGCCAGAGAGCAAGGTGCAGGCGGAGGCGGCAGAGGGAAAGGGGCTCCGGCCTCCTCCACTCGCTGTCCTCCACTGCAGACACAGCCTGGGGCCCAGGACCCCCTGAGCAGGCGAGGCACTCGCCCCCCCAGGAGTCTGCGGTGAGGAGGCCCCACTGCCTGGAAGGACAGATGCCGCCTCTGCCTGGAGCAGCCCAGTGTGTTAGGACCCCTGCTCAGATGTGGATGGGTCTGACGCTCAGCCACCCTGGCAGGGACAGGCAGGAGTCCGCGTCCTTGCTGAAGGTGGGCTTTGCGGTGGGGAGGAGGAGCGCCCAGCAGGGAAGTGGCTGCTCACCTCCCTCACCTGCGCCTCCACCCCACGCTCCCATCACCCGGGGCCACGCACGCTTTGTTCACACCACACACGTTAGTTCAGTGAGCACCTACTAGGTGCAGGCAGAGGCTGGGGGCTGCCCCCGCAGGGCGGTCTTTCTCCCGCTTCCCTCCACACCCACACATCCCCCTCTGCCGGGCTCCTGTGTTCTCGGCCTCTGGGCAGTGCCTCCCCTGGCTAAGGAGGAGCCCCTCATGTGCCCATGCTCCCTGCACAGGTGGATCTGGCATGTCCACCTCTGTCCTGCCTCCCCCACCCCTAGCCTGTCCTCTGCATCCTTCATTCAGTTCCTACAAATCCACCCAACAACTGTTGATGGGGTACCTGGGGTGTGCCAGGCCCATGCCAGGGCAGGGGCTGTGTTGACAGCAACCCCGACAGCCCCTGCTCCCTGCTGGTGGGGCCTGCAGTCCAGCGGGAAAGGAAAGCTTCAGAGAACAATGACCCGATGTCAAACCATTGTTACAGCACTGAGGGCTGCAAGGGACCTGGCTGCACCAGGGAGGTGGCCCCAAGGGACGGTCCAAGGCTGGGTGTTCTGCTTCAGACCCGGCCACCCCCTCCTTCTGTTTATGGCCCCAAACCCTCTGCCTGGGGGCCCAGCAACCTAGGGTGGGTGCGCATAGCTGGAAGGGTGGAGCCTGGGCAACCCAGCCGTGCCCTGCTCCCTGAAGCCCCCAGTGCCGGCCGGCCCTGGGCTCTGCAGCGGGGGCCGTCTCGGTGCTCGCCACCCTGCGACAGACTCGCTGACTGGGAACCTAAGGAGCAGAAGTGCTGTCCTCCTCCCATCCCCACCCCTCCACAAAGCCAGCTGGCTCCTTCCCTCTCTCTGCAGACTCTGAAACTGGGGCGACATTCAAGCTCCTCAGCCACGGGAGGGAAGCACACACGTGTGCATGCGTACACACTCGTGGGAGGTTCCAGGCTCATTGCCCCAAGGTAGCTGGTGAGGCCCCATCGTCCGTTGTTAGCAAACGTGTTGGTGACGGAGTCCAGTGGGAAGGGGTGGATCCATGAGGGAGGAGGAGGGGGAAGGAGAGTCAGGGCACCCAGGAGGGGTGGAGAGCATCTAGAACCCAGGATGGCCAGAGGCAAAATCAGGAAAACAGGAGCAAGAGAAAGTGTGGAAGGCACAGCGTGAGGGCCCTGCAGACACAGGGGAGATGAATTTGCTGATAAATATTTGATTAGAGCCTTCACCGCCTTGCACTGTCTTCCCAGCAACCCCCTCCTCCACCTCCTCCAAGGCCTGAGAAAGAGTGGGCTCCTGGTTGGGTGCAGTGGCTTATTCCTGTAATCCCAGCACTTTGGGAGGCTGAGGTGGGAGGATTGCTTGAGCCCAGGAGTTCGAGACCATCCTGGACAACACAGTGAAACCCTCTCTACAAAAAATAAAAAAAAAAAAAATAGCCAGGTGTGGTGGCACATGCCTCTAGTCCCAGTAATGTGGGAGGCTGAGGCAGGATCATCACTTGAGCCTGGAGGTTGAGGCTGCAGTGAACCAAGATCACACCACTGTGGTCCAGCCAGGGTGACAGAGGAAACCCCTGTCTCAAAAAAAAAAAAAAAAAATAAAGAAAATAAAATAAAAAAGAAAGCGCAGCTCCTGTCCCATCTGCTTCCTTCTCACCCTACCTCTAACCCTCTGCAGGGCTCTAATCCCTGTCATTCAACTTGGGGCTGAATGACAGCTGCCAATCACTCTCACTTGAGGTTCTGCAGGGCTGAAGCCCAGAGCCCTGAGCTAACAAATGACAGGCGAACCCGCCAACATAAAGGGGGGAGCTCCGGCAGTAGGTGCCAGATCTGAGGGCATCTGTGGTGGGCAAGAGGTCCCTAGCAGATGGGGACATTTTAGGGACATTTGTGACACTAGAATAAAACAGCATATTTGAGCCCACAGTGCTCCCTGCTTTTACAGACGCTCACTCATTGAGTGGACACTTCCCCCTTTCCCAGCTAATAAAACCGAGGTGTAGAGACAAAGTGATTTGCCAAACTAGTATGGGAGGACCCCAGAGAGCAGCACTGGCAGCCAGGATCCCAAACCCACCATATGCACCTCCACATGGAATTGTAGCCCTGCCCAGGGTGGTTTGCAAGGGAGAGGAGGTTTCACAGCCAAGCATCGGGGTCTAGACCCTGCAATGCACGGGGATGGGCTCCAATGTCCCCTCTTAGCCACCAGGTGGTCCTGGTGACTGTCTGTCCTCTCTGCACAGGTTTCTCCATCCGCAAATGGTCACAATAGAGCCTGGACAGAGGAAATGCAGAATGAAAGCCAGCCAGCGTGACTCAGGGGGTCTTAGGGTGACAAGCAATATCCCTGCCCTGTGTGTCCTCCACAGCTGTGCTGGTGTGGCTGTGGTCCTGCAAGCGGCTCTCAGAGCTGGCTACACATCCCAGTCACCTAGAGAAGTGTCCACACCTGGGCCGCACTCCTGAACAACAGAGGCCACTTACAACCAATGTTTCCCAGGAGACTGACATGCAGCCCTGGTGGAGAGCCCCAGACCAGAAAAGCAAAGTGTATCAGGCCCATCCTGATAGGGTACGTGAATGCCCAGCACACAGAAGGCTGTGCAGCCAGTATCTGTCCCATTGCTTCTCTTCTTCCCAGGTCTGCTAGGGTCAGAGTCAATGAGGGCCTGGGGTTGGGTGGTGTGAGCGGAGGAGTTCCTGCTGGGCTATGGGGCTTATCTCAGATGACCTCATGTTGGACCAGCTTGTGGAAGGATCTGGTTCCCCAGGGGACTGTACATTCTCAGAGAATGGGGACCACTTCACTCACCCTTTGTCCCCATATCCCTGCACTCAGCACAGCACCCTGTTCTACTCAGAAGAGTCTCAGCGTACAAGAACGGGTGGATGTACGTACGTATGTACGTATGTATGCATGGATGGATGGATGGGAGGGGTACATGGGTGGGCAGGTGGGTGGATGGAAGGATAAATGGATGGTTGGATAGATGGGTGGATGGATGGATTAAAGGGTGGGTAGATGAGTGGATGGATCAGAAGGTGGGTAGATGGATGAGTGAATGGATGGATGGAAGGGTGGATAAATGGGTGGATGGCTGAATGAATGAGAGGGCAGATGGATGGGTGGGTGGATGGATGAGTGCATGGATGAATGGATGGGTAGATGGATGGGAGGGTGGATAAATGAGTGGATGGAAAGATGGATGAATGGATGGAAAGAAGGGTGGATGAAAAATTGGTGGGTGTGTGGATGCACGGATGAATGGATGGGTGGATGGTTGGATGGATAGATGGGTGGGTGGGTGGGTGGATGGAAGGGTGGGTGGGTGGATGGATGGACAGATGGATAAATGGATAGATGGGTGGATGGATAGACGGATGAGTTTAAAGACCATGGATAAGTTGTTATCCTCCCTTCCTCTACAAACTTGCCCCCCTCTTCTATCATCACTTGTGCCTGGCAAAACTGGTAAGACCCAGCTCTTCCTGCTCTACTCCACAGCCCACACTGAGGCAGATAAACACAAAATCACCCTGAATGATTCATTCAGAATCCATGACCACCCCCTGCCATGGGCCAGGCACTGCCATTCAGCTCTCACGACCTGAATGTTGATTTCACCCTTCCTCCTCAACCTTCCAAATATTCTCCTTTATCCTCACTCTTGGTGAGACCTTGCTTCCTGTTTTCTAGGAAACAGGAGACAACATCCACATTCACCTGCCCACCTCCCTGCCTCGTCACCTACACCAGGCCCTCCCTTCTGTCCCCAGGGATGAGCATCGTGCTCCCAGACATGACCAACCACGTCACCTGTACACTAGAAACCAGCCCTTCTCACCATCATATGCTCACATCTCTGGCAATTCGCCCCTTGCACTCCACAGCCATCAATGTTTTCCTCCTGCCAGCACCCTGACAGGCTGCAGTCTCTCCCGTGACAGGGAAAGAAAACCCTCCTTGACACCATGGCTCCTTCATCCTACAAACTCAATTCACCACCTCCCTTAGAGCAAAACTTCCCAAATGAGTTGTCTATACCTGTGGCCCCAATTCCCTCACTCCCATTCTCTCTTGGTCCCACTCCAAGCCAGTGTTCCGAGGCACCATTCCCTGAAGCCACCTTTGTCAAGGTTTTTACATCCACCATACTGAAAATGCAATGTGACCATTGCAATGTGACTGATGTGTCCAGTCCTTGTCTGGTCTGGGCCCTCAGCAGCATTAGCCATAGTTGGTGGCTCCTCTATGTGGAGACACTTCTCTTGGCTGCACTGCCCCACTCTCAGTTGGTTCTATTTTACTGGAAGCTTCATCTGCATTGCTGATTCCTGTCTATCTCTCCAACATCTGGATACTGATGGGCCCCAAAGCTCAGAACTCGGACCTCTTTCTTCCCTGTCTATGCTGACTTTCTGAAGGTTTTGATTTAGTCTCCAAATTAAAAAAAAACATCTGTATGTTGACAATCCCAAAGTTTTATCTCCATCCTGGACTTCTCCCCAGAATCCCAGCTGCCCCTTGCAGTCTCCACTTGGACATCTGATACACTTTGGGGGTTTGACGTGCCCCCAAAGGGACCTCTGACCTCCTCCGCATTGCCCCCATCAAACCCATCTCTGAGGTCTTCCCCATCTCAGGAAACACCTGCCCCCCAGTCCAGCACATAGTCCTAATCTGGGGGTCACCCTTGACTTGGCTCTTTTGGCCCACACACCACAAACAGTCCAGTAGCAAACCCCACAAACAGTCCAGTAGCAAACCCCACTGGCTCCGCCTCCAGCCGCCCTGAACCGCCCACTGCTCCCACCTTGGTCGGGCCGCCATCATCTCCTGTCTGGTCCTCCTACTTCCTCCCTGGCTCCTACACTCTGTCCTCTGCACAGTAGAACCCAAAGTCCTGAGACGGCCCCTCCCCCACCAGGGTCCTGCACGACCCCTGCTCCTGCTTCTCTCCTCTTGCTTGTCTACTCCAGCCACAAATGTCTCCGCTGTTCCTTGAACGTCTAGCTGCCACCTAAGGAATTTGGCACACAGGTGTATAAAAAGGTGCTCACCATCATTGATCATCAGAGAAATGCAAATCAAAACTACACTGAGATATCATCTCACCCCAGTTAAAATGGCTTAAATCCGAAAGACAGGCAATAACAAATACTGGCGAGGATGTGGAGAAAAGGGAACCCTCATACACTGCTGGCGGGAATATAAATTAGAACAACCACTACGGAGAACAGTTTGGAGGTTTCTCAAAAAACTGAAAACAGCTGCCGTAGGATCCAGCAATCCCACCTCTGAGTATGTTCCCAAAAGAAAGGAAATCAGTATATGGAGGAGATATCTGCATTGCTGTTTATTGCAGCACTGTTTACAATAGCTAAGATTTGGAAGCAACCTAAGTGTCCATCAACAGATGAATGGGTAAAGAAAATGTGGTACAGATACACAATGGAGTACTATTGAGCCATAAAAAAAAAATGAGGGCCTGTCATTTTCAACAACATGGATGGAACTAGACATCATTTTGTTAAGTGAAATAAGCCAGGCACAGAAAGACAAACATCGCATGTTCTCACTTATTTGTGGGATCTAAAAATCAAAACAACTGAACTCACGGACACAGAGAGCAGAAGGATGATGACCAGAGGCTGGAAAGACGAGGGGGGTGTGGGCTGGGGGAAGGTGGGGATGGTTAATGGGTACAAAAGAGCAGAAAGAATGAATAAGACCTACTATTTGATGGTATAACAGGGTGACTATAGTCAATAATAACTTAATTGTACACTTAAAAATCACTGAAAGAGCATATTTGTATTGTGTGTAACAGAAAGGATAAATGCTTGAGGAGGTGGACACCCCATCTTCCCTGATGTGATTATCACACACTGCATGCCTGTATCAAAACATCTCATGTATCACATAAATATATACACCTACTATGTACCCACAACAATTAAAAGTAAGAAAAACGAAAACCCTGCTGGCACTCCCCACCCCCTCTACCCCCAGCTCAGTTCTGCCCTTCCCCCTCTGAGTGCCTCCAGGTGTCCATGATCACCGTCTGCCTCTGCCCCCAGAACTAGTCAGGAGAACAAGGACTTTGTCCCTCCTGCTGCTGAATCTCCGGCATCCAGAGCAGTGTGTCACACACAGAGGGGACACGCTAACAACGGCCCTAATGGATGGATCAATGCCCAGATGAAGAAAGACGTCTCGGTGGGCGTGCTCGCTGACCAAGCTCTAGTGTACCCCACACGTGCCATCTCATCGAATCCCCACAAGCCTGTAAGGCAGGCTCAGATGTCAGCCTTGCTCTGCAGATGAGGCTTGGGCAGCCATTCCTATCGCACCTGGCAGGCAGGCGGCAGGCAGTAAAGTTTGGCCAGCCCCCGCCTTCAGGGGCTATTGATGCAGGTGGGGACGTGCAGGAAACCCGGCTGTGCTGCAGGCCTGCTCTGTGTCCACTGCCTCGCGGCCATCATCTCATCTTTACTTACCATTCCTCCATGTGGTCGGTACCACGAACGCCATTTTTACAGAGGGGCCAAGGTGCCTGCCCAGGGTCACAGAGCCAAGGTTCTCACATAGACTGCCCCCTCCCACACACTCTACTGCACACACCCTCTTCAACACAGCAGGCAGGGAAGCGCAAGATGAGTTGGCATGGAGGTGGCGGCTGGCTCATCCCAGCATGTGAGTGCCACTGGGCATGCTCTTTACAACTCCAGGTCTAGTGACCACACTGGGAGTCTGAAATCAGCCCTGGTGGGAGCATTTACACCACAGGAATCGGCAAAGGCTGCACATCACACATAAGGGCTGGATTGGGATTTGTCACAGAAGAGAGGGTTGTTAGACATTTACCGGCACGCCACTGCCCAGCTCCCTTCAATCACACAGCAAGGTGACCACCATGGCTGCCCCGGAGGCCTGAACGTGTGGCAGATAAATGACACTGAACGAGGCTGTCTGCAAAGACTGCACTCGACATTTTAAAATCAAATGCAATTCAAGCAACAGTTATGGAGCCCCTCCTCTGGGCCTGTATTTAGAGGTGAACGAGATGGGGCCTTATACACTAGAGGATTTCTGGTACCACAGGGAACTGACCATTCCCAGCCAGCAGCAGCAAGGGCTGGAAGGTGGTGAGCTCCATAAAGGCTAATGTCCACGTGTCTGGCAAAAGTGAACCAGGGGCCATGACAGAGAGGGATGGCACCAGCTCGGGTGTGGGGGCAGAGGGAAGGTGTTGCGGGGGTGGGTGGCCAGGGCTGGCCTTGTAGGCAGGGCCAGGGCTCTGGGAGTGGCTGGCCTGCCAGGCCCGCTCTCCACCCCTTACCCCGCCTCTGCTCCATGAACCTGGCAGCCTGGCCTGGACCTGTAGCCCTGTGGCTTCCTGGTGACAGTGGGGGGTGGGAGAGGAGTGTGGGTCTGGTGTATTTGGTCCCCTGGTTGCCCACTGGGAGGCTGTCGTCGGCTGGCTCTGTCCTGGACCATGGTGGACTGACCTTGTCTCGGGGGGAGCCCAGTCCACGACTCTCCCCACTCCCTGGCTCTAGTCATTGCTTCCTCCACGCGCTCCTCCGGGCCTGGCGTGGTGATGGCTCTGTCGTCGCCAGTTCTGGGGTCCTGTGCTGTCCCTGGTGGTCCCTCCAACCCTGACCTCTAGACGCCTCCTTGAAAATAAACTCGTCTCCAATTATCCGGGAATGAGCGAGCCACCTGCTGCCTGTTGGATCCTGATGACATGACGGTGTGGGGCGAGGGCTTCCCTAGCCCAGGACAGGCAGGTGGGGCCCTGAGCAGGTTGGGGCTGTGGCTGGCTGTCTGAGCCACAGGGCCTCGCCTGGGCTGTGCTCTGGGTGTACATGTCCTTGGTCCCAGGACCCTGTGCACTAGCCCCACCACCACTTTGGGCCTCAGCAACTTAGTTTGTGGGATGGGGACAATGACTCATCTGCCTGGAGGCAGGGCCGGGCAGAAGCACCCTCCATCTTCCAGACCTAGAGCTGAGGACCCCCAGAGGTGTCTGCCCACGTCGCTGGCCCAGTGTGTTCTCTACCCGGCCTATCCCTTGGCCAATGTGCTCTCCGGTCCTGCCTGGTAAGGTCCCCCAGCCTGCGTGTGGGACAACGGGCCGGCAGGGAGCTCAGGGAGCAGGCGGCAAGGAGACAGGCTGGCCAATGGTCTGGCCGTGGATGGAGCCCCTCCCGCACGGCCTGGCCGCCTTCCCTCGGCACAGCCCTTCCTGGCTCCCTCTCCTCTCAGGCCCTCCAGGACAATGAAGCTAATTGCCTTCAGACGGCTCCCGCCTGCGGGAAGGGCGCCGCGTGGCCCTGGGCCGGCGGGGCAGGCTGCAGTGGGAGTGAGGCTGGTGGCGAGGCTGGGCACCGGGCCATTTCTCCAGCACCTCTGGGCAAAGCCCATTCCAGGCAGAAATGGGGAAGGGAGGGAGGGGGAACGCCAGGCCCCATCCGCCGAGCTGTGAGGTGTGTCACAGCCTGTGCCACCCATGCAGGTCACCTGCCTGCCCAAGAGGTGAGTCCACCCACCTGCAGATCTGTGCTGCCCTCACCCTCATAGCCACTACCACCCCCTGCACATTTAATTCTCCTGCTGACCTGCAGAGGTGGATGTCACAAGCTGAGTTTCACAGAGGGGACACCGAGGCCAGCAGCTATGTGTTCCGTGAGCAGGAAAGCCCCTCACCCCCTCCCCACGATCTGGGACACCTCAGACTTCCTGGACGCGTCTGCCACATTCCCAGTTTGAATGCGGTTGGAACACAGACGTGTGAAAGTCTGGTGTGAGGAGGGGGCTTGAGGCTGTCAGCCCCACATATCCCTGTGATGGGGACCAGAACAGGACAGACGGATGTCCACTTCCAGAGTCTGGGGTGGGGGCCAGAGCCATCTCACCAAGAGCGTGTGGTGCCCTCATGTGGCAGGCGGCGATTCACAGGCAGGTACCCGATGTGAGCACCCCTGCCCGGCCCACAGCCCTCCCGAGATCCTGGAGGAATCTGGTGTTGGAAGGGGAGGCTGGTGACCCGGGGGCTGACCTCTGGCAGGTAGGGGGTGTGGGTTCCAGTCCCTGGGGTCCCTGATGATGGCTGGATCAGGTGACCTCATTACTCTGACCTCCCCTGCCTGGAAGCAGGGGTGGTCCTGCCCTCCTCCCTGTCTATACACCCAAGGGCGTGCAAACGAGGCCCCATCTCTCTGCATGGCAGGGAGTCTACATCCTCGTCTCTGGCTGCAATTGAGCACCCTGAACACTCCTTCAGTTCTAGAATCTTAGAACAGGTAGTTTCTGCAGGAGACACCCAGCCCAGCCCGCCAGACAAAGTCTCCTCTGTTCCCTCCCTGACCGGCACCCCGGACCTCTGCTCAAACAAGCCTCCTGACCGGTGCTTTACTAACGAGGAGGCTCCTTCAGTCCACCTCAGAACAGCTCTGCCACTCACTGAGCTGAAATCTGCCTTCTGGAAACTTCCACCCGGCACCGGGCTTTGCAGGCATCCCACAGCCTCCTCTTCGCAGGCTGGTCCTCCAAGAACGCACAGAATCCACCTCTCTAGTATGTTTGGCTTGGGTGAAGCCTCCAGTTTCCTGAGTGGCCAACTGCTACCAGCTTTGCCCATCCTGGCTGCTCCTCAGCACGACTCCAACGCCACATTCACTCCCAACTTACAGGTCAAGAGTCACAGGCAAATGGCTCTGGTTGGATCTGAATCCGGGCCAGCCTTCCAAATTATCACCCGACGTCACCATCATGCAGGTCCGGGTGCACCCTTCCTTCCTGAGGGGCTGGGAGCAGCTTCACTTCTTGATACCTGAGTGCAGAAAGGGGGGCTCCCCAGCTGTGCCTGCCCAGGTGGCCAGTTCAAGAGCAGAGTGGGTAGTTTCCACGAGCCAGAGGACAACCCAGAGATAACGCATCAACAGGAACGATGAGAGGGAGACCTGAGGGAGAAGCAGGTGTCCAGAGCGGTGAGGGAGGAGAGGAGGTGGGAAGAACGGAGGAACAGAAGAACAGGCATTTCTAGACAATGCATTTGCTTCTATTTTCTTGCAGGTGATGCTCCTATTTTCTTTTCTTTTTTTAATGTGCATATTACAGGTCAAAGAAGTTTTAGGGAAAATAAAAGATTATCTAAAACGGATGAAGATTAAGCTGGAAAACATGATGATGTCAAGGGAAGGCCCAGGTGCCCCCGACCGGCGCCCTTGAGCCCCCGCATCAGAGGCCGGTTCCTATTGCTGATGTCACATCGTGTGCTGGGGTCGGGTCTGGTTCCAGGAAAGATGTCCTGCCATGATTAAAGCTGCACTGGGCTGGAACAGCACGAGTTATCTGGATATCTCCGAGGAGGGTGGAGCTGGCCCCACTCATAAGAGACCTGTGACCCCCGATCCCAGGAGGTTCAAGATGAAAGGCGTCTCAGAGAACATTCTGTCCACTTTGTCAAGGAGAAAATGGGCACCGGAGAGGCTGACTTGCCCCTGTCACGCTGCCCCCGTCACGCTGCTGGTGCGGGCAGGGAGCCCTGCTGTTCTGCATGTCTGCACCAGCAGGAAAGTGAGCAATGGTGTGCGTGAATCTGCCCCCAAAATACACACCATGCGACCGCTCAGCGCCAGGTTCTAGATGTCTGGGCACAGCAGCGGGTAGAGTCCTACCCTCAGGGAGCAGACTCCTGGCGGAAGCCCTCCCCAGCATTGGCTAAATTGGAGATGCATGATTCCATGCTCAGGGGTCCCCCACTTGGCCTCTATTATGTTTGGCTTGGTCGAAACCTCCAGTTTCCTGAGTGGCCAACTGAAGGCTGGGCACGTCCTCCTGGCATTGAGCATTTGCTTCAGTGACTCCTAGAGAGGATCCCCCATGTGTGGATGAGGGGGGGACTTTGCTTCCCAGAAGCACAAATAAACCATCGTGAGCGTTTTCTACGACCCACTGAGGTCCCAGAAGCAGGTTTTCCCCAGGTGCTTTGTGGACCCAGGATCCGCCAGGGCTTTCCCAGGATGGAGGTCACAGGTGGCAGGGGGACAGGAGGGCCCGTGCAGCCACAGCTCTCTCTCCCGCACCAGGTTCCTGCCTTCAGACTCAGCTGCTTCCTCCGCCCAGAAACAGGCCACCTCTACAGCTCACAGGCTCCTAACTCCAAGGTCTGTGGTTCCGGCTGGACTGGGAGAGTGAGCATCCCTGCCGGATGAGAGCAGAGGCCCCTGACCAGCATGGAACACCCCCAAAAGCCAGGTCGTAGCCAGCAAGGTGAGAAGCCTGGG
Organism: Homo sapiens; assembly: GCF_000001405.40. Lineage (NCBI taxonomy): Eukaryota > Metazoa > Chordata > Mammalia > Primates > Hominidae > Homo > Homo sapiens. The sequence continues at coordinate 79,128,696 of NC_000017.11, forward strand.
AGCCGGGGCTGCCTGCCCCTGCTCCTGTGGGGACTCCTGCTGTGCCAGGACGGGCAGCTCAGGAGACCTCTCACTCCAGGGCAATCTCATGCCTCCTTATCAGGAGCTCTTCGGGAGTCATCCCCAAGGTGCAGGATGTACAGAGGGGTCCCTGCAGGTACTTTAAAGCCAGAGACCTTGGTGCATGGCCCTGTTTCAGCAGAGGTGCTATTGCAAATGCCTCAGGCCAGAGTGAGGCTATGATCACAGTGAAGAAACCTCTGGTGGTGCTTTGCCACCTGAGCCCACCTGAACTTTCCAGAACCTCAGCAGTGGAGGGTAGCACCCCAGACCCCGAGACCCTGAGCACAAGTGCTTGTGCTTCCATCACTGAGTCCCCAGGGGCTGACCCGGTTCAGGCACATGGCAGGTGCTCAGTAAATGCTGAGTGATGCTGCTGCTGCTGATGATGATAATTAGAGTAGTGACGGACGGTGGCTGAAGGCTTACGAATGCCCAGCACTGGGTGAAGCACTGAAAGTACATTATTTCATTTAATCTTCAATGCGCTAAACTGGCATTCTTGATGCAAGGAAAGAAACTCAGAGTGGGGAAGTTACTTGCCCAAGCACACACATCCAGGATGTAGCAGACCTGGGATCTGAACCCAGGCCTGTTTGATCCTGGAACCACCTGCTGCTACCTGACAGGTATGGACTGCTTTCCAATCCGGAGTAAGAGGGTGTGCCCTAGAGACCCAGGGGAGGAAGGAGGGGTGGGCAGCAGGACAACGCTCTCTCCTTCCCCCAAGCCCCCCAGGCTCCTGCTGAGCCAGTTGTCCAGGCTTCCTGAGTTCATTCTAACCTAGTGACCAACCAGGGTTTCCTGAGACCCTGATATGCACCCACCTCTGTGCTTGACACTGTCCTTCAAGGTGCAGAGGACACCATAGCCTCTGTAGGGGCTGACTCAGGACCTCCCCTGCCCCAATGGGGAGAGGTAGTGGTGTGCTGGTAACATTAACAACTGGCTCCGTGGGGAAAAGACTGCTTGTGGCGTTTGCCAATTTCCCTGGTGTAAATACTCCCACCATTGCTGGTTCTAAACTACCAGCCTGAAATCTCTGAAGGTGCAGCTGGGAAGAGATACTTACAGTCCAGAGCTTATATGACACCCCAGCCCATGCCAGGGAGGGGAGGAATGGGCGGACCTGCCCCAGTCGGGCTCCAATTCACTCTCCTTGCCCCAGCAAGAGGTCTAGGGAGGCCCAGGAATGGGGGCTGGTGAGCAAATGGGAGCTCTGCAGGAGGAGGGCAGGGGCTGCCCTGCGGGGACCGGGAGGAGGCTGGGCAGCGCTGCTTGCTGGGGAAAGGCTCAGGAGGTGCCCAGGCCTGGAGCAGGAATGCACCTGAGTGACTTGCTCCCACCCCATCCAACCCATTCTGTCCCCTGACAGCAGGTTTAATATCTTTTATTAATTAGGGCTGTCGGACGCCCCGCCACACTGCATATTACTTCATTCAGGGACCATTAGGTCTCCATGTTCCACAGCCACCGGCTCTCAGGTCCCCTTCCCCCCCGACTTCTCCACGAAGACTTCCTGGAAGGCCCAGGGCAGATCAAGAGCCTGCCCCCGCCCCTCAGACCTAGAGGGGCTTCAGGGATCATCCAGGCAGAGCCACACTGTGGGTGAGCAGGGCTCCGAGGCCCACAGTCACTTCGCAAGCCAACAACCCGCCACCAAGTCGCATGCTCTGCCGCCTGCTGTTGGCAGTGGAGGGCGGGCACAGGCTGGGCCGCTGTGGTCCCTGCCACCGCCCTCTGCCAGGAGCGTGGATGTCCCCACCCTCTTTCTCTCCTTTGCTCAGGTCCACAGCTTCTCATTTCCCCCTAGGGCCTCAGGGCTCTCCCACAGTGGCGTGAGGGCAGGCGGTCCAGCAGGGAGGCGCTGAGTGGGCCATGGGGCAGACCTCCCTGCAAACTCCAGGCCTCGGCATGCAGCCTGCTCTCCAGGCCCCGGTGGGGACAAGCCTGGGTCTCACAGAGCCCGATACCGAGCAGTCTTCTGACACAGTCCCTGGAACGAGTGGAGTGCCCTGTCCTTCAGCCCGGGCTTGGTGCGGGATGGGGCCTGCCATGCTCTAAGCTCTGGCCTCCCTGCCTGGAGGCGGGACCTGGCCCAAGCCTCAAAGCCGAAGCACAAATTCCTCATCAGTGAAGATCCAGAGCCGCCGTGGTGCTAGGACACGGTGCGCGGGAATCAGCCCCGCACCTGCAAGGCAGCGTGCTCTGCGTGCCCTGCGTGTGCCCCATGTGTACTGTGTGCCCCGTGTGTGAGCATGTGTGCCCCATGTGTGCTGTGCCCCCATGTACTTGTGTGTACCGTGAGCCATGTGCTGCGTGTCCCGTGTGTGCTGTGTGCCCCGTGTGTGCACATGTGCGCCCCGTGTGTGCTGTGTGACCCGTGTGCTTGTGTGTACCGTGTGTGAGCCATGTGCTGCGTGTGCTGTATGCTGTGTGCTCCGTGTGTTCTGTGCACTGTGTGTGCCCTGCGTGTACTGTGTGCTCTGTGCCCATGTGTGCTCCGCTCAGTCTCCATGTGCCCTCCGTGTGTATTCCATGTGCCCTCCGTGTGCTGTGCTCTGTGCACGCTGGGAACAGCGCTAGAGCGTCTGTGCTTCTGGACAGGAAAACAAGCCCCTCGTCTACCTTCACCGTCTTCCAGCTGAACGTTGGTAGCACCTCCACCCACAGACGCGGCTGCAAACCCCACGGCGTGAGCCCACCTGACGCAGCACCCACCACCACCCGCAGGAGCCTCAGGCCTTCCTGTTAAGCGTCGCCACTCCGCTATCTGCTGACCTTCACGCTCACTCCAACTCCAAACCTGGGCCTGGTCTCTCACACGTTAGGAAGCCACGGATCATGTTTTCATGCACGGGTATTTTCTTTTGGTAACTGTATCTCAATACAATTGGTTTCCTTCATAATAATCTGTTTTATTTTATGCATTTAAGACCATTATTGGAAGAAGGGGTCAGATATTGAGGGGTTCAAGGCACAAGACCTGGTAGAAACCACTGGCCCAGTGATGCCAGGGGCCTCCCTGCTCTGATGGCTGAGAGATGGCCCCGAATCCTGCCCGGCCACCTGGCCAGAGCCCAACCCCAGCCCCAGACCAGACTCAGTCCCTCCCTGCTCAGGTCAGCACAGATCTCAGCTGAAAAGCGCCAGACGAGGGGACAGATTTTCACACGATTAAGCGGTAATTCTCTCCAAGCTCACTGCATACAAATCATAAATAATGTGGCTCCATAAATCCTCTTCTCCCACCAGCTTCACCTCCACCTACTCTGCGTCTTGCCTGGGGAAAATCAGCAAGGAGCCAGGTGTCTGGCTGATGGGGCTTGGTCGGCAGGTGCAGAGCGGGGTGCTGGGAGGTGAGTTCACCTCGATGGTCAATCAGACGGACGGAAACACCAACAGTTCCCAGCTCCCAGGGTGAGGGGGCTTGAGGCTGCTGGCCAGCTGGGGCTGAGGTCAGACTCAGGCACAGAGCCCAGGAGGGGTCTCTGCAGCGGGTAGACTGGGGTGGGGTGGGGTGGGGTGGGGGGCAGAGGGCGTACGTAGAAGAGCACTGCACTTAGGGTAAGCAAAGGAGCTGAGCGACGCGGGCCAATCACTGCCCCGGATGAGCAGCGGCCTACAGCCCTATTCCATGCACGTCCCTGCCGTGGTCTGAGGCTGTAGCTCTGAGTGTGCACGTGTGTGTACTCACGCAGGTGCAGGCGCCACGGGGGATCAGCACCCGGCACTGGGCGGCTCCCCTCGGAGCCAACAGGAAACAGCGTACATTGCTGGTCTGACGGGTGAGATTGGCAGGAGTGCCAGAGCTGCTGGGGGCAGAGTCGGGGGTGAGGACAGAGGGCCTGGGTGCAGGGTGTCGCGGTCCTCTCTCCCCCTGCTCTGCCCTCAAGCCGCAGGCATCCGCCTGACTCGCCCTTGAGCGGCCTGGCTTCCAGCTGCTGCTCACTGGCCCTCCCCTGGGGCTGAGGAGAACCTCGAGAGCAGCAACACTGGAGGACAGGGAGGGGGTGCAGGCGACATGAGGAAAGCCGCAAGGATTGGGAAGAGAGCACCCAACTCCTCTGAGAGGTAAGGGAGGCGCTTAGGAAAAGCAAAGCCCTTCCCCTGGGAGCAGGAACCCTCTTCTCCACCCTGGACGGGGCGTGCGGGCCCGTGGGAGGCTCCAGGTCCTGAGGATGATCCCCTTGCCCTCATCGTGGCCCCTATAACCAGGCTGCTCTCCATTTCACACACGAGCAAAGTGGCCTGAGCCACACAGGTAGGGGGAGCTGCCAAGGCTGGGTGGGCCTCAAACCCCAGCGTGGGGGTGACCAAAGGCCTCCTTCCCATCCAAGGAGACCTTCTGCCTCCAGGGAGGAGGGGGAGCTCATGGTGGCCTCCTGCCCCTGCCCACAGGAGCAGGGTGGGGAGCAAGGGTTCTGAGATCCCGGTAAGTTACCAAGGCAGGGGCCAGTGGGAGAAGACAGAGGAGGCTGCAGGGGAAACCAGAGGAGCGGGTCCCTGAGGAGGCCTGGGCCCAGCCTTGTCCATCCATGGTCACTACCAGCTCCTAGCAGAGCTTCACTGCAGCTCTCATGCAGCTCCCATCTCACCTTGTACCTTCCCACTCACTCAGCTGAGATCTGTTTGCTGAGCACCTACTAGGTTTGCTGAGCACCTACTAGCCATCTCTGGGACACCATGGTGAAAAACACCACCCCATGTGGTGTCATGGACAGGCTTTGTGCAGAGCTTCTCTGCTGTGACTCAGGTCTTCCCTCCTCTAATCCTCCTCTACATCCTTGAGGTGTCCAAATACCTCCTCTGGGAAGCCTTCCAGGCTACCCCTACCCAGCTGTGATCTCCACTGTACTCAGTTCCTCCTCCATCCTTGCTCAAGTCCTGCTGAGATGCTGCTGTGAATTTATATAAGCAGGTGAGTACACGCAGCATCCGTGGTACACACAGCATTTGGCCTACACCTGAGGGTGGACCAGGAGACACCAGGTTCCTACTCAGTGGGATGGCAAGAACATCATCCAGGCCAAAGCTCCCTCCCAGGGCCTTGTGAGGACAACGCAACAGGTCAGCTGTCAAGTGACCCACCAGAGGAGAAGCGCTGGCTGTGAATATCGGAGCAGCCCCTGGGCCTCTCTCCCCCAGGGTTCCAGGGCCGCTTGCTCTGCCAGCTACAGAGGCATCCTCGTTTCTGTTTTCTGCATATTCATTAAGGAATATTAGCATTATTAATGGCCCATGGTCTTCATTTAGCAAATGGAACAGGATATTAAGCACAGTGCCCAGGACATGAGGTGGGCAGGAGGGGGTGGAGACGGCGGGAAGGCAGGACCCCACCCTTGCACTCTGCACCCAGCAGCCTCAGGTCTGGGACGTTCCCCTGTCCCTCCCACGGTGCCCTGGGGCTTCCAGCAGCCACCTCCTAGTTACTGTGAGCTCCAAGAAGGCGGCTTCAAATGAACATTTGCAAAATGTAATTAGGAAGGTAAATTTCCTGGCAACGAAGATTACATAATGCGTCCCACAGCCAAACACCCACCTGGTGGAATGTGGTTGGAAAACTGGATGTATTCATCACTTGGGATCAGTCCCCTGATGATCCCTTCTTTAATGGGGGTGCTTGGGAGTTGGTGGTCCGGGCAGTGGCTCTGGGAGGGAGACTCTGTGGGTACAGAACCCCTGGGTGCTCACGCCTGGTCGGTCACATGTGGCTGCGCACAGCAGGTGCACACAGCTCTGCAGCCTTGCAGCTGGGACACAGTGAGGTCTGTGTTGCATGGTGAGCTTTGAGACTCTGCTCCTCAAAGTCTGGACTGCGGACCCTGTCATCTGCTAGAAATGCAGATTCCTGGGCTGCACCCTGACCTGCAGCCTCAGAATCACAAACCACAGCTGTCCCAGGGAGGGGGTCCTGAAGCCAGTTGGCACCCTGACCGTGTCAGAGACACCATGCAGGGGCACAGTTCCCCCTGGGGGAAGAGGCAGTTCCCCCCTGCGCCTGGGCCCAAAAGGACGCCACTCGGAACATCAGGGACAGCAGCCACCGGTGGACACTGGCATTCCCACCAGTGGTGCTGAAACAGCTGGTGGGCCTGGAAGAGGGGTCTGGAGGAAGAGCACGGCGGGGCTGGCTTCTGAGTCCATGGGAAAGGCCACCTGGGCACCCTCAGTCACAGCAGAGATTGAGGAGGGGGCAGAGACTTGGTGAGGGAGGGGGACTCTGAGTGCCGTCCTCTGAGAATCACAGTGAGTGGGACCCCATCTGATCCCACAGATGGTGAGGTTGAGGACACTCAGCACACCCAGGATGAGGATACGCGGTCACGAGGTGAGGGGCACCACCTGGTCTAGAACCCTGGCCCAGGGGGCAGCAGGTGCTCTCTGCTTCACCTGTCTGTACCTCTGAGCACCTGCCCAGTCCACTGCCCGGCCACAGCCAGGGAGACTGAGTCAGCGCCGCAGGCCGTCCTGGGGCTGTGTTTCAACTGTAAAATGGGACAGGCAAGGGAAGGCGGTGGGGTCCTGGGGAGGTGAGATGGGTGGCGGTGGGGTCCCTGGGGAAGGAGCCAGGCCACCTTAAGTGCTGTCCTCTCATAAGGAAAACCTTGCTGCCCCAGCCATTAGCCTCTCCTCCAGCAGGACACACCTGCCCTGAGCCATACCCCACCTTTGGAGGGGGTTGCTCTGGGCTGGACACAGGGATGCTCCCTGGGAGGCCTGAGCCCCTTACAGGATGCCCCCTTCCCAAGAGCAAAAGCAGGGCTTCCAACAGGGGGGCATCTGAGCAAAGGCCTGGGCTGCCCATGACTGGCCCGACCTTCCTTCCAGGTGCTCCCCAGCGCAGTGGGGGCATCGGGGGAGGGATTCCCTGTGGCATGTCCCATCCCACCCCCATACAGGATCTCTGTGGGACCATTCCTTGCCAACCTTTCCCCAAAGGACCAGAAACTGTCCTCACCCACGTCCCTAAAATCCACAAGCGGCCTGGCATCCCAGGGCTCCCTGCCCCCTCTGCTGTGGCTAAGACAGCAGCCAAGGACTCAGAGATAGATGCTTCAGGCTGGGGGACACACGAGGTCACAGAGTCCCTCCCTAAGACGCCAGCCAGGGCTGCGCTATGAGCTGCTGAGAGCTGAGAGCTTGTGGATTCCACAGCTCCTCGGCCACTTATGCTGGGTGGGGTCACAGTTCTTGGCATCAAACCTGAGTCCCCCGGCTGCAGTCTGAACCTACTTCCTCTGGCACTGTTCTGTTCCTAGCTAGGCGGAGGCCTGGGTCTCCCTCCTGTACATCTGGACGGGTGAAGACTGAGCTCCCTGGCATCCCGTGGGCTGCCTGTTTCTGTTTCCCTTCTCCACACGTGCCGACCTCAGAGACGTGACAGCACCTTCGCCCTGGAGAATCTGTTGTGTCCGTCACGCTCTCCCTGGCTCAGCCCTGACAGCCCCCGCAGTACGCGTGCACCCCACACTGCCTTCATCCACTGCCCAGCCCACGCCTGGGCAAGGCCCACCCCTTCCCTATGACCCCTCCCAGCCAGAGGAAGTGCCATGGGAGCGGCCAGTTGCACCCCTATGTAAGGTGGTGGAGCCTGGACTGGGAGATGCACTCAGGAACTGCTTAGGATAAGCACGCTCGTGCAGACCGTGGCAGGAGCGTGGGGAGGAAGGAGGACGTGCCTGGCCCAGGAGCGGAGGGGACCCCATGCTGTGAAGAAGCACCCCCCACCGGCCCCAGGCTACCAGACCTCTCACTCAGGGTGGGACAACCTGCACCAAATGGGTCCATCCTGTGCTGCTGGCCACTCAACTTTCCAGGCACTGGGGCCCCTGGGTCTCTCGCCCAAGCTCTGTTGGTTGGCTCAGCCTGGCGTAGCACTGCCAGAAGATGGGGAAGGTGCTGGGAAGCACCGGGAACCTGCTGATCCTCACCCGGAACCGAGCTCTCAGCCAGGGTCCCCGACCTGATGTCTCAGTCCTCTCAAATGCCTGCCCCAGGGCAGGCGGCAGTGCCAGGCCAGCTCTCATCTGAGCCTGCTCTGCTCCCATCAATCAGTAGCAAGCTCCTCCTGGCCTGTGACAGCCACTTCCTAGGAGATAGTCACCACCTGGCAGGGGCCACCCCTCTCACAGTCTTAAGCCAGAGTGGACGATTCACACTCGCTCTAAGAAGGAGGCTCCATCCCAGGGGCGTGGGGACAGCTTGTATGGTCCTGGGATTCTGCACATTCAGCCACACGCCTCTGACCTTCACAACCCTGGCATCCCCCAGGACTCCCAGAGGTCCAGGCCCTCCTCCGGCTCGAGATCTTCCCTTCACCAGAGGCACCCCTGTTTGGGTTCTGAACCCCAGCGGGGTAGCCCCTGGATGCATCCTCACAGAGACACACACACGTGCTCACATGCATGGACTCACACACGCAGCCTCTGTGCACACACGCAGGCCTCGTGGACATGTGCTCACACAGACCCTCTTCATGCACACACACACACACACACAGCCCTGTTCATGCACACTCACAAGACATGCAGTCCCTGTACACGTGTACACACACACACATTCCCAGTGCATTCTCACACAAGCACCCCTGGATGACAGGAGCACCCTCCAACCCCCAGGCCATTGTGAAATTATCAAATATCCTCAGGCAGGGGGCGGGGCAAAATCACCCCCTGTTGAGAATCACTGACCCAGACACGCCTTACCCGACCCCTCCACACACACGCGCCTGCAGTGATCGTGCACGCAGCAGTGCACCTGCACACCTACACACATTTCCCACCCCCCAGTCCACCTGCCTGGACTTGGGCTTGCCCTCCACTGCCTGCCCCCCGGGGCCTGAGCGCCTCCTTTCCTCCCAGCCAAGCTGCTGGCGCCTGGCCTGGCCCGGGCACGCGGGGAGGGTGTCGGGGGAGGAGGCGGATGGCTTCTTTTCCCGTTAGGCGCCTGGCTCATGGAAGAGGCGAGTGTGGATCTAATCTTCAGCTGATTAAATGTCCCTCATTAATGAGTTTCTTTAATTAATGAAGTTTTTGGGTCTGCTCCACTTGCTTTATTCCAGCCACACTCTGCCTTCTCAGCACAAAGCGGGGCCATTTCCTCCCGGGTAATTGAGGGAGCCGCGGCCCGTTCCTGCCGACGCTGCACTTTGCTGATTGCGCCTGTCAACTCGGGGCTGACAACTCCATTTTTAAACATCTTCTTCTCTAGAAGCCATGTGCACATGTGTGCTTGCACAGGCGGAGGCACATCCCAGGCAGCCCGCCCCCGCCAAGCACTGTCTCCGTCACACGCCAGGCACACACACGCCCACTCACGCGGACAAGGCACGCTCGTGGGCAGGTCTGATCTGCAGCTGGGAGCCTCTCCAGGCACCCAGAGGGGCGTGTGTCACCGAGCCTGCGAGGCACACTCCCACCGCAGGAGCAACCTGTACATGCCTGCACACTCACTGCACACATCCGTGTGCAACACGCACACTCAGACCGTGCATGCCTCTACATACCTGTATTCCCCATGTGCATACACACAGTACACACTCGCACACTGTGTGGACTCACCCGAGCACGCTCGTGTGTACCATGTCACACGCAGGTGTGAACACCCGCACGCACACACTCCACACATACACAGTGCACACTCTCATACTGTGAACACTCACTCCACACTCTCACACTGTGAACACTCACTCCCAAGCTCATGCACATACACACCATGTCACAGTCATGTCCAGGTAATACGTACAGCCCACACTGCATCCACACGCATATACACTGTGCATGCTCACTCCTGAGCACACACAACCAAAACACACATTACACCTGTATGGTGATGCAACCCCTCACCCACACACACATAGCACGTGTTCACACCTCCTCACCCACACACGCACATACACAGCACATGCATTCACACCCTCACCCATACACATGGACACAGCACATGCGTTCACACCCCCTCACCCACACACGCATGCACACAGCACGTGTTCACACCACCATCCACAAACATGCACACAGCACATGCCTTCACGCCCCCTTACCCACACACATGCGTTCACACCCCCTCACCCACACACATGCACACAGCACATGCATTCACGCCCCCTCTCACCCACACACGCAGGCATACAGCAATGCATTCACACCCTCACCCGCACACGCACACAGCACATGCATTCACACCCCCCTCAGCCCCACACATGCACACAGCACATGCGTTCACACCCCCTCACACACATGCACACAGCACATGCGTTCATGCCCTCACCCACACACGCACGCACACAGCACGTGTTCACACCCCTCACCCACACACACATGCACACAAGCACATGTTCACACCCACTCTCACCCACACACGCACAGCACATGCGTTCACGGTCCTGCCTTGGCATGCTCACACCTGGGCTCACACCCATGTCCACACACATTCCAGTTCACACACTCACCTAAGGCACCCTCCCCACAAACACAGGGCCCCCCCCACCCCGACACAGGGAGACCACAGATACACAGGCATCAGGCAGGGCTGTGCCCACCCCAGAGGAGGAAGAGCTTGCTATGGATGCCTGCATGCCAGGTGACTATGTCTCCAGGTCCACCTGTCATCCAGATGACCTGCCCAGCCGCATCTTGGCCCTGCTGGCTGCACTTCCTGCTGTGACTGGGTGCCAGCTCTGGGCTCCAGGGCCTGGAAGGACGATTTACACCTTCTCATTGGCTCGTGAAGAGCTCTCTGAATTAAAAGCATTCATCTTCTCCTGCTGACCGGGATGTGGGCTCCTTCCCCGTGAGGCTGGCCGGAACTGGGCAGGCAGGGTCACAGCTCCAGAGCCAGGGAGGAGGATGCACTGCCGGCCAGACTCTCCTGTGGGTGGGCACGTGGCTGTGATGCAGTGGGGGACCAATGGGACAATTCTTTCCTACCAGGATCTGCCCACCACCAACCGCGAAAAAGGAGATCCTTCCCAAAGGCAGAAATGGGCCCTTCTGCCGCTAGGGATCAGCCAGGAGTGGCTGTGCCCAGGGCAGGATGAGCATCTCTGCACTGACGATGCCGGAGGGGCAGAACCACCGTGTGTGCCCGGGGAGGACGTCTTGCTGACTTCATCCCAGCCAGACGACGTGGGTGTCACTATCCCCATGTTACTGATGGGAAAACTGACGCCGAGAGAAGCCAAATAAGTCTCAGGCTTTCCCTGCAGGTAAAAGGGGCAGGGCCAGGCCTGGTGTCCAGCTCTGTCTCACTCCCAGGCCCATCTCTCCTGGTCCCGCGGCCCTGCCAGGCCACCCCGCCCTGTGGCTTCCCCAAGAGGGTTCTGGCATCTCCATGGGTAGCTCTCCCGCCCAGCAATGACAGCCTCGCATGTCATTGACCAGACTCTTCCTGCGCAGCCCTTGGCAGAGTCTTCACCATACCTGAGGGGAATGTGCTGTGATCTCCATTGTACAGGTGAGGAAACTGAGGCTGCGAGAGCTTAGTGGCTATGGGCAAGTCACGCAGCTCAAGTATAACAGCTCAGCTCATCTCTGAGCCCAGGGCCATTTCCATCTCTCCACTCTGAGCCCCATTTCTGTATCTCCAGCCCTGGCCCTGGAGGGTGAACCCTGTATGATGCCACACCCAGCCTCTGAGCTGAGATGCCACTGCCTCCTGGGCACCAATCACACACCTGTCTCCAGGTGCATGTGTGGGCCAGACACAGCGTGTGCCAAGCACCTGCTGCAGGCTGGCACCGGCACCCACATTAGCTGTAAAGCTCACGATGGCCCAGGCGGTGACAGTCCCTGGTTTTGCAGACAGGGAAACTGAGGCTCAAAGAGAGAGAAGGACAACCTACAGTCCCACAGCTCGGAAGCACAGCATGACAGACCAACCCAGGCGTGTGCCACAGAGCTTTAGTCTCCTAGCATGTTCTAGAAAAGTGCTCCATGGCCAAACTTCTTGGGGAAAATGCCACCATGCTGTCTAGAAAAGGCCCGGAGAAGTTCCGCAGTGGAGAGACAGGTTTAACTGTGCTGGGCATGCCATCCATCCCTCACACTTCTCCACCCGGAATTCTTTTTTTTGCCAAAGACCTATCAGAAGTAGAGATATTTGGGAAACGGAGCCAGATGCCATGCTGAGGGCTGGGGTTGGTCCCTTGAAAGGACACCTGGCTGTGCTCACAGAGGTCCTCTCCTACCAATGCTGAAGACCCTTGCTGGGTGACAGAGGCAGCCCGGGTGGCTTCGCAGGGATGGTCCTGGGATTTCCTGAGCACTCTCTGGGGACAAAGCTCTATACTTGGAGAGTGCAGGGGAAGCCCAGGGCCCAGCAGGGTGGCAGCTGCCTGGTAAACGGGGATGCACCGTGGCTCACGCGGCTGTCGATACAGGCAGAACGGAGGCCTGAGAGCTCCTGGACTGATGAGCACTGTGGCTGGGGACAGAATTGGGAGGGGTCAAAAGACTGGTCTTTCTGCAATAAGCGAGAGGGCTGAACCTAAGATTAGTGTGATTGGACTCAGGAGCTGGGGTTGGGGCAGGAATGCTTATGAGCAGGACACTGTTGGGGGCCAGCCAGGAGCCCCCTTTGCTGCTGGGAGTTACCCAGAGAGCAGGGAAGGCTACAGAGTTCACACAGGCAGAAGGCAGAGGCCCTGCCTAGGGCTCCGGGAGGGTCTCTTCTGGGCATCTGATTCTGAAATCTCAGTTCTATCACAAGAAGCCAGTGTTAAATTTCTCTTCTTATAGTGGCTCAGAGGGGGTCAGCATGGGGCCTGAGGTTACACAGCACATCAGCAGGGGAGGGTCAGGTGGTTGGGGTGGGGCTGGGTCTCCTGATGTCCAAACACTTACAGAAAGCCACAGCCCCTTGGCAATGTGCCTGGGTCGGGCAGGCTAGAGCTTGAGTCCTGAGAAGTTGGGGGTCCCTCGGTAAGTCCTTCACCTCCCTGGGGGTCCTGTTTCCTCATCTGTAAAGCAGGCATAAGACAGCCTCCCTGGGCAGGCTGTGTGAGGACTAAAGCTGTTAACACAGGTGAGCGGACGACACAGTGCCCCCCGGTCGCAAGCAAAACAGACAGTGATGCCGAAAGTGAGCGTTATCTATAAGAACCCTGCTGCCTGGGCACCCCAAGGGAGCTCTGGAGAGCCAGCCTGGCCTCCCCTACCTGACCTCACAGGAAGAAAGGGACGCACACAGGTAGGAAAGCAAAGAAACCCTGAGAAAGAGGAGGAGACGGGGCGGGGCCCAGGACGGGATCCTTGCCCGCTGCCTCTGAGTTTGTGGGAAGGGAGGGAAAAGGTTGGTGCTGCTATCCTTTTACGATGCTTTGAAACACCGTCTGGATGAAGGGAAATTAAATATCGCAGCTTTTAACTGGAGCCACACCGAAAACACAACCTTGCAGTAAATAAAAAGACGATTTACCACCGTGACACTTTCATTTCACAAAACTCCCTGTGTGCCTTGTCTGTAATTATTCCCTCCCGGTCCCCGGCCTCTGGCCCGACTGTATTACCTGCCTCTGGGGATGGGGAGGTGGCTGCGGAGCCTCCAGGGGTGGGAGCAGCCCCGTTGGAGAGGCAGGAGGGGTCTGAACATGGTTCATTATGATTGAGATTAAACTGAAAAATCAATTTTTAATTGAATGTATTCTTCAAACAGACCCTGTTGCCCACGGCTGAGCACTAATGGAATTTCCATCCTAAGCCGCCCCTTCTCCTTGACGAGCCCTCCCCAGCCTGCTGACCCCAGCAGGACTCACCAGGCCAGCAGATCTGCCCCTACTGGGGCTGCAACGCTGCAACTAAACTCCGCCAGCGGGGCACGGTGGCGGGAGGCCACTCGTGGGTGTGTGGAGGTGGGGAGGGGCTGGATGGTGGAGAGTCTGTCTTCTCCACGTAGACTGGCTGGCCAGCTGGGGGGTGCCGGGGGTGCACCTGGGCTCCTCTGAACAGGCCGAGGGCTGCTGCTTCTTGACCCAGTCTGGGGCTCTTACGAAGTTGTTGAAAGATGGGTCTGGGCTTCTAGGCACAGGGGCAGGGACACAGCCCCCAAGGTCCTCTGGTTCCCAAGAGACTTTTCTACCAAGAGCCATGTTCAAGGATGGGGGGAGAACCAGGCCCCTGGGAGTAATGCCCCCCATAACCCTGAAGACCACGGCCTCCCACCCATGCACGTGGCCCTGCCTGGCATCCCACTGAGTCCAGGTCCCAGGACTAGAAGACGAAGAGGGAGGCCCAGGACAGGGACATCCTGGTGCACGGTGGGCTGCTGTGTGAAGGATGCTGGTCCCTGCACATCTGCTTCCCATCTGTAAAGGGGACTCACAGCAGGCTGCAAGGGCTGGGCTAACAGTAAGAAGGGTGGGACCACCTGCCTGCCATACCTTGGACCCCACAAGAAGGGGGGTCCCTGTGTCTGTGTTTTGGGCAGCCTTGCATCTGACCGTGGCGACTAGCACTGACCGGATCTTGGCTGTGCCAGCTCGCCCGAGTCCACCCCGTTCTCTGCCCACCCTGCCTCTGTCCTTACAGGCCCCCTGGAGAGTTCCCCAAGCCTGTTCCTGGGGGACCTGGATATTCTGGGGACAGTTCTGTGGATGGTGCTGTCCTTGTTGGTGGAGCGGGGGGTGGGGGGGGGTTCTATAAATCCATCTCAGGCATTTCTCCTTCTCCAAGCCAGCTCCACCTCTGACCCTCTTTTCCTCCACTCCCTGCTGCCCCCACAGCTCAGAAGCCAACCCACCCACAGCGTGGGGGTCTCCTCCCAGGCTCGCCACTACCCTGTGCAGAGCAGTTCCTTGATGAGGCTGGGCCTTGGCCACCAGAATCGGGGTTCTCCCCACCAGGGACACCTCTGCTCTGGCCACAGGTGACCCCCTTCGCTCGGCACCAACGCCACGTGCAGGAGCTCCCTAGGGACAGGAACGGGGTAGGGGACCGTCGTCCTCCAGCACAGGCCCCCACACCTGGAAGCCACTCTGCATCTGAGGCTGGGCATGTTTTGGGTTGGAAGGTGGGTGGTGCCCTCGGAGCCCCTCCTGCAGGAAGCACTGACTCATGAAGACCCCCTCCATTTTCAGTCGGTGAGGACCCCCGACCTGCAGTGCCTGGGCTCAAGCCAGGACACCCCAGTGGAGGGTGCTCTTCACGGCCACCCCTGTTCCTATTTAACTGCAGGCCAGGACGGACACCCCCATCCTTCCACTGAAGGGTGGCCACGAAGGGGGACAGACCTGCTTGGCCGGTGCCTGGATGGTAACAGGCCCCCGTGCCCAGCTCTGCCCGTGACACCCTCCAGAGGAGGACACATCTAAGCCACAGGCCCGGCACTGGCATCGAGGGGTCCAGAGATCTCCCTGCAGAGGATGTCGTGTGTGGGTGGAGGGATGCGCTGACCTGGCCAGAGAGGGGGGCCTGCCTCCCCCTGCCTCTGAGCCAGGCCAGGCCCTCCAAGCCGTCCTGGCATCAGTGGGTGGCCAATGGGCCTGCTCTCGAGGCAGGATCCGTGAGGCCTGAAGAATTGTCCCGCTCTACCCCCGCCCCATGGCTGCCTTGTTTAAAAATGTGCCAAGATTTTGCAGGACGGCCACGGAGGGTGGGGTGGGCAGAGTAGGCGGGAGACGCCTACCACAGAGGCGTCACATGACCCCCAGCTTCCCAAGGTCCCTCCCCAAGCCTCCTAGCTGCCTCCTGCAGGCCTCACTCAGAAGCTCTTTCCTGGTGTGGGGCAGGTCCAAGTCTAGATGTTTCTAGAAGCTCAAGCATGCTCTGCGCCCCACTGCTGGGGCCTGGGTGAGAGGAGTTGGTGGGTGGAGGGGGCAGGGCTCATGCCGCAGACCTGAAGCCAAGCCCAGGGTTGAGCCACAGGAGGAGGAAGAAGCACCCCTCTCCCGGCCCTGGGACCACGGTTCCAATCCTGCCTATGTCCCCGAACGCCGAGTGCCTCCTGAAGGCCAATGAACCTCTCTGGGTTTCTGTTTCCTAGTCCTAAACTGAGGACTAGGTGCCCCCCACTCGGGCACAGGAAGGCAGAGCTCAGGTGCCAAAGACCAGCCTGAAGTGTAGATGTGTCAGAGCTGAGGGCCCGAGGCAAACGCCCTCCCTTCACAGATGTCTCCTGGCCCACAAAAGGGGCAGACGGGCCGCTGCCTACCCACCTCCGAGCTGTCACCAGGTTCCGAGTCCAAAGGAGACGAGCGCACCTGTGCTCCCACACGCTGGTTCCCACCTGAGCCAGGGAAGGAGAATCCACAATGATGCCTCGAGGCTCTCAGCAGGGACTGGCACTGAATCGCAGCAAGGTGGGGGCGGGACAGGGTGTGCGGGGTCCTTAGTCGCTGCCTGTCCTAGGAGATCAGGGGAAACTGAGAAACTGCCCAGAAAAACAGCTCAGGAAGCCCAGAGCCCGAGTTTGGGCACAGATTCTGTCCCATCATCGAGCTCAGCCAGGACCCCCAACACAGGAGCCTGCGCACGTCCTATCCGAGTGTGCACCTGCGTCTCCTGGGGTCTTGCAGAGATTCTGACTCAGTGGTATGGGATGGGCTGAGTGTATTTCAAATAAGTTCCCGATGTGCGTGGCGGTTCTGAAACGTGGCCGCACCCTGAAATTGCCTTGGAAGCTTTAAAACATACTGGTGCCTGGGTGCCCTCCCTGGAGAGGGTCTGAGGCCACTGGCCTGGGGCGAAGTCTGGCCACAGGGACTTTAAAGGCTCCTGTGGTGATTCCAATGTGCAACCGAGTTTGGGAAGCACCTGCTCTCCGTGTTCTCCGGAGCCAGCCCACAGGCCAGCCCAGTCGGCTCTGAGAGGGGGCCCCGCCCCACCGCCCTGGCCTTCCTTCTGGGGGCGCAGAGGCCTGCTGAGCACTGGCCCCGCATGTGGTGGCAGCAGGGAGGAAATGGGGCATTCGCCGCTCTGTGGTTGTGTTTTTTCTGCCACCACCACAGGCAAGGCGTTCGGCAAAGTGAGTGCATAGTTCCCACTCAGCACCTGGACCCACTGACACGTGGATCCATGCGGCCCACACGGGGGCTCTCAGCCGGGCGACGGTGCCCTGCAGGGGACATTTGATGACTGCTGGGGACAGGGTAGGTCAGCGTCTCCAACCTTTTTGGTACCAGGGACTGGTTTCATGGAAGACAATTTTTCCAAAGGCCGCCGGGGGCAGGGGGGTGGTTGGGGAGGGATGGTTTTGGAATGAAACTGTTCCACTTCAGATCATCAGGCATTAGATTCTCATAAAGAGCATGCAACCTGGATCCCTTGCACGTGCAGTTCACACGTGAACTGTGCCCCTTTGAGAATCTAATGCCGCTGCTGATCTGACAGGAGGTGGAGCTCAGGTGGTCACGGCAGCGATGAAGAGCGGATATGAATACAGACGAAGCTTCACTCCTCTGCCCGCTGCTCACCTCCTGCTGTGCGCCCCAGTTCCCACCAAGCCATGGAGGGGTTGAAGACCCCTGACGTAGGTTGTCACAACGTGGGGTGTCCCTAGCATCGAATGCAGGGAGGCCAGAGATGCTGCTCCACCTCCTACAGACGCCCATCAGAGTCTGACCCAGCCTGGCAGTAGTGCCCTGGGCCAAATGACAGGAGGGAGAGCTTCCCCAGGGGCCGGCAGGCCCCCGTTTCACCACTGCATTAGACCGAGTCTGCAAGAGGGTACGTGACTCCATCCTAAATGGGTGTTGCTTGGACTTGAACTCAAGACCTGGGTTTAGTCTTAGCCCTGTTCTTTCCCTCTCTGAATTGTCAGGTTCAATGTTAAGGGCCTGGAAGAACCCTACATGCCATCCTGGTTCCAGGCAAAGCCAGTCGGTTCCCAGGTGTGTGCAAAGCAGCCAGACAAGCCTTGTGCCTCACTGGGGAGCAGCTGAGGGGCTGGTCTGTGTGTGACCAGCTGCCATCTGCGAGTCCAGCCCCACCTGGCTCTGGAGCAGAGCTGGTGCCTGCCCAGGGCCCAGAAAAGCTTCTCCATGGGGGCCTGGGCCTGCAGCCTGCTGGTCACGTGGGTCTGCTGCTGGGAGGTCCTGCAGAAGCTGGGGAAGATGGTGGGTCTCCTCTCTGCAGGCTCAACCTCACCATGAGGAGGGGGCAGAGGCCTGAGGAGGGCGGGTGCCCCTGCTGTGAGCCCCTGGGCAGGGTGTCTGGCAGCTCCTTGGCTGCCCCCTTTGGCTTTAGCAAAACATGATCAAAACGGGCCCCCTGCCTGCCTCCTGGACACACCCAGGGGTGAGATCCTTTACTTTGGATCTTACAGGGAACAGGGGACAAAATAAGAAACTGCACCAGCCTCCGGGTGTCCCGGGGTCAGCCCCCGGTGCCAGGTTCCCAGCCTGCTGTGCTGCTGTCTGGACACCAGAGCCAGGACCCTCCAATTCCAAGGCTGCTCCCTTGCCCTCCCGTCCGTGTCGTCCTCAGAGATGGCACGGCCCAAGTCAGGAGGACACTGTGGTCACAGGAGGCGCTGGCCATGTCTGGCCTTCTGGAGGAGGCAGGAAATCCATTCAGTGCCCACCTCTGCAGGTGGCCGGGAGGACAGCTTCAGTTCACCAGCCCTACGCAGCCCATTTTACAGAAGCAGAAACCCAGATGTAGAGAAGATAATTAACTAGGGAACATCAGAGTTGGGGTTTGAGCCCAAAGCCTGGAAGAGGCTGTAAAGGCAGTGAGGCCGCCAGCCTTCCCCCAACCCCTCCGGAGCCTGGCCCATGCTGTGCGCCAGAAGAGGCCTGGGGAGTTCCCTGCTGCCCTGAGAGGCAGGCCCTGGTCCAGAGATCGGGAGGATCTCATTGGGGAGGGGGGGGGCTCACCTTCTGGTAAGAGGATCCTGGGGGCCATGGCTGTCCCCTGCCCTTGGCAAAGCCCAAAGCAGGTAGTTGGCAAGACCCCAAAAGGCAGAGCACGTGGAGCCCAATCAGCCTTGCACACCCCTGGTTCTGGGCTGGCCAAGGGCCTTGTCCGCCACCCACAAGTGTGTCCAGGCAGGCTCTGCGCCCCTGGTGCCCAGTACCTGGCCAGGGCTGCCGGTGGGCGACGAGGCAGTAGCTGGTGCAAGCTTTGCCAAGCGCCTTCGATCCAGCCTCTCTCTCATGCTAATGACTGTCAACATGAAACAGAGGCTGTGAAGGGGAAGAAAATTACTCCCTGAAAAGGAATTGACTGATCCCCATCATTTCTCAAGGAATCACTGACCTGTGAATATTTCATTACCCAAAATGCTGCACCATCCATCCAGAGCCGCCGCTGCCGTGGGGCCCCGGGGGGAGGGCGGATGTACAGGGCCAGGCTCTGGCCTGTGACCAAGATTTCCTCACCGTGGGACCCCAGGGTGCGTGCGGCCCTAAAGACCCAGAGACAGGTGTCTGGCAGACAGGAACACGGTAGCCTCTCTAGGTTTTGGGAGCGGTCATGGCTAACACTCCTTGCAGCTGTGTTCTGTGCCTGGAGTCTCCATTCTGGTTGGAGGACTGGGGTCCCGTTTCCCACCCACAGTCCCTTCTCCAGCCTCCCAAGGTCCCTTCCCAAGCCTCTCGGCTGCCTCCTGCAGGCCTCACTCAGAAACTCTTTCCTGGCTTGGGGCGGGTCCAAGTCTAGATGTTTCTAGAAGCTCAAACATGCCCTGTGCCCCACTGCTGGGGCCTGGGTGACAGAAGTTGGGGGGTGGAAGGGGCAGGGCTCATGCCACAGCCTGAAGCCAAACCCAGGTTTGAGCCACAGGAGGAGGGAGAAGCACCCCACACCCCCCCAGACCATGGTTCCAATCCTGCCTCTGTCCCCGGCCACTGAGTGCCTCCCGAAGGCCACTGAACTTCTCTGGGTATCCGCTTCCTAGTCTTCAACTGAGGCTAACAGTAGTTGGGGCCACCTTACAGGTTGTTGAGAATAAACTAAGACCAAGATCTAATCTCAGTGCCCGACATGAGGCAGTTGCTTCCTGGAAGTGATGAGAGTTGGGCGACTCTATCCCAGAAGCACAGGCCACAGAGTCTGAGGACGCAGGGGAGGGAGGCCGACCCCGCCGGGGCTCCCTGCAGCCTCCGAGGGCCTCTGCGGGCCTGGCTGGGGTAGGCTAAGGCCAAAGTCCCCAGAGGATGGGAAAGGCTGAGACCACCCTCGCTGGCACTGATCAGGTCCTGAGTTTGTAAGGTCATGGGGGATGGAGGGGGACAGCCTGGGGCTTTCTCCAGGAACTTCAAGGGGCTGGAATAATTCATTCAAGAAACGCTAACCATAAAACCCTCATGCTGTTCTGGGCTTGGACTGGGTGGGATTCAAACACTCAGCCTGCAGCTCCCACCACTGACGAACAGCGCACTCTAAAGCTTAAGAAGCACAAGGAGATCCTCCAGGGCATGGAGGCTCCCGCAGCACCCAGGCTGGGACCCCCGCTGCCTGCCAGGAAAATGCGACGTCTGTGCTATTATTGCCGGGGTTACACCAGGGATGGTGTTTCCAAATTAGCAAAGGCCTGGGAAGGTGGCAGGGCATCCATCTGGGGCTTAGTAGAGCGTGGGAGGCAGCATCTCGGGACCCCTCCCTGGCCCGGTGCAGCCACGGGGAGCCCAGATGCAGGCAGTGGGGGGAGTGGGGGCACGGGGGAGGACAAAGGGGGGCTTGGCTCAGGCCCAGCCCCGGCCCCTCCTGGTGGCTCTCCCCACTCGTTGGATTGGAACACGGGCATTGCTGTCCTGGGGGAGGAGCAGGGCTGGACACGAGAGTGGACCTGGCCTCAGTGAGAAGGACTTTGGTGGGCTGTGGGGAGGAGCTTCAGGCTGTGAAGTGGGTGGGGCAGTGGGAAGTGTGCCTGGGGGGGTCCGTGGACGATTCCTCCTTCGGGACTGCTTGACCACTGCCTTCCCCGCCAGCTGGACCGTCCCCACACACTGCAGAAGGTTGGGGGTGGCCTAGGGGCTCATGCCCGCCCGCTCAGGCCTTCTCTCACTTTGTCGGACCCAAGACCCTGGGATGTCGAGTGGGGTCAGTAAACGGACCTGCAGGTCCTGGGAGGACAGGGCAGGGCGGCTGCTGGGCATCGCCATGAGCTGAGCTTCCACTGAGCATCTCTGAGTGCCAGGGTGAGGGGACAGAGATGGCTGCCAGCCTCCTCCTCTGGGGCCTGGAGACAGGAGGGGGACAGGTGTTATAATAAGCAGTGACAGTGGCTGCGCTGAGGACTCAGGCTAAGTGCCAGGGTGGGGATGGGGATGGGGGCTGAGGGTGGGGATGGGGATGGGGGTGGGGGTGGGGGATGGGGATGGGGGTTGAGGGTGGGGGGTGGGGGTGGGGGATGGGGATGGGGGTTGAGGGTGGGGGTTTGGGGTGGATCTAGTTGGAGGCAGACAAGGAGGGACTCTCAGGTATCCACAGGGGAGGGGCAACCAGGAGCTGCCCTTGAGGTCAGGACAAGAGGGTGGTGGGCAGCGGTGGGCGGCAGCTGTGGGCCACGACCTAGAGCAGCAGCCACGTCCCAGGAGACTGAGGCCCTCAAGGCACAAAGCCTCGTGGGGGGTCCTGGCTGGGGCCCAGGCCACTCTGCTTGGGTAGGACGCTCTGGGTCAAGGGGCAGAGTGGCTGCTGTGGGCCTGGGACACGCAGACAGTAGAGGCCTGGCCGTTCTCTGGGCTCTGCAGGCGGCCAACCCCCTAACTCAGCTCCATCCGCAACCCCCATACCCTGTTCCCCAGCCCAGGAGGTTCCTTCAGTGCCTCAACCTCACCCTGGTCCCGCCTGCCCATCACTCAAGATAGGAGGCAGCTGAACTGCCGGACACTCTACAGGTGGCCGCGCTGGCTCAACTTCTTTGAGAACCAGGGGAGACAATGGGAGGTGCAGGGCCACCAGAGCTGTCACTGAAGTAGGGGATACCTGACCACCTCTGGGGGCAAGGCCAGGCCTGCCAGGGGCAGGGGCAACAGATTCACCTCCCATCTCCTCCTTTCCCCAGCAACCCCACACCTGCCCCACATTCTTAGCCAGAGAAGAGGCAGGTAGGGATGGGCACTTCCGAGAAAAGAGGGGGGCAGGGAACTGCAGAGGCCACAGGGTGCCTCTGACTGGCCATGGGGCCTCAGGGGGGTCACCTCAGCTCGAGCCTCAGTGTCCCCGTGTGCGCAATGGGAGGACGAGGGCTTGCTC
Source organism: Homo sapiens (assembly GCF_000001405.40). NCBI lineage: Eukaryota > Metazoa > Chordata > Mammalia > Primates > Hominidae > Homo > Homo sapiens. Next base: position 79,150,895 of record NC_000017.11, read on the forward strand.
ATGCCTAGCGCCGCCTGCGAGGGAGCCTCAGTTGGGCAACGAGCCTGGCTTGCTGCCTGCCACAGAGGGCTGGGCAGTGCTGGTGGCCGCCCCGCTGCTGTGCGGCTCTCACCAGGGCAAGGCCACCTCCCCAGTCCACGCTCCGCAAGTGCTCAGCACACACACATCCCTCCACCATGCTGGGCCCTGGACTCTCAGAACCACAATAAATGCAGCTCTTGGCGCAGATTCTGGGTTTGATCCTCGCGCTGCTCCCCCTACTCGGGGCAAGCAACAAAGCCGGCATCAGACCCTGCGTGCTGACCACCCCCTGCCCTGGGAGGGCTGAGGGGAACACAAGAGAAGAAAAAGACACACAGTCCAGGGGGAGAAGCGAAATCCAGTGCCGGGGCTGAAGGGACCCTGGGTCAGCTGCCCCACGGGACGCGTGGTCCCGACGGCTCTGGGTCCAGACACGTTCGGTGTCACGGGAAGGAGGGGAAGGGGCTTCCCGGCAGAGAGCAAAGGCACGGGGCTGGGAGGGGACCTGCAGGGGGAGGAGGGGAGGCGAGGATGGGAGGGGACCTGCAGGGGGAGGAGGGGAGGTGAGGATGGGAGGGGACCTGCAGGGGGAGGAGGGGAGGCGATGGGAGGGGACCTGCAGGGGGAGGAGGGGAGGCGATGGGAGGGGACCTGCAGGGGGAGGAGGGGAGGCGAGGATGGGAGGGGACCTGCAGGGGGAGGAGGGGAGGCAATGGGAGGGGACCTGCAGGGGGAGGAGGGGAGGCGAGGGTGGGAGGGGACCTGCAGGGGGAGGAGGGGAGGCGATGGGAGGGGACCTGCAGGGGGAGGAGGGGAGGCGATGGGAGGGGACCTGCAGGGGGAGGAGGGGAGGCGAGGATGGGAGGGGACCTGCAAGGGGAGGAGGGGAGGCGATGGGAGGGGACCTGCAGGGGGAGGAGGGGAGGCGAGGGTGGGAGGGGACCTGCAGGGGGAGGAGGGGAGGCGATGGGAGGGGACCTGCAGGGGGAGGAGGGGAGGCGAGGATGGGAGGGGACCTACAGAGGGAGGCGCGGATGGGAGGTGCAGGGGGAGCTCCCACATCCCCCATCCCCAAGGCCCCCTGTCCCGCAGGGGAGAACGCTAAGAAATGGGGAAGCAGGAGGGGTGATGGGAGGCTGGGAGGCCTCAGGGCTCCCCCCACCCACCAGTCCCAATACCTGATGGACTAGAGCCAGTCTCAACTGGGAGCCTGAGACTGTGCATAAGTGGGCGAGTGGGGTCCCAGGAGAGGGGCCAGGGTTGGGGAGCCCCAGAGGGCTCTGTCCCTGCAGGGTCTCAAGCCATGTCCAAGCCCAGCTGCTCTCTAGCACCTGGGGCCTGGCCACCCCCGGGGCGAGACTTCGGGGCACCTCCCCCAGCCCATCCTCAGTGAAGCTGAGAGGCGGCTGCTTCGGGTCAGCAAACGTGGACACTGCCTTCCAGAGAAATCAAAGCACTGTGCCAGCCGAGGCCCAGAGAGTCATAGGAGCAGTGCGGGCCGCAGCCGAGGCAAGGAAGCAACCTCCTTAGGGGGGACTAGGGTGGGGGGGTATCCCTTTCCAGCTGGGCCGGGGGTCACCCCGAACTTGGGATGAGGGCACTCATTCTGTGAGCTTCTTCACCCCGCTTAACGCCCCACAAGCGCCCTGAACCCTCTGTGCAAGTCTGTAAGCTGCACAGGCGAGCAGAGACTCTGGGAGCTGGGAGAGGTGGAGGGTCCCCAGAAGGAGACGGAAAAGGGGAAAGAGAGGGAAAGAACAATGTCACAGCCAGCGAGAGGGCCAGAGCAGGGCAGACACAGCTGTGGGGGGCACCGAAGCAGTATCCACATAACAAAGGAGGCAGGGCCAGAGGCGAAGACAGGGCCGAGAGGCAGAGTGGCTTGGGCACAGGTGCCAGACTTGCCCCATCCTCCCACACCAGGAACACGGCGCCGGCCTCCGGGACTTCGCCGCATTGCCCATTGCTTTCTTGCGGGTGTTTACAGGCTGCCAGCACTCCTGTGCTGGGGGTGTTTCCAGCCCTTCTCTGGTGAGGCAGGGGAGGTCTGGAGGTGGCTGCGGTCGGGTGGGCCCGCTGTCCAGATACCCCGCCCCACCCTACTCCCTAAGTGCAGGGCAGGACATCTGCCCGCTGGGGCTGCCCTATTTCCTCTGTCCCCGTCCTGCCCCTCACCAACTGAGCAGCTCACTTTTCCTGCCTCACCCTGGTCCAGCTGTGTCTGCCCCCGACCCTTGGCCCTGTTCTGGGGTCCCTCCCATTTTGCAGAACTGCTGACCCCCAGATCCTTGGCTGGGGGTGGGTGGCGGACACAGCAGGCAACGACCACCTGTGATCACCCCATTTCCCTGCACCCTGTGCTGGCCAAGATGTGCAGAGGGTGTGGCCAGGGAGGTAAACAGCACAGGCCTTCTAGAAGGTGCTGAAGGAACTTCATGCCTCATTGAGAGAATTTCCAAATTCCCTCTACTAGAAAATTCTCTCCACGAGAAGCCCATTTTTGGGGCTGGTGGGGTGATAACAGGTGTGAGCCCAGCTAAGCCTCGGTGTCAGGGCTGGGGACTTCAGAATGACAGGAGTGGCTAAAGCTGACAGGGCCCTGGGAACCAGGGTGGGCCAGGCTTCCCGTTTATCAGAGCCCAGAGAGGCTAAAGGGCTTGCCCAAGGACACACAGCACTGAGAACACCAAGCTCCCAGATTTCCCATCCGGCTTTTTCTTTTTCCTTCCTCCCAATCCTTACTTGCTGCACGGACATTATACACACAGGAAAAGAAACCAGGAAAGAATCACGTGTAACCAATCCCACCACCTGCACCTGGGCACCTGACTTCCCACCTCCTCCTCCCACCTTTGGCAATGGGCTTTCTACCCGGCTGGGACCATGGATGTTGATATTTGGCACCTGTGGTTGCAGCCCTCTCCTGCCACATGCCCACACAGGCCTGAGCCCCGGCTGCCCATGGTGGTCTCCAGCCCCCATGATCCATTCCACCCTCAAGTGACAACCGCAGACCCTACTGTCTTGAGGGGATGGGAGGGGCGGGCCCAGTCCGGCTCCCACGGCAGCCAGGGAGATGGTTAAAACAGCACACACTGGACCGTGCCTCTCTGCTGCCTGAAACCTCTAATGATTTCCCTTCACTCTGAAGAAATGTACCCTCCTGACCCCGGCCCCCAAGGCTCTGCTGGTCCCCTCCCTCCCTCCCTCCCTGTCCAGTCCCGCCCCACCTGGCTGGCTCCAGCCACCAGAGTCTGTGTTCAGTTCTTCGAACACGCTAAGCTCCATGGCCTCAGGGCCCTCGTACATGCCCTTCCCTGTACCCACAATGCTGTTCCCTCAGTCTTTCCTTGCCCAGCTCCTTCTGTTTCAAAGCTGCCCCTTCAGAGATGTCCTCCCTGGCCACCCTGCCTGAAGTGGGTTCTGCTGTTAGCCCTCTGTCTCGGGGACCCCGCAGACTGTGAGCCTGTGAGGACCAAGACCTCATCTCTCTTTCTCTGCTGCACCGAGGTGCTGTCACGATGCCCGGCACATAGCAGGTGTTCAATAAAGGAGTGAGTGCCTAAGTGGACGAGTGGGGAAGGGTGGATGGAGGGAGGAAGTCGGGCGCCTGTGCTGAAGGGCTCAGAACCTGACTGGAGAGGTCTGGCTGAGGGCAGACAGAATGAAGGACGCTGGCTGGCTGCCCAGCCGGGCATGAGCCAGGACGAGCCAGTATTTGGCTGGGTCTCGCCCTGCCCGGTCCCCACGTGGCCGGGAGACTGGCGTGGGTTCAGATCAGCCGCACCAAAGACCTCAGGCCTTGGAGCTGCTGGCCCCTGCCCCGTTGGCTGGTTCCTGCTTCTCTGAGGAAGGGGAGGCTGTGGGCAGGAGGTGCCACTGAGGAGTCTGGGCCTCCCCCAAACCCTCTACTGAGCAAGTGCGAACCCTCCCAGGCACCTGCACAGGTGCACATGCACAGGTGGGCAGGACATCCCCACCTCCCTCCCTGCTCTTCCACAGGCCCCGGGGTCCTGCGCCTCCCAGGACACCTCAGCCCTCGTCAGGTGGCGCTGGCAGCCCAGCCTCGGCGTCTGAGGAAGGGGTGGCAGCCGTGCCAGGCATCCAAAGGGTGGGTGGGGGAGGGGGCAGTGGGCAGCCGTGAATGGCGGCCTCCCTGCCACGGCACGTGAGCTCGGCCCAGCGGTTCCCGGGGCAGCAGCAGCTCCCGCCTAAGTACTATGTTGAAGTGGCCAGCTAGTGCCGCGTCCCTCCCCGCCCGGGGCTCTGTGCCTTGGTGAGGTTTTATTGTGAACACAGAGCCCACAAGGTGGGGGTGTGGCTGCCAGGGCGCTGCTCAGAACCCGCCCCACACCCCCAAGCCTTGACAGTACCCCCAGCAATCACTCAGACTCCTCAACACTTTCCCCTCCCCGCTCCTCGGGCAACCCCAACTCAACAGTGGAGCTGGGCACTGCCCGCTCTCGGGCAGGAAGCCAGTGGGCAGGGAGGTCCGGGGCGGCAGGCTCCCAGCTCCATCAGACGGATACCTCGGAGCGGAGCCAGCATGAAATATTCATGCAGTAAATGGTGCAATTTTGTCTGCATTCAGCCGACTTCATGTATATTTCAGAGTATTATGAAATGGTAATGCTGTACGGCAGAGGTGGTGCAGCCCGGAGGGCCACAGCTGGGGGCAGGGGGGTCTCAGGGTGAAGACGAAGTGGGTGGGGAGAAGGACCCTGTCCCTTAGGGGCACGGAGATGAGAACGACCAACTCTCTGACCAGGGTGGGCAAGAGAATGGAGGTGCCAGCACCTCCAAGACGGGGGAGGCAAGGACTGGAGGGTGGGTGGTGGGAGTCCCCAAGAGTGCCACAGCCTGGCAGGAGGCAGCCCACCCCTGCACCCCCAGGTTGGAGGCACCCCAGACGCACTCCCCTCCCGATGGTGGCTGGGGGTAGAGCTGTTCCCACCCGCACCTCTCCTCTCTGACTGCCACGGGGCTCGGGTGTCAGGCCAAAGCCTTGGTGCCAATTCAGCATCGCTGCCTCCCAGGTGCGTAGCAGCAGGGCCTCTCGGGGAGGCCCCAAGTGCAGAACCTCCCTGGCCCCTCCAGGTGGGCATCATTCAGCGGCCTCGTCCCTCGGCCAGGCCTAGCCATCCCCTGGTGCCTGAGTCCAATCTGGCTGTTGTTCTGGGGACTGACACACTTGGGGGTGACGGGGAAAAGGTCTTGGGAAGGAGGATGCGCCCGCCTCATTTGCTACGCTCTGAACTTTCTGGGGGTCTTGGATGCAGAGAGATCTGGCATCCAAGAGAGGTCACCCAGAGAGAAACTGTCCTTCAGCCTCTGCTGTCCAGGACTCAGGTTTGGGGGTTCCATGGTGGCCACCCCAGTCCTCCATTCTTCATCCACCCAGGCACCAACCATGGCTTCTCTGGACCAGCCTCCCGGGGCCTACACCAGAGGAAGAGCCCCTGGTTGGGAGGGTCCCCATTCCCAGGGACAGTGACCCCAGAGGCCTGGCAGCCCCACACACTGCGGGGGCAGGGGAGAACCTCGCCTGAGCTGCTTGGGCTGGGAACTGGGTTTCCTTGGCTGCCCTCACCCCTCTTCCACGTCTCCAGTTGGGCAGGCCTAGGGTCCCCATGGTCAGCTAGACCAGGGATACGCACAATTCAGCCTTTGGGCCAAATCTGGCCCGCTGCTTCTCTATGTAAATAAAGTTTTATTGGAACCTGGCCACACCCCCTCACTCACATATTGTCTCCGGCTGTGCTCGCCCTACCGCATCACTGAGGAGTTGCAGCAGAGGCTGTGTGGCCCGGAGAGACTAGCCCAGGTGCTGTCTGGCCTCGTACGGACTGGGCTGGCTGGCCGGCCCCTGAGCTGGACAGCAGGACAGGGTGAGCCTGGCTTGCTGGAGTCCTTGGCTTCTGCTGATGGGAACTGGCCCTTCTCAGGAGTCCCGGGAGGAAACGGCATGCTGGCAGGCGCGGGGACTCTGTGCCCTTGGCTGGCTGTGTTTGCCCCGCTGTGGTGGCTGGGTGAGAATGAATTTCATCCCTGGCAAGCTACAGAGCCACACTGTCTGGTCTGCAGCCTCCCTGGCCAGAGCAGCAGCCCCTGCGCTCTCCTCAGCCGCTGCTGTGGGCCAGGGAGGCGGTGGAGGTGGCCGAAGGGCAGGGGCCTCTGGAGGGCCCCCAGAGACTCAGAGAAACCCCTCCGGTGTCCTCGTCCTGACACCTCCCTGCTCTCTCCTTTGCGTGTCTCACTTTGGGCTCTGCTCTTACTCCCCGTCTCCCACCCCAGGGGCCCCCACTCTGTCCTCACGCTCCCTCTGCTTTTGCCCTGGCCTGGCGTCCATCAGCACCCAGGCACTGTCCACTCTGCAGCTGGCCCTGTGGCCTAGCCAAGAGCCCACAGTTGTCCATCCCCTCTGCGGAGAGCCCAGCTGCCGTCCATGCACCCCTTCCACAGACACTGACCACAAAGCTTCTCCCCGTAAGGCCCCGGAATCTGATCAGGACCCTCCGAGGGAACCTGCCAAGAACACAGATGCCTGGCTTCCCCCTGGGTCACCAAATCTAGCCCACAGCGAGAACTGGCCGGTGCCACTTACTGATGTGCCCAAGGGACTCAGCGTGGTAGAGTATGAGGACCCGGGGGTGAGGTTGTACAGGGGCCGGGTTTCCCTAAGTCCCTAAAAGCTGAGATGCCCTGGGCCCTGAGCACAGCTCCTCTCCTTGTCCCAGGAGAGCCAGCTCTGCCGGGGGACAGAGGCCAGGGCATCAACAGTCCCTCCCAGGCCCACGCTGTCCCCACCACCACCTCTTAAGGCTGGCAGTGCCATGTTCCACCCAGCTCGGCACATGCTGGCCCAGATGACCAAGGACACCCCACTCCCTGGCTGGCCAGCCCCAGATGAACAATGAGTGCTGCTTATGGTCACCGCACGTCTGGAGACGCAGCACAGGGGAGGCGACTGCAAGCTAGGATGGGGCTAGACGGCCCTGGGGAGCTGCCTCTGCTGCTGAGAACGACCGAGCTGTATCACCCGCTCCAACTCCTACGCTGAAGTCCTAACCCCTAGTACCTTAGAATGTGGCTGTGCGTGGAGACGGGACCTTTAAAGAGGTGATTACATTACACTGGGGTCATTAGGGTGGGCCCTAATCCAACATGACTAGCATCCTTACAAGAAGAGGCGATTAGGACATAGACACACACAGACAGACGACCATGTGAGGACACAGGGCAACGACAGCCATCCACAGCCAAGGAAGAGAGGCCTCCAACAGAACCAACCCTGCCCACACCTGGACCTCAAACTCCCAGCCTTCAGAACTGCGCGAGGAGAAACGCCTGTTGTTTATGCCACCTGGTCTGTGGCAGACCAATACGGCTACTTACTAGTCGGCTGGCCCTGGGCAGGCTTCCTATGCCCTCTGTGCCTCAGTTTCCTCTACTGTAGAATGGGATAGCAATGTGCCCACCTCTTGGGCTGTGGTGAGCCGGTTAAGATGTGAAGAGCCTGGAGCAGGCTGAGCAGGGGCACTGCAAACCTGCTCCTGTTCTTACACTTCCCCACGACTCAGAGGCCGGGGACACTGGGCACCTTGCTTGCAGCTCTCACGCCAGCTTACTCCTAAACACCCCAACCAGAGCCCCTACAAACACAGCCAAACGGAGCAGAGGCAGGCAGGGTCTGCTCCCGACAGCCCTTGCTAAGGACGCCCGACCAAGGCTGGCAAGGAAGGTGGCTAGGGCTCAGAGCTCACTGTTTTCTGGGAGGAGAAATTAAAACATAAATGAAAAAGGGCTCCGGGGCTGAGCAGGGCATGGAGGTGGCCAGGACAGGAGCCCAGCTGCAGGTACAGCCCCAATTTATGTGATTTTTAGGGACCTGGAAAGGGACCTGGCTCAGCCCACGTGGCAGTCACTTCTCTAACTTCCTAACTGCGGCCCCAGGATGGCTGCTGGGACTCCCAGAGATGGACTCTCACGGCTTCCAGGGGTGCAAAGGAAGGACAGTGTGGAGTGTGCTGTAAGCCCCAACCGACACTGCTTGAGCACCTGCTGTATACTAAGCGCTTTCATACAGTGAAGGCGAGGCTGCAGGCCATGTCCAGCTCACAGACAGAGACACCAAGGCCACCCAGGCACCAAGGTGATGCAGCTACCGAGGCCACACGAGAAGCAAGAGGGCATCTCTGTGGCAGGTGGGTAGTGGGAGTTAGTGTGAGTTGGGGAGCGGAGACCCAAAGAGCTGTGCTGGGTGGCCAGGGAGGCTCTGACTCAATGCCCAGCACCAGGTGAGCTGACCTGGGGGTGCCCATGTGTCCACTTATGGGAGACCAGGAGGCAGAGGCAGGTTGGGATGAGAGTCCTGGGGGTAGAGCTGGCCCGGGCGGTTCCTCCTCACAGATTCTATAGCCGGAGATGGAGATGGCTCAGGGGCATGCCTGCCTGCGGCCCTGGCTCTCCAAGAGCTCTGAGACCAATGCCCCCGGCTTAGCCCAAGCCGCACAGGAAAGCCATCCTGTGGACCAAGTCTGGGCACACAGAGAGGGCTGGACTCCACACGCATCTGTGGCAGGCTCCTGGAGACTCCTGGAACACCCCTGCATTCTCCCTTCATTCTCAAGCAATATTCCTTTGGGAAAATGCTCACCTGGTCTCAGCTGAATCCAGGAAATTGATTGCCACCCACTCACACACTCAGAGTTCAACTGGGGTGGTAGGGACACATGCACAGGACCGTGCCCACGCCTGGGCTGCATGCCCGCAGCTGGGGGACACACACACAGAGTGACGTGCACCCATCACTTACACACACACATTGGTCACACACATGTCCACACTAAATCATTTGCTCACAACCACTCACACACACACTACCTCCACACTCACACCCTACAGCTGCTGAGGAGGGTGAGGACAGGTCGCTACTCCCACCTCCCTCATAGGATGAGCTGCAAAACGGCTCAGAGGCTTCAGCGAGGGTGCATGCGTGTCCGCCGAGTGTTCCAGCGTCCCGGGACAGTTCTCCCCAGCACCGTTGATACAGCCCCCACTGCCCTCTGAAGTGCAGACAAAACGGAGGGCAGCTCTGCTCAGGGCCTCCCTGGCCCCAGGAAGGGCCAACAGGCAGCAAGGGCTGCCTTCCCCAGGAACGCTCCGCTCGAGTAGTAAGTGACTGCCTAGCTCCGGCCCCGGGGGATTCTCCTGAGATCTGTGAGTAGATGAAGCTGGGGATTAGCAGACATAGCTCCAGGCCGGGAGGAAAAATCCATGTGTGATTCATGATGCCCTCCCAGACGTGGGGCGATGCAGGTGGCCTGGAGCCAGGGCTGACGCCTAGGACCCCAACATTTCTCTGCACCCAAGGGGTGGACCTGGGGGCCATGCAGGCACTAAGGCAAGGCACGAGCGTGTGAGCGTGCAGCAGACAGCATGGCAGTGTGGTCCCACCTCAAGCTGCAGGGCAGAGCACGAGAGACCCAACGTGGTCTCTGGATGGGGTCTCAATTATCCTGTACGGCCAAGGCCTAAGTTCTAAGAGCTGGGCAGTCCCCCGTATGTGGGGCGGTCACAAGCCTGCAGCTGTCCCTCCTGCTGTATATCCATCCCGAGCTCACCCTGGAGCAGGCCTGGGTTCCCGGGGCACCCCCATATCCCACCTGCCCACTCTCAAACAACTCTTAGGCCAGAAAACTCTCTGAGAAGGGACAGCAGGACTTGGGATTCCCCCATTCATTCATTCATTCATTCATTCATTTTTTTCTTAATAAACATCTTGGCGAGCGTAGTGGCTCATGCCTGTAATTCCAGCACTTAGGGAGGCCAAGGTGAGTGGATCATTTGAGGTCAGGAGTTCGAGACCAGCCTGGTCAACATGGTGAAACCTTGTCTCTACTAGAAATACAAAGATTAGCCAGGCATGGTGACGCACACCTGTAATCCCAACTACTTAGGAGGCTGAGGCAGGAGAATCACTTGAACCCAGGAGGCAGAGGTTGCAATGAGCTGAGATCACACCATTGTACTCCAGTCTCGGCAACAAGAGCGAGACTCCATCTCAAAAAAAAAAAAAAAAACAAAAAAGTCTCGTGGGCTGGGCACAGTGCTAACTGCTAGCAACACCCAGGCAAGGAAGATGTCTATCTGGTTTTTGCCCACCAGGAATTTGGAGGTTAGAAACATAGCCCCTCTGCAGATAATCTGTAGCAGGACAGAAAACAAAGCCTGGTTATGGTGGGGTCATCCAGCCTGAGGCACTCAGGGGAGGCTCCCTGGAGGAGGTGGCCCAGCTAAAGCCTTGAAGGATGCACAAGAGTGAGTGAGCCAAGGAAGGGGCCGGCACGAGTCAAGTCGCAGAGCCCAGGGGACAGGTCAGGTTGGAGAAGGGATGCTGAGAGGCCCCATGAAGCCCGTCCTCTGCTGCCAATGAACCCTTCATGGAGGCCTGGAAGCACCGCATGGCTCCAGCACACACCCCGATCCCATCACTTCCGTCTCCGCATACCAGCTGGGGATGCTGCTCCAGGAAGTGACCTCACCTTTTAAATACAATGCGTCTTCCTGCAACTTAACCCCCTCGGGGGTGTGTGGAGGCCCGGAAGCTGGCCTGCCTGCTCTTGCAGCTGGTGGTTGAAGTGCCCTTGCTCTTCCGGTTATGGCTCTTCCGTTTTTTTTTTGTGTGTGTGTTTTTTTGAGACAGGGTCTCACTCTGTCACCCAGGCTGGAGTGCAGTGGCGCGATCTTGTTTCACTGCAACCTCCGCCTCCCGGGTTCAAGCGATTCTCCTGCCTCAGCCTCCTGAGTAGATGGGACTACAGGCGCATACCATCACACCCGGCTAATTTTTGTATTTTCCTAGAGACGGGGTTTCACCATGTTGGCCAGGCTGGTCTCAAACTCCTGACCTCTTGATCCGCCTGCCTCAGCCTCCCAAAATGCTGGGATTACAGGTATGAGCCACCGTGCCTGGCCACACCCACACTCTGTGGGGACCAGGGCCTCCTGCCACAATCAACCCACAACAGTCGAAGGAGGCTATGAGGCCCCAGCGGGACTTTTGGGGGACAGGGATGGGAGGAAATTCAGGACTAGACAGATTACAAAACCGCTCACAGACTTCTGCCCCCAGCTGCCCCTGCTGAGAATTGGGAGCCAGAAAAAGGAGGCCAAATCTCAGGGTAATGTTCATGCTCCTTGTAACCTCTGGTCCCATTAAACTAGCAGCACAATCCCAGCTTTACCTTGCAGAGCCAGACATAATGGGGCATTAGAAGGGAATTGAATTTCCCTTTAATTACAATGGCCCACAGACATTGTTTAATTTGTAATCTGGGAGTTAATGTGGTTTTCTCCTCTTGCAGTCATGGGGCCGCCTGCACACACATGTTCTCATTCACCCGGACGGAGCATGGGGCCCACCCTGCAAGGTGAGACGTCGGACAAGGCCGCCCCCAGCCCGGTGAGTGGAGTGCCGCGCCCAGCCCTGCCTCTCTCCTGCCTCCAGCCAGGCCCACCACACAGAGGACGTCAGTGTGGCTGTCACATGTCACATGGAGCACACATGCATGGAGCCATCCTAATAGGCAGGCAGGAGCATAATTTTTCCTCTAATTACATATTCAGCACTTCTGAGAAAATGAGATTTTAGTAATTCAATTGGACTGAGAAGCGGGGCTATAATAAAATGGAATTTGTAACAATCGCGCAGTTAAATTAGTTAAATGGAGAGGAAGGAGCTGTGGAAAATTGACCCCTCGATCTCCTAAGGACTAATCAGACATTTGAACTGAGCTGTGCTAACAAAGCCCTCGGGTGTTGTGGGTGGTGTGGGCGGGCGGGGGTCTCCCGCGGCAGGTGAAGGAGGGGACGGCGGAGAGAGCAGGGCTGGGAGAGCCGGGAGGGGTAGAGGACAGCTCAGGGCTTGGGGAAGTAGGTGCTGGAATGGAAAAAGCCAGTGGCACGGCTTCTGATCAAGCGGTTCTCAAACTGCAGTTTTCAGAACATCCTCCAGTGCCACCTGGAGAGGGACAAAGTCACGGAGGAGACCGAGGTCTGTGACATGCAGCTCTCGGGTGCTCCTGAGCACAGACACGCCAGGGCTGTCTGGGGGAGAGAGGGTGACGGCGGGACCAAAACTGTGCCCACCTCACTGCCAAGCTGAAACAGAGTGGTTCAAGCTGGGGGAGAAAAGCAACTTCTGGCCAGGGTGTGGCCACTGCTCCCCCATCTCACCTGGGAGCATCCGGCCCCAGGACCCTAGCCGGGTCCCTCTCTGGCCTTGGCCAGCTCCCTCCTTGGGGCCGGGCAGCACACTCGGCTGAACACCAAGTGTCACAGAGGAGGCAACCGCTCCTGCCCCGCCTGGGGAAAGCCGCAGGCCCGGGGCCTCACGGCCTCAGTGTTCTGAGGGTGTCAAGAGGGGAGGTGTGGACCCCAAGCCTTTGGAGAAACTGAGAGATCCCGGAAACAAGACTCCAGGGATGCTCTTCAGGCTGTGGTGGGGCAGAGTGGAGAGGCCAGGGCATCCGAATGTCCTTCTGACGCTGCCCCAGACCCTTCTGGTTTGCAGAGATCCTGTCATTCAGGAGAACATTCTTCCCCAGAAACCCTGGCAACATAAAAAGTCAGGGAAGTCCCAGAGCTGGAGGGCAGGATGGGAACCGGGAAGGTTGTTGCCACCTGGACCAGACTGGTGCTTTCCTCACCCTGCCCACCCAGCACTGGGTGCAGAGCTGCCTGGGTGGGGAAGGCCTAGAGGGATGCCCCCCACCCGCCCGCACCCCACTTGCTTCCCTCCTGGCTGATGCGGAAGCTTTGCCAACAGGGTGCCCCACCTCCCTCAGGCACCTGGGACCGCCAGATGCAGAACGGGTCTCCTGCGTTGAGCTCCTCCTTGCCCAGGTGCTGTGGGTGTCTCTGGGCCAGATGGTGTCCAGACAGGCCTGCTGGAGCCCACCCAGCCCAGGCCTCCTGAACTCTTATGCTGAGCCATGCAAACAGGCTGGGGCCAATTGGAGGGTGGGGACCCCTGCCCCACAGCCTGACCATACAGCACATTCTAGAATATCAGCAGAAGCAGCTTCCTGCTTTCCTCTGCAGGCAGGCCCACCTCCACCCCACAGCTCAGACAGAGGTGTGGGCTCCAGGAATCCTTCTGTACCAGGGTTCGGAAAAGGGTGAGATGGGGAAGCTCAAGGTTTGGGATGGGGGAGGGAAAGAATGGGCCAAGAAGATCCCAGAGATCCCAGGCCTCTGGGAGGGGTGGGCATGGCTGCACCCCAGGTTCCCCACCTGGCAGGGGCGGTGGCGGTAGCGCCTGGGCAGAAAAGTGCAGCTGCTCTTCAGGAGTCCAAGGTTAGGGCATAGTGGGGAGCTGGGAGAAGCCAACAGGCTAAGGACTTCCTGTGGGCAGCACCGTGCTGAGCTCGTGGGGTCATCCCACTTAACCCTGAAGACCCCCAAGATACAGGTGCTGGACTGTCCTTGGCTGTGCAGTCCGCAGCTTGGGTGCAGGACAGGGGCTCTGCGGCCTGGTGAGAGACGCTCCTGGGGGTGGGCGGCACTTCACCCCTTCAGTCTTGGGGGGAGGTGTTACATAATTAACACCTTGGGTGCCTTGGCGCATGGCCAGCTGTGCCAGTGAAAACGGTGCCACTGGCCCTTGGTGGGAGGCCCAGCGTCAGGTGCGGCCACAGCACGGCGGAGCAAAACAAAAGTGCACGCATTCCTCGGTTCATGGAGGTGAGCCCTTCTCTTGGTGAGGGCAGTGGAGGTCCCAAGTGGGAAGGCCGGGGGTCCAGGCACCCTCCTGGGAGCCTCACCCGCGTGGTGGCTGCCCTGATGCCCCAGAAGCTGGTCTTCCCATGTGCCTGGGCAGCGGGCTGGGAGGGCCAGGGGGAGCCAAACTGCAGAAAATGCAGTGGCCCTAGCAGGCAGAACTCACCCTTAACTTCCCTCGCCCCTCTTCTCCCTGCACCAGAATCACCCAAGGGACCCAGCGTTTCACTCATCTTTCCACCCTTAGTGCCGGGAAGAAAATGAACCCTCAGAATAACATCTGCTAAGGAAAGACCAGACCACACGCTCATCTTTCTAGAGCCAGGAGGAAGGAGCCTCTGACATGGCCCCTGAACAAAAGCAGCCGGGCCACACCTAACAGGCAGGGTGGGAGGGGGAGGCATGGGGAGCAGCCGGGAGGGATGAGAGGCGGGAGACATGGGCTGGTGTCCTCTGCCCTCCAGCATCTTCCTGCACAGCCCTCTGGGCTGGCTTCCACCTCCCAGGCTGCGGTGAGCCATTCAAATATTTATCCTTGTGTCATCTTCTGAAAGGGGAGAGAAGAGAAAGAGGGAGGGAGGAGGAAAAAACCCGAGTTTCTCATTTGAAAGTTAATTAGTCTAATTAGGTCTAATTAAGAGCCCCCAACACAATGCAGTGCACAAATGAAGTGCCGGCTCCTCATTTCCTTTGGTTCTCATTTTAGACTGAGCTGGGAAAGCCTGGGAAGGAGGGGGTGCCTGGGGAGGCCGCAGGAGGGCACAGCGGGGTCCCATCCCTCTGGGGGACAGGTGGCGGGGGCCCCTGGGCAGAGCTGGCAGGTGCACATCCCGATTCCTCCATGCCAGCCATCCCGGGAGGTGACGGGATGAACTTTTAAATCCCATTCTCAGTGCTCTCCTGTTTTCTGGCTCCGGAGCCCCCTGGAGAAATTCTGGCTTCGCCGGCCGGGGTCCCTGGCTCCTTTCGCAGGTGCCTCAGACACGATCTTCAGACCTGCACAAGGGCTTGGGGTCTATGTCCAGGACATGCCCCACCCCCAGGTTCTGGAAGCTTCCAGAAGTCAGGCCAGGTCACAGGATCATTAGGGGCTGAGTCCTGGTTTGGGGGTCCCGTGCCTACCTGGATCACCCCAAAGGAGGGCAGGGCAGCAGCAGATACCATGAGACGCCCTGAGATTGTGGGCATTCTGCCTGCAGCAGGGCTGGGAGCCGGTGACACGCGGCGGGGTTGCTGAGGACACTGTGAGCCAAGGCCCTGCAGGGCACCCGCGTGCACTGGCCGGGGAGGGATGTGTCCACAGGCCCCGGGTTTACACAGAGGGAAACTGAGGCCCAGGGAGCTGGAGTGAGATGTTGCACAGATCTGTACCCGGCGTGCGGCAGAGTTGTGATTGGAACTAGGTACAACAGAGGGATACAAACCTGGGCTTGGCCCACGCCCACCCCTCCTGTTCCCCCCCCGGGCAGGTAAGGGCGAACCTTGGCCCCAGACAAACTGGAGGATGCAACTCCAAGCAAACACCAGTGTGGGAGGGGCTCCTTTCCCTCCTGCACCCCCCAGCGCAGCCTCCCGTGGGAGGGGAGCCTTGGCAGGAGCTATGCTCAGGAAAGGAGGCCCGGGCAGTTGTGGGGAGCCCGCCAGGAGCTGTAGCCGCCCCGGGCTCCAACTCAGGCAGCCGAGACTGAGCCATGCAGCAATGGGAATGGCCGGAGGGGATGATGTCTGAACCAAGATCAAAAGACTTAAGTAGGCTCAGCTCTCAGCCACAGATGAAGGGGAGTCCAAGAGCCACCCACGGGGAGCTGAGATGGGGGAAGGGAATGAGGGGGCTTCGGAAGGGTCCCGAGGGAGGGCAGAGCCTCAGGGAAGGTGAAGGCCCAACACCCCAGCACCGAGATCCGGAGGAGGAGCCCAGCCCCTATGAACATGCACAGGTCGGAATGTAGGCCCTTGACCCTCACCATCCACCTGGCCGAGGGAAGCCCCCAGGCCACTCAGAGCCCATCCACCCCTCCTGCCAGGGCTGGCCCCAGCCAGGTCAGAGTGCGGATGCCAGGCTGGGCTCAGTGGGAGAATCGAAACAAAGGGAAGTTGCCAATAAACTTTTTGGGTGATGAAAATTCAAAAACGGGTTTCTGGGATGGTTGCACAACTGTGAATTCCTTAAAAGTCACCGAATTGCACACCTGCCAAAGAGTGAATTTTACAGTATGCAAATTACACCTCAATAAAGCTGTTAAAAATAAGAAGGTGAACAGACCAGTGGCCATGCCTCCGGGGGCCCAGAGACAGCCTCAAACAAAGGACCATGAGGAAATCCAGAGAGCCCAGCTCTCTCAAGACCCCCGGCAAGGCGGGCACGTCACCCCCACGACAGACGCGCTCACAAGGGCAACCTTCTCAGCTACTCTGGGCCGCAGTTCTTCTCTTCTGTGAAATGGGAAGATCGATCATATCCTGGGGCTGCTGGAGGCTCAAGTCAGAGACTTCCAGACAGTGCCAGGCACATGGCCAAGAACAAGCCCAGGTACAGTGCCAGGCACAGTGCCAGGCTCGGGGAGTGCTAGGCCCCTCTTCCCTTGTTCTCTCCCCAGGGTCTCCATCAGGCTCTGGGGGGCCCCTTCTTCCCCTCCCTCTGGGGTCTCTATCAGGCTCTGGGGGCCCCTCCTTCTCTCCCTCTGGGGTCTCTATCAGGCTCTACGGTCCTACTGAGCACCCTCCAAGGAGGCCCTGGCTGATGTCAGGGCTGTGGGTCCATGGGACCTTGGCTCTAGTGGGGCCGCATAATCCCCCAGCAGCCTCCCATGGGTCATGGAGTCCTTTCCTGGCCATCACAGGCTTGGCGGGGTTGAGGACTCCAATTTACAGATGAGGGCACTCAAGCCTGTCTTCTGGTCTGTCTCTCTCACCCCGGGCTCACTCACAGCCCCGGCCGCAGTCTGCCTGCCCCCGCAGAGGAAGCGTGCTTGGTGGGTCCCCTGCAGTCCCGCCACCCGTCTAGATTCCTCGCTTTAAATTCTCCCCATCAGCTGCCCTGGGGCCTCTTCAACCCTGGCCCTACCTGGGGTCCAGGGCACCCCGGAGCCGGAGCACGGGGCCTGGAGGTGCCCCCGGGACCCTGGAAGCTGCCTCTCTGGGATGCTAGGTCCTCTCAGAGCTCATCCGGGACCCTCCAGGGGAAGCACAGAACCTCCAAAGGCTCTATGGATTTCCGAGGAGGGGGCAGGACAAAGATGGGCCTCCCCCAGGTAAAAGCCCTTCCCTTCACCTCCAACCACAGAGTGGGGGGCAGTGGGGGTCCCCGGCTGGACCCCAGCCCCAGGGCTGGGTGAGGGGTGGGTAACTGGGGAGGGTGGTTGGCACTTTATTTACGGGGTCCTGAAACAGTGGGGCCGGCTCAGAGGCTAAGGAGCCCAGAGGGCTCTGATGCCCCGACCCTCGTTCGGGAGGTCCATCCCTGAGGGCCCTGACCCCGCTGCTGCCTGACCCCTGACCGGCAGGGCCCTAAAGAGGCAGGTGCGGCTTGCCATGGGTGGGTCCCCCACTGGGCAGGGAACCTGCGACCAGTGCCTCCAAAGCATACTTCCAACCCTAAATTAAAATAAATCCCACCACCAACTCATGAATAGCACAATTGCATGGCACCTGCCTGAGTATGGGTTTAAATTGTGAATTGACCAAATGGAAATAGTCAAGATAAACTACACATTTTGTGACCTTATCTTAGCAATTTCTCTTCCTGATGTCATAGATCCACAGCCTAAGAGAACAGAAGAGGCCCGTGCCCAAGGGGGTTGGCCCCACGGCCGCCCTATGTCCTGTGGCCCCCTGACCCTGCCAGCCAGGAGGTGTCCTCACCCCCACTGGTCCATGAGGAAACTGAGGCTCTGAGGGGAGAGGGGTCACTGAGCAGGTGTGGGCGGCCTGGCCCGCTTGTCCACATCCGCTGATGAATGCACTGAGGTGGGACAGTGCCACCTTGGACAGGCCAGCCGCACGGGGCTGCGGCCTCTCTGCGGGTGGCCCGGCAGACACAGAGCCATGGTCTCCTCTGTCAGCCAGTGTGTTTGGGAACATGGCCCATTTGCTGGTTCATCCTCCTAGCTCACCCTGTCTTCCCGCTGGGCTTACATGCCGGGTGCGCCCTCGCCTGGCCCTGGGTCATGAAGGCACTGCAGATGCATGCAGGTAGGGCAGAGAGCCCACTTGGTACTCACAGTACCAGATCCGTAGCAATGCAGCCGTGGCCCCAGACACACAGCCGTGATACATGCCTGCCACCCTTGGAAACAACCAGCACCCCAAACACGCACACTGGCTCTCGCCACACTGCCGCTGAGTGGAGGACCTTCCAAACAGCCCCCTGGCCCTGCTCAGCTCTCAGGAAAGAGCCCAGCTGCACAGGGCGGATCCGTGGGGACTGTGTGAATCCCGGTGTCATTTCCTACTTGGGATTTGTAAGAGGGACAAAGGCAGCACTCACAGCCCTGATTCAGACATGCAGGGGGGTGCCCACCTCTGCTTGGGCCCAGGGCAGTCAGCAACCCGGGTTTCACTGGAGGGGCTGGGTTTTTCTTTTTCACACACCTTAGGCATCCTGAACTCAGATGCTGGGGTAGCGGTGAGGATTCCATATAGGGGAAGGGCAGGGAACACCCCTGGGCTGTGCGGTGGGCAGTCCCTCTCCTCCTCCCCTGCTCCTTCACCCACTGCGGGCAGGACAGGCCCTCAAACTGCTCCCACAAGACCCCTCTAAGAGCCAGCTAAGATCACACACCCCACCCAGGACCCAGGACCCAGGACCCCGCCTGCCTCCGCCAGGGCTGCAAGCCCTCAGTGCAGAGTCCACACCCTCCCACCATGGGACCCTGCACACTGCAGCCCTCGAGAAACAGGAGGCGGCACCGAGGGCCCCACCTGGTGTGGTCCCGTGGCATGAGGCAGCCCCAAAAGGCAAATCCACAGAGGCTGGCAGGAAGGCCGCACACGGGTGGGCTGGGAGGCTGCCAGAGGCTGGGTGGGGAGAACGGGAGGTGGCTGCCACTGGGCATGGTATTCTTGTTAAGATGGTGAAAATATTCAGGAACTAGAAGTGGCGATGGCTGCACAACGCTGAGAATATACTGAAAACCACGGAACCGTATACTTCATAAGGGTAAATGTTACGATACGTAAAGCCCACAGATACAAATCATTAAAAGGAAAGGAAATGAAGAGAGGAAAGAAGGAAGAAGAGAAGGAAAGAAGGAAAAGAAGGAAGGAGAGAGGAAGAGGAGAGAGTTAAAAAAGGAGGAAAAGTGGGAGGAAAGAAGGAGGGAAGGGCAGGAAGGAGAGAAGGAAGGAGAAGAGGGAAGGGAAGGAGGAAGAAAGGAAACGGAGGAAGGAAGGAAGGATGGAAAGCAGGAAAGGAGGAGGAAGGAAGGAAGGAAGGAGGAAGGAGGGAAGGAAGGAAGGGAGGAGGAAGGAGGAAGGAAGGGGAAGGAAGGGCAGGGTCCGGAAGAGGCTGCCTTGGCTGCAGTAGGGCTCAGGCCAGATGTTCACGGAGAACAACAGGTTAACGGTGTCCAGCTTCCAGGAGGGCCAAGTGTTCATGGCTGGCTGGGGTACCGGCTCCGGTCCTGCCAAACGGGCCAGAGGGGAGATAGAGGAAGGAGTTGGACCTGAGAGTCCCCTGCCAGGGGCCTGCAGCCCAGCCTGGAGCCTGAGGGAGGGCTCCAGGGCCAGGGGAGGGAAGGTGTTTTCTCCATCAGGGAGCCACGGCCTGGGGGCTCTTGAGGGCTGGGGGGGCAAGGCCTGGTCAGTGCAGGCTCAAGCATCCCATCCACCACGCGTCTGCACCGTCCTGAAGCCAGAAACCAGCTGTTCTACAGGGACCCCTCCGTGGTGTGTCCGTTAGGCCTCCCAGGTATACCTCTCCCGCTAAAGCTTCCCCATCCACCCCTCTCTGTCCCTACTGCTGCCCCTGCCCATACCCCTGTTCCGGCCGCCCCTGGTCTGTAGCTTTCTGGCCCCTCCTTTTCTATCCCAGATGAACTTTCCTTACTTGTAAATCTGATCCTCACTCCCTGCTCAAAGACCTTCTGTGGCTCCCTATTGCCTACTGGAAAAAGTCAAAATTTCTCAGCCTAGAGCCCCAAAACACTCACTCCCTCGCACCCCGGGTACCAGGTGCTCCAGGAACCCCCGTGAACCCACTCAACCCTGTCTTTCCACGTAAACTGCTGCCTCCGTGTGGATGGTCCTGTTCACAGATCCACTGCCACAGGTCCAGACCCCAAACACAGAGGGCAGAGCCCCGCTCCTGAGACACCTGCCTAGGTCTCCGGTGGAGATAAGCCTTATTCCTTTTAGATCTGAGCTGTCCACTTCAGCAGCCACTGGCCCCATGTGGCTGTCGAGCAATTGAGGTGGGTTGTGAGTGAAAATTATACAGTGGATTTTGAAGATTCAGCATGAAAAGAGAATGCCAAATATCTCAATCATGTGTATATTGATTAAATGCTGCAATGAAAACAGTTTGGACTGGGTTACACAAACACGTCATTAGCACGAATTTCATCTGCTTCCTTTTACTTTTGCAGATGCGGCTGTTAGGAAACGTAACATCACCCGTGGCTTCACCACGCTGCCATCTGCGGACAGGGCTGGTGTAGGCCAGAGACTGGCCAACGTTTTCTACGAGGGGCCAGAGAGCAAATATTTAGAGCTTTGCTGGCCATATGGTCTCTGCTGCAACTGCTCATTTCTGCCGTCGCCAGGCAAAAGCTAACACAGACAACACGTAAACAAATGAGCGTGGCTGTGTTCCAATAAAACTTTTAAAAAATAAAAACAGACAGTGGGACAGATTTGTTCCACAGACCCCTGCACTAGATCTCTGGTTTCCAGACTTTTGAATCACACTAATTACTAACATTTAATTACTTTTTTTTTATAAATTAAAAAAAAAATAGATCTTGCCACTTTGCCCAGGCTGGTCTCAAACTCTTGGGCTCTAGTGATCCTCCCAACTCAACCTCCCAAAGTGCTGGGATTACATGTGTGAGCTCAAACTCTTGGGCTCAAGTGATCCTCCCAACTCAACCTCCCAAAGTGCTGGGATGACGGGTGTGAGCCACCACACCCAGCTGTAATATTTAATTTAAAAAGGGTGGAGGAGGGGGAAGATCCATTAGAATTACCAACCTTTGGCTGGGTGCGGTGGCTCACGCCTGTGATCCCAGCACTTCAGGTGGCCAAGGCAGGTGGATCACCTGAGGTCAGGAGAGTTCGAGACCAGCCTGGCCAACATGGTGAAATCCTGTCTGTACGAAAAATATAAAAATTAGCCAGGGGTGGTGGTGCACGCCTGTAATCCCAGCTACTCGGGAGGCTGAGGCATGAGAATTGCCTGAACCCGGGAGGTGGAGGTTGCAGTGAGCCGACATTACACCACTGCACTCCAGCCTGGGCGACAGAGTGAGAGTCCGTCTCAAAAAAAAAAAAAAAAAAAAAGAGAAAAAGAAAAAAACGCCAACCTTTTATTTTCCCAAATGAGGACATTTAAAAAATGAACAGCAGATATCACTATCACAAAAATGGGCATTTCAACACAAAAAGTAAACATCTTTATGAAAACCATGACTACATTATTCTGATTTTGCCCACTTTGCCACAGGTAGGTGAAACCTTTGTCACAGACACAGCGTGTTGTTGCCTGGTGCAGGAGCTGGGAGGGGACCGGTCTGAGTCTGGTCTGAGGCCTGTGGTCATGGGAGTTTCTCCCAGGCCACCCTGTCCACGTCCCCCTGGTGCTCCCCATGTTCTAGAGCAGCGTGACTCCCTGGGCCTCCATCTGATGGCGATTCCAAGGGAGGCGGCTTGGGGAGCCGGAGGGTCTGCGCTTCTAGCTGGCTCTCCTCACTGCAGGACCAGAGGGAGTATCAGAGCCCTAGAGTTGCTGTGTCCAACAGAAAAGAATGTTCTAGATCGGCCAGTACGTTAACCAGGAGACCCATATGACTATGGGTCCTGGAAACGTGGCTTGTCTCAACAGAGATATTCTGTTTGTGTAAAATCTACACCCAATCTCAAAGACAGTACAGACACAAGAATGTTAACGATCTCTCATAGTTTATCTCATCCTGATTATTCTGGGGGATAAGATTTGAGCTATGCTGGGTTAAACAAAATGTATGATTGAAATTCATCTCATCTGTTTCTTTTCACCTTTTAAAAATGGCTACCAGACGGGTGAGGTGGCTCATGCCCGTAATTCCAGCACTTTGGGAGGCCGAGGTGGGTGGATCACCTGAGGTCAGGAGTTTGACACCAGCCTGGCCAACATGGTGAAACCCCATCTCTACTAAAAATACAAGAAATTAGCCGGGTGTGGTGGCGCACGCCTGTAATCCCAGCTACTTGGGAGGCTGAGGCACGAGAATCGCTTGAACCCAGGAGGCAGAAGTTGCAGTGAGCCGAGATTGCACCACTGCAGTCCAGCCTGGGAGACAGAACGAGACTGTCAAATAAATAAATAAATACATACATACATACATACGTACATACTACTAGAAAATGTAAACTTCCCTGTGACAAGCACTGTATTTCCATTTGACAGCGTTGCTTTGGAGCCTTTCACAGAGCCAGCCAGCCTCTGCTGAATTCTTCTGGTGATGGGGAACTTACACCTCATGAGACAGCTCATGCTAAAGGCATTAACACTGGAGACGCCCTTGGAGGTCGTCTTCCTACTGCCATCCCACCCTCTAGTCCTGCTAGCCCTGTGCTGCCTGGTGGGGAGGGCCTATTCTCTCTAAGGGGCCCACCTGCAGACTTTTGAAGATGATCAGCTAAGATCCCAGTTAAATGCCCCTGATGCCTTTAGCTGATCTTCCCGGTCAACCTTCCAAAACACACAGTGGCTTGGCAGTGACGGCACGGCACTGGATGCGCCAGCGGGTCTAGGTGGCTCTGACCCCATCCCGTCCGCTCACTGGGTGATGGGGCAGGGGGCCTGGGAGGAAAATGGTGAGCTGGAGCCACCCCTGGATCTCAGACTTTGCTGATTTTACCCCAGGCCTTCTCCCACCGTGTCTTGCCATGCAGCTGGAGATGGCTTCATTTTTTACATCATCCACCTATCGGAATGGACTCTCCATGGGTCATTCTGAGACCCTCTCCCCACGCTGAGTACAGAGCTTTGCACACGCCACGTGCTGAAGTGGAGCCCTGCTGGGGGTGGGGGGTGGGGGTGTCAGCGACCTCTTAGTCACCCTTGACTCCAGGGTCACTGGATCTTCTGTTTCCTTTTGCTTCCCCTGAATTTGTTGGTCTAGTTCCTTGTGAAGTCCCATCCGCTTATTAGCTACACCAGGAGACACAGAGGAAAACGGCGAGCGTCTCAGTCCCAAATGGGGAGAACAGGGCCTCTCCCCAGGCCTGGTGGTGGGGACCAGGGAAACCTCCAGGGTGAAAACACCTGGTAGAAGGTTTCCTGGGGCAGGGACGAAGTGCTCACTATCACTTAGCTGTCCTCTGCCTTGCCCTATGGTCAGTCCCACACACACAGGCACACACACAATGCACACTCACATGCACTCACATACATGCCACATGCACACAATGCATTCACTCACATGCACACAGACACACGCACACAATGCAGCCACACGTGCACACAGACACATGCGCACACACACACATCCACAATGTACTCTCACACTCAGACACGCACACATGCACTCACACACACTGACACAATGCATATCACATACGCCACATGCACACAATGCAGTCACACACGCATACTGACACATGTCCACAATGCACTCTCACCGACTCACAGACACATGCACAGTCACACACTGATACACAATGCACACTCACATGCACTCATACATTGACACATGCACACACCACTCACACTGACACACATCCACAATGCAGTCGCTTACATGCACTGACACACACCCAATGCACACAACCACTCACACACAATGCACACTCACATGCACTTGCACACACACAGACACATGCACACAATGCATTCACACGCACACATACACTGACGCACACACAACACACTTGCCCCACTTAGCACAGGGCCCGGCACAGTGAGGAGCAGGTGACGTTTGTCTAAGTGAGACTGAGGCCTAGGAGTAGGCGACCTGGGCACAGGAGAGCTGAGCGTCCCCTTGCAGGGTACAGCCACGAATCCCAGCAAAATGCACCTTCATCCACAGTGGCCTCTGCCTGGAACGGTTCCTCCTTCCCCTGCTTGCAGGCCTCAGCTCGGGGCCTCCTCTGCCCCTCTCCGAGGCCCCCGTGCCAACCCCCAGGCATGCCCCAGCCCCTCCTGCCTCTTCCTTCCTCTTCCTCCATACCTGGCAAGTCTATCTGCCTCTTTAGTGACACTCTATCTCCCTTCCCCACCCACATGATAACTCCGCCAGGGCAGCGGTGACTCATGGGGGTCTGACACGCAGGTGGGAGTACCTGGCGATGGCCAAAGGACACATGGCTGAACAGCGCTTGGGCAGCATGAGGTCCCTGACCCTGAGCACCTGTCATTTCCCAACTGGCATCCTCGCTCTTTCACATAAGGAAACTGAGGCTCCAGGGACAGGGAGCTCACGCTAGGCCACCAGGCTGGTCACCAGAAGGGCCCAGGACAGCAGACTACCCCACCCATCCCATTCCTCTGGAGTCCCTGTCATAACGGCTTCAGATGGACACGGACCTATGACCACTCCCAAGGCTGGCATGGAGTCACTCTCCTGGGATCTCCCGGTGTGGGCACTGGCCGAGGGTGGGGTGACTGGGGTCCTTTCCCGCGGGCGTGCTGCCCACTGGAGTGTGATGAAGCAGCCCTCTTCCTGTCTCCAGGCGGTCCAGGGCCTGGCAGACACACTGCCTAGACCACCCCTCTCCTGCCCCGCTGCCCTGGCTCCCCAGTGCTCCCTGGACGAGCTCCCCAGGGTCAGATGCTTGAAGCTGACTCACCACAGCTCAGAAGCTGGGCACGCCCGAGTTGCCGGCTCTTGGGGTGGCGCCTCTGAGGGTGATTAAGAGGCTGTTCAGAAAGCCTGGATTGGTGGTGGGCAGCAGGTCCGAGCTGCGGGGCGCAGTAGCCTCTGCAGCCCCAAAAGCTCTCTGGAGAGAAGATGTAAAACCCTGCCTCAGAGGCTTAGACACAGACGCCCCGGCTGGAAGGGCAAGACGGCTGGTGGACTCC
Organism: Homo sapiens; assembly: GCF_000001405.40. Classification (NCBI taxonomy): domain Eukaryota; kingdom Metazoa; phylum Chordata; class Mammalia; order Primates; family Hominidae; genus Homo; species Homo sapiens. The sequence goes on from NC_000017.11 coordinate 79,175,916, forward strand.
CCACTCTCTCTGACCACCTGGGGGCTCGCATACACCCTCACAGCCAGTGCCGGGGAGATGTGCTTGTCACCCTGGGGACCAATTTCTGTGACTGAGTTGTGTCTGTGAACCCCAGGAAGGGCAGGACAGGGTCCTTTACTCTGGACTCTAAACTCAGGGCCTACTGTGGTGCTTGGCCCAAACGGCAGCTCCAGGAGGAATTTGCGGAAGGGGGTCCTCTGGAGACGGTGACGCCCCACCTCTTTGCCTTCTCCTCTTCTGTGGATTCCCTGAGCTGTGCAGGGACCCCAGGGCGAGGGCATGGCCCTTGGATACAAAGACCCTGCCTGCCCCACAGAGGTCTGGGCCCAGCAGAGACAAGACTTGCTCCATTGCCCTTCTGTGGCTGTCGGGCCCATCTCTGTTGAGCTGGTAAGGGACCCACTGTCCACAGTTCAAGCTGGACCTGCTGGCACCAGAGCCCCCAGCACCCCCCAAGCAGGGCCCATGGCATGAGCCCAGCAGCTCAGCCGAGTAGTCCCAGCCTTCCTGCCCAGGCCCAAGCCCCCCAGCCCCAACTGGGTCTCCTTCCAGAGCCGAACTCGCTGCCCCGGAGGGACTGTGAAACCAATGGCCATATTCCAGCTGCGCTGGTGACACAAGAAGTCGGAGTCAGTCCTTCTGGTCTCGAGTAATGCGATTTGCAAGATACACACAGCCCCCGACAAGCCAAGTCTGCCTGGTGGATGGGTTGGCTGGAGGGGGTTTCCCAGGGGCCTAGTTAGAGCCTGGGGGATGAGGAGGGGCTGGAATCTTCCGGGAGGAAGTAGTGGTGGCTCTCCCTGAAGGAGAGAAGCAGAGAAAAAAAAAATGACCGTGGCAGAGAGAATAGAAATTAGGCAGGGAGGGAAGAAAAAGGTGAAAAGGGAGAAGATTAAAAGCATGGAAAATTCTAGGGGCCACAGCTGATCATAAAGGCAGAAGAAAAAGGGTTAAGGCCGGTTAGGAAGCTCCGAGACAGGTGCTCCAGAGAAGGAAGCCAAGAGAAGAGACAGACGGTGACCTGTAATCTCCTTCACGGAGGTCCCAGCTGCTGTCCCGGTCTGGGTCGGAATCCACTGGCCTCCCCTAGTCCCCACTATGCCCCCTGGGTCCCACACCACCAGGAGCTCCGGACCTCCCTCTGGACGCCTGCCCATGGGACTGTCTGTCCTGGCCCAGGTGCCACATGGGCCTAGCCTGGGCTGAGCTGGGTGCCAGGGGTTGCAAGCACCTCCCCAGAGCTGGCCCAAGGCCACCACTGGCCTCCTCCTCTCCCCCCCCGCCCTCTCCCCAGCCTTGGAACCTGATATTCTGCTTTAAGCCACCTTTGGGTTGTGTCCCCAGGACCAGAGGACAGGAGACAGAAGGGCACGTGGGCTATCTTGGCCTCCACCTCCTCCAAGGACGGCAGCCGTTTGTGCTTCCCAAGTTGTGTGGCTCAGCGTCTGCCCTGCAGGTCTAGCGGGCAGCAGACACCCCGCTGTGCCAGGCTGGAGAGGAGAGGCGGGAGGCACATTCATTGCATGGCTGCAGCGTTCTCCCCTGCCCTCTGCTAACCTCCCAGCATGCCGAATGGCCGTCAGCTTACCCCCCTCTGCGAGCCCAACCTGCTCCTCTGGCCCATACCGGTTGGAGAGCCAGGGGGCACACTGGCACACCCATGCTGCCCACCAAGCCCAGGTCCTCAGGTGGGACAGGTCGGGATGGGCATTCTTCCCATGTCCATCCCAGAGCCTGGGTGCAGGTGGACCCGCTTCCTAGACCCTCCATGGGCAGGGGTCGGGGAGATTTTACTAGTAGTTCCTGGGAACTGGTACATGATTCAAACCTTAGTCTGCTCAGCCATCAGGATGAGGTTTTGCAGCCTCTTTAAGGGACCTGAAAAATCCTACCACCCTCAATCAAGCGCAGAGTTAGCTGCTCCCCATTGCCTGGACCATCCCTGGCCCCGGCCCTCTCCAGCCCCTGAGAAACACACATTTGTCCACGTTGGGAGGAGCCCCAGTCTCTGGACAGAGACGGCCCCCAGGGAAGTTGGAGGTCCGAGGCTGCTGGCTGCGCACAGCCCACATGCCCCGCCGAGTCTCAACACTGAGCAACCCGCCGATCCTCCACCGAGCAGCCCCCATCTGTGTCCAGGGCCGGAGCTTTCTCCTCGGCCATCACTGCCGGGCTCCTACGGGCTCCTTCCCCGCCGCCACGTCCACCAGCCATGCTTATCCTGTGTCCAGCCAGCCAGAGCTCCCTGCTCAGAGAAACTCACTCACCCCACGGAACAAGACACCATGTGGAGGTTTCCGAGACAGGACCCTTCCGCTTTTCTGAACCCAAAGGAATCTCCTAAACTTCGCTGGGTGTCAGGGTTCAGGGGAGATCAGGCTAAAGACTTGCAGGAAAAGCCAAGAAAGAGCTTAAGCCTCAAGAAGCCTCCAGATAATGCATGTTTTCTTTTGCACATGGCCAAGAAAAGGGGTTGGAAAAGGACCAGAACTTCCTGAATCTTCGTTGTTCAGGAGAAAGCGACATGGACTCGAGCCCCAATTCTGGAATCTGGCTGCCTGGGCTGGAATCCAGGTTCTGCTTCTCAGCAGCTTCCCGAGGTAGTACGTGACCTAACCTCCCAGTGCCTCGGTTTCTCCAACTGAAAACATGCATGTCCACACCCTCAGCAGATTCCAGAACAAACGTCAGCTGCCAAGGAATGAAACTGGGGAAGAACCCACAAATGTAACCGAGCTACTTCAGTAACCAAATGACATCAGGGTAAAGAGGTCTCACCTGTACGGATGCGTGGCTCAAAGCAAGGACCAAGTGCCATCCTTTCCCCCCAATCATTCCCAGGGAGTGAGGGCGCAGGACCGCTGCGTGGGTTCATTCAGAATAAACATCACCCGACCTCAACTACTTGTCTGGTTAAATTCTCCAGTGAACAGGACAATTTTTCGGATGTGGCTGCAGCCAGCAGACCAGACCTGGGCAGCAATGGATGCTGCCGCGGGTGCACGAGCTGCTGTTCAGTGCCCTCCTCCCTCCGCTGGCCAGTGGTGGGATACTCTCTAGCCACCCATGCTGACCCGCGAGCCAGCGTGTCTCAGACGGGGTTCCTGGAATCCCACCAAGTCAACAGGGGAAGCATCAACAGCCCAGGGAACAGAGACTAAACGCAAGGTGCAAGGGGTGGTGCTACGTCTGCCACAGTAATTAATCCTGATTAAAAATGCCTGTGATTAGCAGCCTCGCTACCTTAGAGGGAAGAGAGAATGATTATTAATAAGAACAGTGCCTCCTAATGAATCTCAGAACAGACCCTAGAATCCCCCTGCCCCTCGGCGGAGCCTTTGGGTTCCACAACCAGAGGGAACGTGCTCTGCCATCAACAACTCCAAGAAGCAATTGCTGGGCACCGTGAAGCCGCTCGGAAACGCCGCATCCTCCACGGAAGCTTCCGGTGCCTGGTGATGTTTACCTCAGCAAGGGAGACTATCTGTGATTTCACCTTGATTGAGCACACACGGAGAGCAAAAGCAACGGAATTCACGACGCGTCCCCCAGGAAGACCCTGGGTCCTCTCAGGGCCAGTCCCTCTCCCCCGGCCAGCCCCCTCCCCTCCCCTTACAATACTTGAAGGCACTCACAGCCCTCTCCCCCGGAGCCATTTACTGGCTTGCAATAGGATGGAATAAGATTCTCTTTTATAGGAGACTGCAGTTTAATAATAAAGTAATTACCGTGACAAAATCCCATTTTTCGAGCTTGGGGTTTTTTCCTCCTATCCTCTCAAACTTGGTCCACTGGATCCCAGGCCAGGGCCTCCCAGAGAGTCCTGCTGATGGTCTAGATTTTCAGATGAGCTCCTTCTTGCCCTGAAAGGTGACCAGTATCAGCCCCAACCCTCCTCACTGGCCATCATGCACCAGCAACAAAAGCTTCAGGGTTCCTAGGAGGGGTCAGATGTTGGGGGACCACGGCACGGGGCTACCCTTCAGGGAGCTAGGCCGGCGCCCAAGTGGGGCTCCTGGAGGTGGGCTGAGTGGGCAGGAAAGCTTCAAAGGGCATGAAGTGAGTGTGGCCCAGGGTCACCCCTCATGAGCTCTTAACAAACACCAGAGCCCAATGCACAGCTGGAGTTCTCCTGGTGTCAGATGATCCGAAATCATCCCGGGATGGTCGGAACTCAGAAATATCACCTCCGCTGCTGGGAGAGGGGCTGAGAAGACAGAGGGACCAACAACAAGTGCCTCTAATTAATCACAGAACTGTTGTGTCTCAGGAGGGACACACCCCATCCCCAGCCTACCTAGGGTCCAACCCAAGGCAGCAGGAAAAGGCTCATGCTTCAGTAGAACGGAATTCCGCTGGGTGAGGTTTTAGTTGGTAATTTCCAGTGTGAAAGACTATAGGCTTAGAAAGCCTGTTTAAATGCTGCATCTTAATGTGCCTCAAACTACGTCTCCTGTCTTGCTTGATTTCACGTCTTTTGCTCCCGCTCTTGTTATCAAATGTGCTGTTGAGATTGAATGTACAGCCTACATATGGTGCCAACACTCACGCAGAGGACCTGCAGCCCCCACCTGGGAGGCTGGAGCACCACAGGCTCTCATTTCTAGAGGCCTGGCCGGGTATGGCCCTAGGCCCCTCCTCCTGTGGCCTTTACCTCCGGGGGCTGCTGCAGGCTCTGGCTCATTCCAAAGGTGGTTTGGGATAAGCGGGTTCCCAAACTAAATGTCGTTATTTGTTTCTTAACGGTTCTGGACCGCCCCAGCTGTGTGTGCTCACCTAAAAACATACACCCACAAATAGCCAGGAAATGGCTGCATTCTAGACCTTTCCGGAGTCCACCGAGACACATGGCCAACCACCCCAGCAGAACAGCCGCGGGCGAGGGAAGGAAAGTGAATGCTCAAAGCCCGGGGCAACAGCAGGCTCTGGCTTTCCCAGGGACAATTCGGGATGGCTATGGCTCCGTGGACATCTTTTTGCCTTCCCACTGCCCCTACAGAAAGCTCCAAATGCCACAAGTCAGGGATGCATTCACCTAGCTCTGGAGAAATCGGGGTGTCTTCCCCGTGGGTCATGTTGGTGGACTCACCCCAACTATGAGCGCTGGTCTAATTCTACCGAGACAGCGCCAAATGTGTGGCTGCCATTTTTCGGAGGCTTGCCTCTACTTCATCTTAACTCAGCCCTCACATTCAGCCAGTGAGGACTATGTCATTCAAGGAAGACACTGAGGTTCAGAGTGGTGATAACTAAGACAACAGAATCAATAAACCATGGATTGGTCTCCAGACCAGGACCCTTACTCTAAATCCTACACTCTATCTGCAGAAACCCAGAGCTACGCTTCCTGCTGCCTGGGACATTCCTGCCATGCCTGGGTGGCTGTACAGCAGATCTGTCCCCAATAACCTGACCTGGCCACCCCAGAGATTCCCAAGTCAGTCCTATGCTCATGGAAAACCGGGAGGGGCTGGGAACCTGACCTCGGAGGCCTATCCTGACTCCCTGTGATTCAGTGTCAACTGGGAATTTAGGGCAATGGCCATGGCCTGGGATTGGATGACTTCCTGCCTGTCAGTTTGGGGGCTCCCCAGTGGCTCCTGGGCTGTGTCCAGGAGTCCCCAGATGTCACAGGTGGTCCTGGGAAGATGGCACCAAAGATCAAGGGCCCTGGGCTGCAGGCCACTGCCGGCCACCCTCTGCCACTGCCGGCCACCCTCTGCCACTGCTGGCCACCCTCTGCTCCTGGACCAGCCTCTGCTCCTGACCATCACACAGTTCCCCTGTCCCTCTGCGGCTGCTACGTTTGGCAGTCCCTCATGCATGGGCCCTTGTAACGGGCTGACCCAAGTGCCCAGGGGCTAGCTGCCCTGGGCCAGCTCGGAAGGTCCCATCTTTGCCTTCTCTGTCCATTGCTCCACCTTAAACCACCTTCTATAGCTCCTTGGAGGGCCAAGGGGCACAAACGGGTAAGAACCCATCACCCAAAGGCCCAGACCCCTGGAGTCTCTCATTGTCTCCAAGAAACACACACACACACACACACACACACACACACACACACAAACACACAATCACTCTTCTCCATTTCTCCTCCAACGTGTGCATGGAAGCGGGGGTGGGGAGACATCTTCATGGAGACTCTTGGCCTGGCCTGGCCAAGTTCCTTGGGGTGGGCACCCTGTACTCTCTCTCTCTCCAGTCTCGAAGCCCCCAACACGGGGTGCAGAACGCGTCCTATGGGAACCCCTCTCACTGGGCCCTGCAGGCCCCAGGATGAGCCTGAAGTGCTCACAATCCCACCAGGCTCCTCCAGCAGCCGCCCCCACCCCTGCAGGCCCAAGCAGAGGGTGAGGGTGGGAACCGAAAACAAGGCAGACGCCACAGCGCCAGGAGGAAGAGACAGGCCCAGAGATGTGGGCAGCCAGGGTGGGTGAGGCCAGGGTATTGAAGCCCGGGCCAGGCTGGCGCCGGGAACTGCGGCCCACAGAGGCCGAGGGGCCTGGGGGAGACGAGGGAGTCCCCCTCTGTCCCCAGTGCAGGCCTGGGACTGCACTAATTCCGCATTGGGTGGCAGCGCAGGACCCCCGTCCCCTCCCCCAACGCCCCGGCCGGCCGGCGGGCAGGCGGCTGCTGATGCTCTGTGCGCACCTCCCCACGGGGCATCCTGGGGATCTGGTGGCTCAGAGTCGCCGACTTTCCTGCCCCCACCCAACCCCAACTCGCCAGCCGGAGCTTCCTGCGCAGCCCCCAAGATTGCAAAAGTCTGGCCCCAGCCCCCTCCCCGGCCAGAGCTCCTGGGGCCTCCCTCGCCAGGCGGGTGGCCCACCTCCCCCGCCTCCCCGGAGGCCCGGCGCGCGGTCTGCGCTGCAGCAGAGCTCGGCGCCCCCGCCGCCACCTCTGCGCGCCCCCCGGCTTTCCCGACGCTGCCAGGGAGGATGCCCCGCTCCCCGCCCCGAGTCCCCAGCGGCCCGGCGCGAAGTTCCCCAAAGTGACCCGGGCGCCGAGAACCCCCGCCCCCTCCCCTCGGGCTTCCCCGGAGACTCCGCCCGCCGCCCCCTCCCGCGCCTTCGGAAAAGTTGCGAGCGACGCCCCAAACTCCGGCCCCCCCGCCTCGCGCCGCGCGCGCCCTGGGCGCCCCCGCGCTCGGCCGCCGCGCAGGGGCGCAGTTCCCCCTACCCCAGCCCCGGCGCCATGACGCGGGGAGCGCAGCGGGGGCCACCGGTGGCGGCGGCGGCGCAGAGGCGGCCAAGTGCGGGGCGTGGGCGGCAGCGCGGGGCGCACGTGCGCCGGGCCGGGGGCCGGGGCCGGGCGGGGGGCCGCTTACCTGTTGGAGGTAGAGGAAGGCGGGCGGGCAGGGCACGGAGTGCGGGAGCATGCTGCCGGAGTTGGACAGCAGGAGGCAGCCCGAGTTCGCCATGGAGCACAGCATGGGGCGGCAGGGGGGCGCCCGGCGGCGGCTCTGCGCTCGCTGCGTCCCTCGGAGTGTGCGCGCGCCCTGCCTCCCGGGCGCCCTCCCGGTCTCTCTCCTCCTCCTCCTCTGGGCCTCCCCTCCCCCTCGTGGCGCTCTTTAAGAGGGAGGCATCGAAAGGAGAGCGGCGCGCCTCTGCCCGGTGTTCCCCCTGCCCGGGCGGGGAGGCTGGAGAGAGCGCGCGCGAGAATACGGCCAGAGAGTCTGTGCGCGAGAGATCGGGCGAGCGGGCGAGAGCAGGAGTCAGTCACTTTGGAGCCTCCGGAGCCCTGTCTGCAAAGAGTGGTGCGTGTGCGTGTGTGAGTGCGCGCGTGTGCGCGCGTGTGTAGCGGTGGGAGGGGGAGTCCCTGGCGTACTCCAACATCAAACGGAGCCCCGCGCGGAGGGAAGAGAATCCGGAGCGACGGCACAACAGCTGATCCCACACTTAACCCCTCGCCCGCCGGCACCGGGGCAGCCCTCCCTCGCGCCCTCCCACGCTCGGGCCCCTGCGCGCCCCTCCTCCCCCCCGTTGCCAGCACTTGCTCCTGGCCTGGGGGGTCTGGAATCTCCCTTTGCCCCCGCTCCGTTCTCCGGCCGCTGCGGAGAGGAGGAGCCGCTCCGCCGGCTCTGCGGCCGACCGACCGGAAGGCGCCTCGTCCTGTTTCGCGTTCAGAGAAGCGCCTTTCCTAAGGGAGGCCGGCTCAGTGGCGGGGATGTCGGTGATGTAATCCGAGGGCATCTACGCAGAGGCTTCCGCGCTGGGGAAGGCTTCTCTGGCTGCCCAGGGCTTGGAAATCCAACCAGAGCCTCCAGGAGCGTCTCCTGCCCTCCTGCTGGCCCCCAGACCCCATCATACATCCCAGCCTCCTGCCACAGGCACCTGGTCTTGTGGCTACTTAGATGGGGGTGGGGGACACGGGCACCGGCCACAATGCATCCTCCCCTCCCTGTACCCAGACACACTGGACTTGACGTGTTTCGCTCCCACGGGACAGGCGTGCATAGGTCCCCACCTCCTTGCCCCATTCAGCATGTGGCAGAGGTCTCGGCAGTGCCCCTTGTTCCACCACTGTGACTGTGCACACACCTGCAGCTTCAGCGGCCACACACACACCCACTGGCCTGCCCCGAGTCCACACTCACCAGAGGCCCCGTGGATCAGTCTCAGTTTACCAGGATAAGCCACAGGTGAGCTTGGCTGCAAGAGGGATGGGCTGCCAGTGGCCACTGTCAGAGGCAGAGCCAGTGGCTCATGCCTAACCTCACGCCTTCCAGGAAAGGGGCAGATCCCAGGCACCCAGTACCCATTCTGAACGCACCTGTCCTACCTTAGGGCACTTGTGACTCCCCTCCTCTCACTGCAGACAGTGAGCCCTGAGCTGGAGGGAGGCAGGCCTGGGGCCGCCTGGCAGTGGGGAGATGGCTGGCCCGGCAGTCATGTCGGACCCTCACTTGCTGTGTGATCTCAGGAAGGTCGATTGTCCCCTTGGGGCCTTGGTTTCCACATCCAGCCCGAGAGATGGGTCAGATGTTGTCTGAGATCCCTGTTGCACCCACTGCAGGACACGTGGCCTGAGGGCCATTGAGGAAGAGGGAACAAGGAAGGGAGGGAGAGAAGGGTGGCCTCTCCACGCCCAGTTTAGGAGGCTCCATTTGAACAAGGCAGGTAGGTGCAGGCACCTGGGACCATTCTCTCAGGTGCCCCTTGTTCATCTTCTTCGTAGAGGAGCTGGGATGTGGAGTCCGGGAGGGAGGCAGACAGGGGAAGAGAGAAGGCTCAGGGGAGAGACGAGGCAGGCGAGCTGGCCATCTAGCCGTGTGGTCTGACCTGCAATCCTGCTCTGTGTTCCCTCTGGGGTGGTGCTGGCACAGGACAAGGATAGGGGGCTGGTCTGTCTCCACAGGGTCTTGGCTATGGACTTGATGAGGCCCTCCCTGCTGTCAGTAACTTGGTTTCCCAGCCTAGGACAGTGGTGGGGGTCCCAGCGCAAGGGCCGGGCATGCCTGGGCCAGGAAGATGAGGTGGGTTGTAGCATTTGCCACCTGAGCCTCGCAGAAGGGCTCCTCGTGAGCGTGGTGCCCTGGAGTGGCCCTTGCTGCCTCCCTCCTGAGTCAGGTTGTTCTTGCTTGTTCCAGAAGCCATCCCTCTTTTGTCTTCTCTGGGCACCTGTCCGTCACCACTGCCCTGCTGCACCTTCCCTGGAGGATGCTCAGGAATTCGGGACAGCCACATAGCATTCAGCCGAAACCCAGGCTCCAGATCCACCCTGCCTGTGAATCATTTGCTCATTAATTTGCCATTATGACCATTATGACCAAGTATCTCCTGTGGAATCCAAGCCTCATCCCCTCCAGAAAGGGATTTGGGAGTGCTTCCTAAGCCATGCCTGACACAGAGCCACTTTTTGAGTCAACGCTACTGTTTTTCCTTATTGAGAACCCACTATATGCAGACAGTGTGCTCGGTGCTGGGGCTGCAGAAATCAAGTTCTCTGCCCTGGAGTGAGCACACCGTCTAGTGGGGGAAACCAAGCTTGTAAACGAAGACTGCAGCCTAATGTACTGAGAGCTTTGACAGCCCAGGACAGGGAGAGCTCAGATCTGGGGTGTGGCCAGGGAAGGTTTCCTGGACCCCTGAGCTCAGTCATTGGCCCAAAGAAAGCCAGGGTGGTCCCCACTATCTGCATCTGCATCACTTCTGGCAGCCCTGCATCTGGTCACCTGTGTGCCTCTCTGCCCAGCCACCTGCCTTCCAGCCTCACCTCCAGATTGCACTGGGCCCAGGAGCATGTCTGGACACCTGCCTCCATCAGGCGGCTCATCACACCCAGCTCCAGAGAGAGAGGACTGAGAATAGCAGAATGGAATGAAAATAATACCTCCAGAAAAAGGATCTGAACGTGTGTGTTTGGCTTATTTCTTGGGACAGGGGCTGTTACGCTGTGCTTCAGCACGAGCCAGTTAGCGAACAGCACGCACCTCAGTGCTCCGCTGTGATCGTTTCAGAGTGTCGCGCAGGCCTGACTCTGCGGACCCCACCGGCAGGAACCATGCCCTCATCACCTCCTACCTCCAGTACCTGGCACCAGGGCGGTACGAAGCTTTTCAGATTCTCCAGGCCCCATGCAGCCCTCCCGAGCCCCTGGTGCCTTGTGGACTGGGGTGGGTGGCCCTGAGCAGGGGGTGGGGGAAGCCTGTGCTCCTGGTGGCTGTGCTGCCCCCGCTCCTGGGGCGGAGGGAGGCTGCGTGCTGGGAAGAGCTGTCACTCCAGTGCTAATATTCACTACTTAAAAAAAAGAGGCAAGAAAAAATACCCCATTCGCCCTGAATCTGAGAAGGGCCTTGTTAGGCAGGCAGGAACTGAGCTGTAATTATTTCTGCGCTCCTGGGCACCACTATAAATATCAGGCAAGGGAGGCACCTCAGAAGGTTCCGATGGTTCCAAGGCTTTGGAGATCTCCTGGCTCCTTCCTGCCCCCATCCTATGTCACCTTCCCTGGCAGGGGCCTTGGAGGGTGCAGGCACTGCCTCTCCTCCAGTTGGGCAGGGCGTGTCTTCCCCAGCTTCCCTGAGCGTGCCTGCCTGGGAAATTCTGGCCCACGTAACCTTGCCAGATGCCCTGAATCTCTTCAGTGTGTACCTCTGTGAAATGGACACACAGGATTCTCCCTGGGAGAGCATTTGCTAAAAGGTGTGCAGGGGAATACTAGACTCCAAGGTGGCCTGTGTTTTTAACAAAAGGTGGGCCAAATGAGTCCTGTGGTCAGATGACTTGGGGGAGTATTTCTTTTGACCCCTACCCATGTCCTTTGGAAATTCCCAAGGTGGCAAGTGGCAAATCATAGTAGAAAGGAAGCAACTCCACACTCCCTTTAGGGGAGGAAGGGAGGTGAATTCCTCATGCTCCTGCCCCTCTTTCCCCTTCCAGGCGCCCAGGCCGACCATCCTCAGGCTTCCCCTGCGCCGTGAGGACAGTGTGCAGCTTGGCAGCAGCGCTCCCAGGACAAGGAGTGAGCTCACAGTCTCTGGTTGCAGCTGTGCTTGGCCGCGCCAAGCCGAGCCTTCATCGACAAATACATCGTGCTTTCCGCAGAGCCAGACCTTCCTGCCCCAGCCCTGGGGTATTTGGCCTGGGCTTGGGCATGAGCACTGGGGGACGAAAGAGGCAGAGTGGCAGAACTAGATCTCCACAGTGGGGTGGGGTGGGCATGGCTCAGGGATGGGAGGATGTGTGCGTGCCTGTGTGTGTGTGATGGGGTGTGGGGAGAGCCAAGAAGCCACTCTGACCAGCTGGAGTCCTGTATCACCATGGAACACTTTGCAGGGGAATTAATGTCCCAATTCAGCAGCCAGGGCAACAGGGTTGGAGTCAGGGAGAAGCCCCCACTCAGGCTTTCATGGGATGCCCCCAGCAGACACCACGGGGCAAGGTCAGGCTGGGGATGGGAAACCCAGCAGACACCATGGGGGAAGGTCAGGCTGCGGATGGGAAACCCGGCAGACACCATGGGGCAAGGTCAGCTTGGGGATGGGAAACTCGTCAGCCTTTTTTTAAAAAAATGTAGAAATTCTCACATTCCCAGAGGAGGCGGCTTCCTTATATCAGGAGTCGGGGGCTGCTTCCACTTTGTTCTGGCCTGTTTAATCTCCCCAGAAGGGCAGAAAAGCCGGCAGAGGGTCCCTGCAAGCAGGGGTGAAGCAAGCCCAGGGATGAGCCGTCGGTGCAGCCCTGGCAGGCGAGGCCTCGCTGGAGGTGGCCAGCAGAGGGCCCACTCACACCACCTTCACCGGCTGGCCTGCGAGGAAGGGCTGCTGGGGTGCTCCCCACCCCCAACCCCCTCTGCCTCCCTCTGCCAGGGGTCCTCAGCAGTGCAGAGGGAAAGCTAAGCCCAGCCCAGCTGCCGGGGCCAGCACTCACCTTCCGGCTCAGCGGGGGTCCCCCACCCACTGGCACTGTCCCCCTGGCCCCAGCAGAGACTGCAGCAAAAGTAAAAATCGGCGTGCAAAGGAAGTTTATTTATCTGTTTAATTAAGAGGCGTTTGCCAGCCACATTCGGGTCCATCCGTCTCACTTACAACCATGTCCCAGCAAAATTAAACATAATAAATACAGGGAGACTGAAAGCGAAGGGCACACTTGAGATATATGGGCAGAGCCAGGAGTTGCACAGGGTTGCAGTTATAAGCACATCTCTCTCTTGCAAGTTCCTCTCCCCTCGGGGGCCCAGGAGCCGGAGGAATGCGCTCAGAGAAGGGGCTGTGGGTGCCGCTCACTCTGCTCCTTCCACTCCGCACTGTTGCCAAGCTTTATTTATTTTAAATGAGCCCCCAGGACTTCTCCCTTCTCCTCTTCTGTGGAAGGCGAGCGAGCTCTACACCGAGCAAAAGGAACATCTGAAAGCAGCCAGCACTGTGATGTTCCACCCCAGGGCTCGGTGGGTAAGAGGCCTTGGAAGCTGCGGCCCTGGAAAGCTCGTTGCAAGCTCCTGCTGCATCTGGGCCATGAGCTCCTGGCAAGGAGACAGCCTAGGCTGAGCAGAGCCTGGGAGAAACAGATCTTTGGTCTTCAGTGCCAGCTGTGGCCAAGCCACCGTTTGGCAAACTGGGCCCAGAATCCCACAGAAGCCAAAGGAAGAGGGGGGCACTTTGATTTCTGTCTCTCATCTGAAGGCTCAAGAGCCTGGCCATTTGCTTAAACTTCCCAGGAACAGAAGCACACAAAGGGGGAGAATGGCAATTTATTATTACTGATTGCTAACTGTAACAATACCTTGTATCTGCTCAGTGCTTTCCTAACCTTTTCAAAGAGCCTTCATGTATCTCACCTGATCATCACAAGTTAGGTAGGGAAGGTGTAATGATGCCCATTCGATATATGATGACCCTTTTAGGATCACAGAGGTGGTCCAAGGTCACACAACCAGTTAGAGGCAGCGTCTGGGCCAGAAGGCAAGACTTGGAACTTGGATTTATGGGAGCCCTTTTCTTCCCTTCGACTACTGTGCTGGGCTCATGCCCTTCTGTGAACATGCTCGTCGTTAGCCCTTGGCTCTCTCTCCTAACAGGATCAACCCCAAACCAAATCCGTTAATGTAATAGTCATTTGCAATAGCTTGGGCGTTTACTAATCACACCACCGCTCCGTCTGTGCAGCAATTATCTCGAATTTCCTCTTTCTCATTAGGCAGGAGGTCGCGAGGACTCAGTGGGTTGCTGAGCCCTGTGATGACGCCAAGGAGAGGAGCTGCTGCTAGACCAAGGAAGCCCTCCCTCAGCGTTCCTAGCTGATCTTCCATGCAGCGCCCAATTTCCTGGGCCCTCACCCCGTGCTCAGCTGACCCACCAGCCCCGAGCCCTCCTGTCCTGCCCAAGCCTGTGCATGTGTGCCCTTGTGCCCAGACCATAGATGGCTACAGAAAAGAGAGTCCTGAATGGCTTGGGAAGTTGTATATTTGCTTGGAGATGATGACTCCAGCTCGGACTGGGTATCCAGTGAAGTGCCCTTGGATGGTTGGGCCCCCACTGCAGACATGACTGATGACAGCCTTTGCTCCTGCCAGGGCAGGGATCGCACCAGCCAAGGAAAACCCATATCACTCGCTGCTCCACGCAGCCCACCCAGGAGGCATGCACCGCTAACATCACTCTTGGTACCCCCACTTGCTCTCCTTCAGCATCAGGGTCAACTCCAGCCTCCTGTTTGAGGTCACCTCTTTCCCCCAATCAAATAACAGAGTGAAGGCCGGGTGCAGTGGCTCACGCCTGTAATCCCAGCACTTTGGGAGGCCAAGGCGGGTGGATCACCTGAGGCCAGGAGTTTGAGATCAGCCTGGGCAACATGGTGAAACCCCATCTCTACTAAAAATACAAAATTAGCCAGGCGTGGTGACACATGCCTTTAATCCTAGCTACTCGGGAGGCTGAGGCAGGAGAATCACTTGAATCTGGGAGGCGGAGGATGCGGTGAGCCGTGATCGCGCCATTGCACTCCAGCCTGGGCAACAAGAGTAAATCTCTGTCTCACCAAAAAAAAAAAAAAAAACAAAAAAACAGAGTGAAGAAGAAGAAAGGAGTCCTCAGGGACAAGAGTGATGGGGCTGGAAGGGGAAGTGGCATCACGTCGCCCAGTCCCCGGCCTTCTAGCTGGCAGACACCAAAGCCTTCAGAGACACGTGCTCTCTTTTTTTTCCCCTTGAAGCTCTCCACTGGGGGAGACCCTGCTGTCTCTCCGGGGAGCCCAGTTAGGTTTTTATCACCCTGAGTGCCAAGAAACTCTGCCTCGTGGTACACAAACCTTTTCCGTCTTAATTTTATTCAAAGGGTGAAGGCTTTGAAAGAGTGACAAGGGGGAGCTTAGACCAGAAGCTGAAGCCACTGCCGCTCCCTGTAGCTCCCAGGAGGGACTGGGGCCACTGACCAAAACTTGTAGAGCAAAGCCGTGCATAAAGGGAGGGGGCTGAGTGAGCACAGCTCTTGCATACCGATGGGGAACAGGAGCCCTGCACTCTCAGGGTGTCCAAAAGGGAAGACTGTACACACAATGTGGGTACAATTTGGGTAGCTCCCATTGCTACGGCCGGCATGAATTTGCACCATGTTTGGTTAGAATTGAACTGAGGAAACAGCATTCAGGGTTCCTGAGTAGAGACCCATGGGAAGAGGTCAAGGTTTGTTCTTCCATCAACAGCGGGTGGGTCTGAGCTGACCCCTGGGTAGAGGCAGCAAGGGTCCACCTCCAGCAGTGAAGTGGCTGGGTGCTCCCATTTGCCATCAATTTTTAGAAAATCTTACTTAACAGAGAAACCAATATCCCTTCCTCCAGCACTGGGCAAGGAGAGGCCACATGGAGAGCACGTGCAGCACTGTAGAGAGGGAATGGTGGCCCGGGGGTACCCCGCACCCCAGGACTGGGAAGTTAGGACCTTCAAACTCTGACCAAACCTGAAAGACTCTGGAAAAAGCAGCTGCCTGTAGCCCCAGCCCCAGCACTCAGTGAGTTAAAAAGCAACCGCAAGGCCTCGGGAAACAGAATGTGAGGGGCGGGCACTCTGTTCGTCCCCTGCCCCTGCATGCCCCCTAAAGCCAAAGCGTCAGCTCATTAAAAGCTCATTAGGAGCCCAAGGCACACAAAGGCCCGGAGAGGCATTACTGTCCTGGCAGAGTGCGTGGCCCTGGGGAGGCCGATGCACTGCTAGGCAGCCAGTGCCAAGCTGCAGACAGGGGCCGGGCCATGGAGTGACGAGGCGGCCGGCGGCGGGAGGTAGGGGTGCAAGGTCCTTCTAACGAAGCCTCATGGGAGCTGAGCTTGTCCCAGGACTCAAGGGAGTGGGGACGAGCATATCTGCCAGGAAGCAAAGGAACAGATGCAGACGGTAACCTACAGACTCACCTCCCCACACCTCCACAATGACAGAGGCCAGATAAGAGTTCCTTTCTCAGGCTTTGAGAGCAAGGAGAAGGCAGGGTTAGGCAGGACCCTGGGCAGCCTCTTCCCTCCCGGCAGCCTAAGATACACCAGGGAAGTTGTGTGAATTGCTGCCCGGTGAGCAGAGATGGGGCAGTGGATGCTGATGTGTTTTAGTCCCTAAAAGTTGCCCAAGAGCAGGGGAAGTGCCTATCTGGTGGGGGTGTGGAAGCTTGTCTTGAGTTAGGTGTGAAGCTATTCTGAGGCTGCCACCCCTGCCAACCCCCTACCGTCTCCTCCCTCTTGATCCTGGGAGGAAAATCCCTCCCCTTTCCTGATCCACTCTAGCATTGGGGTCCAGCGATGTTTTGGCCCCAACACAACTCTCCAGTTCCAAGGCATGAGGTTTCTGAGAATTCACTGGCAAGGAGGTGTGGGAAGTTGGCAGCCAGCTGAGGGCCCTATGCTGCTCTTAGCCGCTCCCGGCCTTTCCTCCCACTGAGAGTTGCTGCATCAGGATGGGGGGGAGCCGTCTGTTCCTGCTCTTACTTCCCTAGGATGCTGTGACTTTTGATTCCTGCTTGATTAATATACAGCCAACAGAGACTGTATTTAAGGCAGCTTTAATTCTCTCAGGTCACCAAACTCGGGAGCAGCAAAGCTGCAAGGAGCCAGCCCCGCAATAGATCAAACACCAGGACCTTCAAATCGCTCTGTGGCCCAATTTCTTATTGCTGCTGCTGCCTGATAACCCTCCCAGCTTGGAGGCAATAGCTCCTTTTTCTAGGGGTGGACACGGGGGCTGGATGTGGATGTCCATGGCTGAAACCCTCCTGGCAGCACGGAACGAGAGCTGGAAGGACCGGGCACGAGAGTGAGACCGTCAGCACCAGGGACAGCTCCAGCCAGACCCTGGAGCCGCCGTGGCTGCCTACACCTCTGTCTCCCTGGGCCCAAACAAGCACGGGTGTCAGTGAACTCTCTGTTTTGCAGGGGTGGCCAGCGGCTAGCCCTGCTGATGGCCACCTTTTACCAAAACATCCTCGCCTGTTGAGTTAGCCTGCTGCTCCCTTTGGGGCCCTGCACACTCTCACTGGCTCTGTCTCCCTTTAGGAGATCCAGCTTTTGCCATCCCTGACCCCCAGAGGGAAGCAGGCTGCTGTGAGGACTATCTGTCTGGCCTCTGTGCCAGCCCCTGGTGCCCAGGGCTTCTGTGGGGCCAACAGTTTCCTTCCTGGCTGAACCTCATCCGCTTCCAACTTGCCTCATTAGCATCTCCTGAAAGGCAGGCTAATTCCTCTGCTGAGCACCTGGGTGTTCACTTGCTCGGTGGGGGCAGGGGCAGGCATGCCGGCATGGCTGCCGTTTCCTCCAAAGCACCTTTTATAGACCTGGTCCGTGTTGCAATTTGGGAGGCACCGGGGAGCAGCACAATGTGGGGAGATTACGCTCGGAAGCCGGGCTTGTAAATTACCTCCCAGTGGGGGCAGGGAATGTGCCTATTAACAGAGAACCTGGTGCACACAGCCATTCTCATTTAAGAGCAGGATCTTCCCGGATCAGACTCTGATCAATCCTTGCTGCCACCAACACACCATATATTAGGAAGAAATGTTTGCATTGAAGTTGGAGGAAGCCCCATACTCACCTCCCCCCGCCAACCCCCTACTGCTGTTTTATTAGGATTTTCTCTAAACCCAGCCCCATTGGATTTATTCCCCCTGCTCTGCCTCTATCCACTTAAAAATATTGTCTATGGATTTTCAAATTATTGCTACACTTTCTAAGAGAAGGATGCAGTGGTTAAAAATTAACAGCAAATTTATGGGAATTCTATATGGCAATTACAGAATTATAATGAAGTGGCTGCCACTTGGCTGAGTGTGGGTAATTGGAAATCCACACTGGGAAGACTAGAATCTTTACTGTATTGGAATTGTGTTTTTGAGAGTAAATGCTGTGGAGAGGGTCAATGGAGCCTTGAGTAGGCCAAGTTCTTCTCTACAGGAAAAAGTGGTCTGCTCACTGCCTATTGGGAGGCAATTTAGAAGGAGAATCACTTATGCTGGCCCACAGGAAGGTGGCTGGAAACCACTGGGGGAGGTAGGTGTTCCGGGCTAGGGGAGCAGGCCTGATGGTGGAGGAGGTGGGAGTGGGAGAGCATGAAGGGAGGAAGGCCAGGGCATCACCAGCAGAGGGAAGGCCCACTGTGGTGCAGCTCGAGCCTGACAGAAGGCAGCACCGAAACCCTGATGTTCTCCCTGCCCTGTGGGTTCATTTTCCTTGGAAAAAAATTTTGGTAAAAAAACAGAGATGATTTTATCATGAAGACACCAATGTTGCTCTCCTTTCACATGGCGCTGTCCTCGCTCCCACAGCTGCTGTGGTAGAAATGGACTTTGCCTCTGATCTCCTCTGCAGCTCTTTAGGGCCTTAGTGGCTGAGAGGTGGAGCAGGAGTCTGTGATAAGGGAGCCCAGATTCCGAGCAAGGGGGTTCTGCCAGGAATCTAGGTACAAACTGCCTCCTGGAAGCCAGGTGCGGTGGCTCACACCTGTAATCCCAGCACTTTGGGAGGCTGAGGCGGGTGGATCACTTGAGGTCAGGAGTTCAAGACCAGCCTGGCCAACATGGTGAAACCCTGTCTCTACTAAAAATACAAAAATTAGCCAGGCATGGTGGGCATGCCTGTAGTCCCAGCTACCGGGGAGGCTGAGGCAGGAGAATTGCTTGAACCTGGGAGGCGGAGGTTGCAGTGAGCTGAGATTGCACCAGCCACTGTACTCTAGCCTGGGTGACAAAGTGAGAGTCTGTCTCAAAAGAAAAAAAAAAACTGCTTCCTGGTTCTTCAAGAGTTTTGTGTAGACCTGGTGCTGTTGAGTGCAGGGGCCACGGGCCACATGTGGGCATTCAGAGCTAAAACACGGCCGGTTCTAATTGAGACACTCCCTGTGTGTGTGGGTGTGTGTGTGTGTGTGTGTGTGTGTGAAATGCACATGGGATTTTGATGACTTGGGACCATAAAAAGAGTGAAAAAATAGTTTGTATCTAGATTACATGTCAAAATGATCATATTCAGGTATATTGGGTTACATAAAGCGTATAATTGAGTGCCCCCAGTTTTGTTTGTTTTACTTTCTCAATGTGGGTGCTGAAGAATTAAGCATTTCCATGTGTGGCCTGCATTATGCTTCTATTGGGCAGCTCTGGTCTAGAACATGGGCAGATGTCTTTCCGCTCAGCCCCACCGACATCAGCTCACTATCATCCCCATTGCCTGCGCGGTGCCTGGCCACGGGTAGCCTCTCAAGAAGAAGTGCAGGCCGGGTGCCGTGGCTGATGCCTGTAATCCCGGCACTTTGGGAGGCTGAGGCAGGTGGATCACCTGAGGTCAGGAGTTCGAGACCAGCCTGGTCAACATGGTGAAACCCTGTTTCTACTAAAAATACAAAAAATAAGCCGGACATGGTGGTGGCTCTCGTGCGTACAGTCCCAGCTACTCAGGAGGCTGAGACACGACAATCACTTGAACCCAGGAGGCAGAGGTTGCAGTGAGTTGACATTGCACCACTGCACTCCAGCTTGGGTGACAGAGTGAGACTCCATCTTGAAAAAAAAAAAGAAGAAGAAGAAATGCAAAATGCAAAGCCAACTGGGTCTCTTCTTAGAGTAAGGCCGCACGCAAGTCTGTGTGGGCAGGAAGCCTGCCCTGATCTCCCCATCCCAAAACACAGACACCCAGCAAAAGGGTCTGCTCCATTTCAGTCTACGTTTCTTGGTTTCTGTCTGCTCTATCCTGATATCTGAGACTGGGGCCTCCTTATTTTGTCCTACCATTGCAGCTGTGCAGGCACACAGTGTCTGCTGAGGCCAGTGGTGGGGTGGCGGGGGTGGCTTTCCTTCTGTGCTCCCTCCCCTACGACCGGACAGCACCAGGAAACCAGCACTCTGTTTTGGGGTTTGGGGATGAGCTCACAGGCAAATACTTCTGCTTCCTAACCTGTGACCTGTGCTAGGAGAAAGTGTCCTAGTGGCCAGCTCCCGTGCGGCTGCACTCGCTTGCATTTGGCTGCTGGGTGAGCTTATTGATTTTTCTCTCCGAGGTAGAAGGAGAGGCCTCGGAAATGCCATTCCAGTGAAACTGGGCATGGCGATAATTATCATCATCAGAACACCCTGGACAAATTGGATCTCAGGCACCCAGAGCACCCTCAGCCTCATGCTCCACCCCAGCCTCCTCTGAAGGCAGAGGGAAGGAAGTGGGAGGGTGAATATTATTCTTCCCATCTCGTTGGATGGAGAAGCTGAAACCCAGGGTAGAGGAGTGTCCCAAGATGGGAAGTGGAGGCCGGGATGCGGGGTCGGAGTCACTGCCCCCTTCTACTGGAGAAACAGCAGCAGAGTGGAGCTTGGATCATCTTGAGCTCCTAAGAAGACTGTAGTCCCGCATCTCCTACCTTCTACCACACACCCAGCCACAGCTGTTTCTCACACCCTCCTCCAGCAGAAAGTGGGGCCCGCTCCAGCCTGGGAGTCACAGACCCGGAGTCCAGCCCATCTCTGCCCCGACCACCCGTGGGACTCTGAGCGAGCAACTAAACATCTCCAGTGTTGGTGTCTGCGTCTATCAGAATGGGACGGCAGTACCTCTCTCAGTATCGCATTCCCACAATACCTTGTGAGGATTCAAAAACATGTCATATACAAACCAGCTGGCACATAGTAGATGTTCAATAAATCATGGTAATTAATTCAACAAATACTTATTGAGTTTCCCCAAGTGCCTGGTTTTGTTCTAGGTCCCTTCTCTCTGCAGTGCCCAGATGAGACTGCTGATGAAATTTCCTCTCTTCACCCGGATGGACTGCACTTGCCCTGCTCATCTCCTAGGCCTTGGTACAGAAAGTACAGTTAACTCTCAATTATCTATGCCAATGGAGTGGAACGTTCCACTGATAATTCAGAAAGAGCAGAGAGTCTACAGATAATTCTTATTTGAATTAGGAATGCATTATGCTTATTTTCACATCGGGTTTACCTTCCTAATTACTGTTTGTTCTGGATTATGCTCAAACTGGTTTGCATTCTCAGAACTCACATCGGTGTGGTGAGGGGTGTGCCGTGGAAGTGTACTGGGGCCCACCAAGTGGAAACCAGCCACAGACCACCTCTCTGCACTGCCCTCCAGCACCCCGGGTGGACTGACGCCTGCTAACAGGGAAGTAGTAGGCACTGGGGCTGCTTGGTATCTGCCCGGGAGGAATGGTGGCAGCTCCTTGCGTGTTGTTTTAAGGCTGTGCCCATGTGGGTGGCTGGGCACGCGTGGGTAAAATGGAAGGAGGTGCACCAGTTCCTGTGAGCTGTGATTCTCCCCAGAAAGCCAGGTGCAGACATAAGAGGCATCCTCACATGCAGCCCTCCGTCGGGGCTGTCCACATGCTGTTTTCTGTCTGTCTCTTCTCTGTGTCTCCCGCTACATCTTTCTTTGTGTGTGCATCTCTCTGTCACTCTCTGCCTCCCCTCCACACTGCCATTCACTGCACTCTTTTCTCTGGGACAAACCAGGAAACAGATATTTCTTTTCTTTCTTTCTTTCTTTTTTTTTTTTTTTTTTGAGACAGAGTCTCACTCTGTCGCCCAGGCTGGAGTGCAGTGGCATGATCTCGGCTCACCGCAACCTCTGCCTCCCAGGTTCGAGCGATTCTCCTGCCTCAGCCTCCCGAGTAGCTGGGATTACAGGCATGTGCCACAACATCCTGCCAATTTTTTTTTTTGTATTTTTAGTAGAGACGGGGCCTCACCATGTTGGCCAGGCTGGTCTCAAACTCCTGACCTCAAGTGATCCGCCCACCTCGGCCTCCCAAAGTGCTGGGATTACAGGCATGAGCCACCTCCCAAGCCCAGAAAACAGATATTTCTTTCTACAGACACATCGTCCACGCAGCCAGGGCTGCAGATGGTCGGGGCTTGTGTCTAGCTGGGCAGTTCCTCCTAATGCCACTCCATTCCCCTTTGTACAGCAGAGAGGGACGGAGAAAACACCAATCTAACCTCCCAAACCACGGGCAAGCAGGGAGCCGGAAACCCAAAGAAAAGCCTGAGTCTCTGTGCCCTTCCTCACCTCCCCCGACTCCGGGCATGGAAGGGGGTCTGCCCTGCACCAGGCAACCAAGACAACATCTATCTGTGACTGCGGCGCGTGCTTCTGATTTCCTAAGCATGCCGAGTGAATCCATCCCGAGTGCCTCTGTCTGCGTCAGGAGAGTCGTGTGGGGTGGGCTTGTCATCCCGGAAGTGCTACGGTTGCATCGTGTGGGGTGGGCTGTCATCCCGGAAGTGCTACGGTTGCATCGTGTGGGGTGGGCTGTCATCCCGGAAGTGCTACGGTTGCATCGCTGGACCATCCTCAACACTGGACCAGACCAGAAGGGGAAATCATGGGTGACAACCGCCTCTGGCCAGCCCTCTGCCCTCGCCCCTGCCCTGCACCTCTCCATCCCACATGAGGCGACCTTGCAGGCACAGGTGCGGACAGGAAGGAGAGCCTGCACCTGGCGATGGTGACTCAGGGGATGTCTTTCCAGCTCTCACGGGACTCAGTGCTAAGGTGACAGTGGAACGCTGGCATCTGTGTCCCGCCTGCCAGCTCATGGAGAAAGTTCACAAATGTCACCTCAGTATGCCTCACTCAAGCCTGTGGGACAGATGGGTACAGCTGGAGACTGAGGCTTGGAGAAGTTCACAGACTTTCCAGGATGTATTGCCCATGCCACTCGTCACTCTGATAGGACTTTTAGAGATGTGAGAAGCCTCCCTGCTTTTGAACTTTCTCTCTCTCTTTTTTTTTTTTTAAGATGGAGTCTTGCTCTGTCACTCAAGCTGGAGTGCAGTGGCATGATCTAGGCTCGTTGCAACCTCCACCTTCCGGGTTCAAGCGATTCTCCTGCCTCAGCCTCCCAAGTAGCTGGGATTATAGGCATGTGCCACCACACCCAGCTAATTTTTTTTGTACTTTTGGTAGAGATGGCGTTTCATCATGTTGGCCAGGCTAATCTCGAACTCCTGACCTCAGGTGATCCACTCGCCTCGGCCTCCCAAAGTGCTGGGATTACAGGTGTGAGCCACTGCACCTGGCCGAGCTTTTTGATGCCTAATATTCTACTGCTTCCCACTGGTTAAAATACAAATTGTCTCCTGCAAAGATGCTGAGTTTGTGAGGCTGAACATTGCCTGTAACTCAGTTGTGAGGCTGTTGACTGAGAACTGGTTTTTAGGGAGAGAGGGAGGAGACCCAGAAAACAGTGGGAAGCAAGTGGGGGCTGTCTCCATGGAGTGAAAGCTGCCCAGCAAAGGGTGCAGCTGTGGTCATAGGGTGGGGATGGGAAGGCAGACTCTGGCTGGCTCACTCTGCCTTCTGAGAATGTAAAGGGCCTTTCGAAAAGACCTCCCTAGCCCCCCACCCTCGGCAGCACCACCCACCAGCCCCTTCCGGTGGACTTCACACCTGCACGGCACCTCCTGGCTCTCATTCATCCTGCCCTTCTTCTTCCAGCAGGTGGGAGGGTCAGACTCAGAGGAGGGAGCATTCCCAGGAGCCTCCAACCCTCTGCCCACCGCCCTACTGCAGGAGTTGCAGATCTTGGGGGTCTCTCAGTGGGGGAAATCAGCCCAGGTGGGACTTGAGGAAGAGGAGAAGGCCAGCCATCTGGATGGCCTGAACCCAGTCACTGACTTAGGGCTGCCAGTGACCTCTGTGGTGGGAACAGGTGACCTAGAACACACTGGTTTGGTCCCAGTTCAAGAAGTAATTAGATATGCTCTCAAAGAAGTCCCCAAAGCTTTAATTAAACTCCAATAAAAGTGAGGCTCAGTCCCTTTGTTGCATGAGCTTCATTTCCAAGAGTCACACATGGCTCCTGGTGACCATATTGACACAGATATGACATTGCTGCTGCTGTAGGATTTCTGAAGCACGCTGAACAAACCCACCCTGATGCTCCAGTCTGTCAGGAGAGTGTCTATTCTACAGTACCGCTCTAAAGCTTCCCACATCTCAGTTTCCTTATCTATAAAATGGGGAGAAAAGGGCCGGACGTGGTGGCTCACGCCTGTAATCCCAGCACTTTGGGAGGCCGAGGTGGGTGGATCACCTGAAGTCAGGAGTTCAAGACCAGCCTGGCCAACATGGTGAAACTCCGTCTCTACCAAAAGTACAAAAAAATTAGCTAGGTGTGGTGGCACATGCCTGTAATCCCAGCTACTTGGGAGGCTGAGGCAGGAGAATCACTTGAACCCGGAAGGCAGAGGTTGCAGTGAGCCGATATTGCGTCACTGTACTTCAGCCTGGGTGACAGAGCGAGACTCCGTCTCAAAAAAAAAAAAAAAAAAAAATTGGGAGAAAAGTACCCTCCTTAAGTACTTCCCAAGGCCCAGTGAGATGACAGATGGCCAAAGCCGAGTGTACAGATCATCAGCAAGGTGGCCTGTGCCCAAGCTGCTGGACAAACCCTCTTCACCACAGCCACTCCCAGGGAGTCAGAAGGTGGGGCTCCAGGGAAAGCCAAAGCCTCTTGATCAGGCAGCAGGCAGGGGGGCCACCAGCTGTCACTCAGGTGTCCCACCTAGTCTAAGAGCAAATACAAGAAAAAGAAGAAACCAGCCCCACAGACAGAGTCACAAGACAGGAGTGGCCTCAGCACAGAGCCAAGAGGGGCAGAGGTGCCGCCGGAGGGACAGCGGTGGCCGAGCAGAAGCCAGGGACCCCACACCACCTGGCTCCTTGCAGCGCCAGAGGAGAGCTGTTCAGGGAGGGCCTTGGTGGGTTGGGACATGAGGTGTCTCAGGTCACGTCTCTGGGGAGTTGAGACGCCAGGAGAGCTCTGCTGGGCTGCCAGGAACCCTGACGTGAACTCAATAATAAAAGCAAACGAGAACTTTGCATGGAGGGTACAGCTTTGCTGGGGAGGGGAAAAATCCACAAAACTGATGGGGGATGCACCTGGACCCCTGGTCCCCCCTACCTGATGTAGTGACAAGTCCCCTCCTTAGGCCATATCTGGGAAGCCAAGACAGAAGAAATCCACCCAGCCTTTCACCCCCTCCTGCGTCCTCGTCTCTGTGTGCGGCGGGCAGCTGGGCCTGGCCAGTCCCAATTCCCTCAATATGAGCCTGTCCCTCCCAGCCCTTCACTGCCCTCAGCTCCTTCCTCAGCCATTCCCACACGTCTGTGTTCTCCCCACGACTCCTTCTCTCCTCTCTTCCCACCCTCTCCTTGTGTGTCCTTTTAGCCATCACTTCTTAACAACAACAACGACAACAACAACAACAAGAGGTGCATCAGATCATCCGGATCCGATGGAGCTGTAACCAGATCCACACCAGAGGCCTCAGCATTGCCCTGACACACAGAGTCCGTCCGCCCACTGGGCTGCTCTCTCCTGGTCTCCAGGTTGGAATAGATCTACTCTTATTGGCTCAGAAAGTAATGGGCTGAGAGAGGGAATTCTGAATACTTTAAAAAGGGAATGTGGGGGATGACCTGGGTGGGAGAGGGGAGGGAGGGAAACCAGAGGATGTTTTGCTCCCAGAACCCCGGCAGTGGCAGACTGTCTGCCAGAATACCGAGAAGCAGGTGGCCTGCTGTGAGCTCAGGGAGGGCTTTCCAGGGCTAGGGAGCCCTCCTGGGCTTCTCAAGTCTGCCTGGGCTGCAGTTCCTGGTCCTGAACCTTCCTTTCTTCCAGCATTTTCCTCCTAACCCTGGGGCATTCATGATTTCTGTCCATCCTCTCAGGAGGGGACTGTTCACGATCTCTCTTCTCTCTCTTTGTATTTTCTGGAACACGGAAAGTGCTTCTGACAGGTGTATCACATCTTCTGCAATCATAACACTCTTGCCCCTCGGAGGTGGCGGAGGTGGCCCATGGCCCCCATGCCCGCCCAGTGCCAAGCTCACACACAGCACCCCCTGCCTTCTCTGTCTTCACCCCTTCCCACGTGCTTTCTCTCCTCCACACTTCCCTGACTCCGCTGGAGGCTGGGGGAGATTGACGAAGAGCCTGGGGCAGACTTGGGCAAACTTCTTGAAAAGTTGCCTTCTACTTTCAGGCCTCCTCTCTCTGCGTCTCCGCCCCTGCAGGAGAACCCAAATGCTCAGCTTCATGCTGACACCACCTTCTCTCTACAGTTACTGTCTCATCCTCCTCCTCCTGCCGGCTTCACTCACAGCTGTCACAGTCCTGGGGTGCTGACACATATCTCTGGAATCTCAGCAGTCATTACCAGGAGAATGACCTCGGTCCCCTGGGTGCACTGACAGGCTTCCCCGGCATGGGGGGTAGAGTAGGGAGGGCCCAGGAAAGGAGGGCTCTGGAGGAAGACACCCCGGGGTGTGGTGTGATCCCTGCATCTGAGCTGGACTGTGCTCTGTCCCGCTGTATCATCTACAGGGGCCTCTTATCCACAGCAAAACGGGAGGAGCCTGGAAACAGAGTGGGATTGGCAGGAGAGGCAGCCCTGGGTAACTCTGGGGCTGTGTCGGGTACCACGCTCACGTATAATAACAGATGACTCTGTTTCCCCAGCCCCTGAAAGCCCCCTCTGTGCTCACGGCAGACCACTCACTCCTCTGTATCCTGGTAGAGTCTGCCACTGCTAGGGGTGCTGGGAGCAATCCCTTATATAAGCGCAGAGCCATACAGCTTACGAAAATTTCACCAACACCATCTCACGAATTCTTACAACAACCCCATGGGACGGTTATGACTATGTCAGTGTTACATCCGGGAAGAGCGAGGCCCAGGCCAGGGGCTTGCCCCAGATCGCCTGGCTTGAGCCCACACAGCAGACACCACCCCAGTCCCACCTCCCTCCTGCTCTTTTATTCCAGCCTTGGCTGTGCGTGTCAGAGCGCACAGCTGTGATCCAACAGCCCCTCGCCCTAACACGCTGCACAGCACTGCCCGCCCTGGGGCTCTTCTGTTACTGCCACGTGGGACTCCTGCAGAGCACACTCAGCCATGCAGATGCACTATCATGCCTGGTGGTGAAAAGGCCTTAATACCACTGTGTGGGGCAGTCCTTGGCTGGACGGGGAGAGGACCTGGTGAATAAGCCATACATGGAGCCCCGAGGGGCTAAGCCCCCAGCGCCCACAGTGGTCTCAGCTCAGTAACGCACCCTTGGATTCCTTCTCCTTTCCCTATTTTACTCTCCCCAGTGCCCCTCCCTCCTGTGCACTTCCCAAAATATGCTACCTGCATGCGAGCACTTCTCTCGGGGCCTGGATTTTGGGGGCTCCCAAGCTAAGGCAGTTTGTTCCTAAGATGCCTAGAAAGTGGCCCCTCGGGATAGGATTCTGGAGTGGGGCCAGACATTGCTAAGGACCACGCTGCTGGTGACAGATGGGGCTGTGACAACCCCTGGCCTGTGGGGGCACTGTGATTACATAGACCCTCACTGGCAGAGGATGGGGAAGAGGGGCAGGTGGAGGTGAAGCATCTGGCTATGCTGTTCCTGTGGCAGTGGTTTGAGGGTGAAGGGGCGTGTAAGGACTGTGGGGGTGGGTGGAGGGCGAAGGGGCGTGTAAGGACTGTGGGGGTGGGTGGAGGGCGAAGGGGCGTGTAAGGACTGTGGGGGTGGGTGGAGGGCGAAGGGGCGTGTAAGGACTGTGGGGGTGGGTGGAGGGCGAAGGGGCGTGTAAGGACTGTGGGGGTGGTTGGAGGGTGAAGGGGCGTGTAAGGACTGTGGGGGTGGGTGGAGGGTGAAGGGGCGTGTAAGGACTGTGGGGGTGGGTGGAGGGTGAAGGGGTGTGTAAGGACTGTGGGGGTGGGTGGAGGGTGAAGGGGCGTGTAAGGACTGTGGGGGTGGTTGGATTTATTAATGGACTTAGAAGCTTTGAAAAAGGAAAACAACTGTCTCAAGCTAGCTGACTGTCAACACAGGGCCCCTGGCCTTCATGGAAATATGTAACTAGACCTTTGTCTCCTAAAGCCCAGGAAGTAATTGTCACCAATTAGTTTTTGGTGTACCAATTGTATACCAATTGTACCAATTACAATTGACACCAATCAGAGTCACCAAGGAGCCTGAACCCACGGACATGGCACTTCTCCCCTGACGAAGTCCAAGCACCGTAGGAAAGAGTGAGACCCTGGGATGAGAACGTTTGTGTGGATGAGCCTGAGAACTTTGCACCCCTAAATTCCCTGAACGCTCTGGGCTGGTGGAAGTGGCCCCTTCCATCTTTGCTAAGAGAAAGCAGACTTTTCTCACCTGGAGAACCAGCAAAGACCTCAACTGAGAAATTTTCTCATGAGATAACACTTGTCCCCCACTGAGAGCTGCCCCTACTTCCCCTACTGCCATGACAGCAATAGCTAGAGTTGGGGTTCAGCACAGGCCAAGGGGGCAACAGCCCCAGCTCAGGAAGAAAACAGCCACACACCCAAAAAGCTCCAAGACCCAGTGGATACACACCAGTGGACGCCGGGGAGCGGACACACACCAGCGGGCGCCGGGGAGCGGGTACACACCAGCGGGTGCCGGGGAGCAGGGGGCGTAGGTGGGGTTGGGGCAGAATGTAAGTCTGAACAGAGGAGAGATTACTGACGTGAAAGTAACTTCTCATGACTCAGGGCTTAATATCCTGGAAAGGACACGCGTACCAGTCCAGTGAACAGCTCCTTGAAGCGCACACATACCGACAGCATTCAGTCAACGAGGTCGACGCGCTGGAACTACTTTGGTGGAGTATTAAAGAAGGGGTCCGAAGGCCCCAGATGCTGTGAACAGAGAACCCACTAGATGACTCTGTGTCCCAGAAGGGTATGGGGGACATTCCCTCCACTAAGGCAATAAAAAATGCAATTCTGGGGTGGGGGACCGCTGAGGCATTTGGAAAGCTTCGTGGTGAGTGCCTTCACTTAGGGTTGCCATTAGGAGATGCTGCCACTAACTGGGCTCCTTAGTATCAGTGAGGATGAGAAGATTCTAGAATAGCAGGGGCCAGATAGTTGCATTTAACCATCAGAGGCAAGTTGGAATTAAATACCACCGTGGTCAGCCAGGCTTTGGAGATGACCAGGGTGCTTTGAACTACAGAAGTCTGCAGCTAATAAGCCATGGTGTTCCTGGGGATGAAATGGATGGGTGGCCAAGTAGGGTATTGCTTGGCTTATATAGCCAGGAAAAAATCAAGAGCTAGAGAGCAGAGAACTCCTCAGTCATCACAACGGGAAACTGCAGTACCATATCCAGTTCCAGGTCTAAGGCAGTTCTCCAGTCAGAGCCCACTGGTGGAAGGAAGACCAGGTAGGGCTTAGGAATGCACTGCAATATTTATAATGATAGCATCCCCATCCTTCCCCAGATGGACCTGTGGATACTTGCCAGAGAACCTGTGTCCTGGGGAAGGGGACTAGCAGAAGTTTTGCAGGCAGGAGGATACATGGTTAGAGCAGACACTGATACCTGTGAAATGAAAACACCATCATTTCTGCCAGTTAGAGTGGGGGTCCACAGAAACCCAGGGATATATGACATCCTGAACCACATCCATCTTACAGCAGGTCTGTCAGGCTCATGGACCCATCCTGTGGTTTGTTCTCTGGTCTCTGAGTCTGCATTTGGATGGCTACACTTAGCATCTAGCATAACCTGAATATGAGTTCCCTGACGTAGGAGTGCCAAATGGGAGCCTATAAAACCTCCCTAACCCCCAGCTAAGACAGGAAATCAGAAAAAACAGTACACCCCAGGGAACTTGCAAAAATTATATCCACTATCAAATACTTAAAGGAAGCAAGGATGAGGTCCCCATCCTATCCTTGTTCAATTCACCTACAAAACAGAACCCTACAAAAACCAGATGAATCAGAGTGGGTGATGGTGGATTACTGGAAACTTCACCAAGCAGCAGCCTCCAATTATTCACAGCAGTGTTGTATTTACTGGAATAGCTCGACAGAGCCTCTATTACTTGGTATATGGTGATTGATATGGAAAATGTATTTTCCAGTCCATGTCCATAAAGAGTCAAAAGCAGTTGGCTTTTTTTTTTTTTTTCCTTAAAGTAGTTTGCTTTTACATAGGAAGGACAGCAATACACATTTCCTATCTTGCTGCAAGGCTGCAATCATTCTCTTGCTCTTTTCCACAATATAGTCTGCAGGGACCTTGGCCGTTGTGACATTCCAGAGAATATGCTCATCCGATACACTGAGGAAATCAGGCTCATTGAGCTAGACGGGCAGGAAGGAGCAAGTCCAGCTAATGCCTGAGGAAGACCTGTGTGTCAGAGGGTGCGAGGTAAAGCCTAGCAAGAAGGTCTACAGCTTGCCACGTCAATGAAATATTTAGAGTCTGGGGCTTTCTGGAACATCCCCTTGAAGATCATGTAAAAGCAAATCATTGCACTCCTTCCACCAAGAGAGGGGCACAGAACTTGGTGGCCTCTTTGGATGCTGGAGGCAGCAAATATTCCCCTTGGGAATACAGCTCTAGCCTAACACTTCCAAAGGCTATCCGTTTTGAGTAGGTCCCAGAGCAAACGAGGGCTCTATAGCAGGTCCAAGATGCAGTGACATCATCCCAGTGGTGCCCGACGTACACTGTGGCGGATAAGGCTGTGTGAGGAGTCTCCGGCAAGTCTCATTGAGAGACACAGCACTGACTCCTCAAGATGGTTGAGGCTGGCCGTCATCTTGAAGACTCTGTGATGAGCTGGACATAGTACAGGGGTGCAAGAAGTGGGCGGGAGCGGATGCCTCCTGTGTCCACCTTGTCTCCTCTAAGCCCTGCTTTTCACTCCAGACTTTGCTGCAGCCATCAGCTGTCCACAGATGTAGCCTGAAGACAACTTGACTTAGTGAGTCTCTCCAGGCCACCACTGCTCAGCTGTCCCCTGGCAGGAACAAACCTGAATGTGCCGGCCAGTTAACACCCCATGGTGCACCCTGCGCTGTGGGCTATGGCAGCTGGTGGATGCAACCTTCCCTCTTCTATCCCTCAGGTGGGCAGCTCAGAAAGTGCCTTCTACACCACTCCTCAGAGAAGTCCTAACTGGATTGAGTCTTGGAACCACTCCCCATCTCATTGACTCAATAGTACACCTGGAATGGCTTTCTTCCTCCCCATTTCACTTTTCCCAGCCCCCTTTCCTTTGGCTCATTTCCCAAAATAAACCTCCTGCATGCAAGCCCTTGTCTCAAACTCTGCTTTGGGGAGAAAACTCTAGACTAAGACAGACAAGATTTGAAATCTGAAGTTTCCCATGCAAAGAAAAAAGCCATGCAAGTTTTCTCTGTTTGCCTGTCTCCCCAGTAGAAGAGTTTCCAAATGCTTACTGGGTTAAAAGTGCCTCTGCCTAATATTATAATTAGTAGGGTTGTTTTACGATTCAGAAAACAGAGGAAAGTATGAAGAAGATTATCACCCATGGTCTAATGAGCTTATTGGGCTTAATGGTTCATATTTAACAGGAATGAAACGCTCCTTTCCCATGTCACCAGGACAGGTACAGAGTTGAAACTTCCTCTCCATGTGCCCAAACTCACTGCTGGACCTGAGTGAGGCCCCCAGTGTCCCTCGATTAGCCACCTGCTCAGTGGCCTGAGGCCAGAGTCAGGGAGCTACGGTCAGAGGTGCCTGGATGCTGCTCCACCCCTAGCGAGGCCTGCACTGTTCCCAGCGTGGCACCAGGGCCCCTTGCAAGCTTTACCAAGAAGCCTCTCGGGTTATTCCCTGTGGCCAGGCTCGGGCTGGGTCCCTGGGCCTATGGGCTGTGGGGTCAGCCCACTGGGCAAAGGGATCTGGGATTTCTTGGGACAAGCTCCAGGAACAGGAAACTTTGGAACACGCCCTCCTCTCGCGGGCCTAAGCTCCCTTCCCTTTTCTAGGGGGGTGTCTGCAAGTCTCTGTGCTGCCCTCTGGGGAGGACTGGCCTTCAGGAACTTTCCCGTCGGCCACTTGGAGACTGGGGTGCACACCAGGGCACCTCCAGGCAGCGCCTCCTGCACGCTCACACCTCCTTTCCCTCCCCTTCTCTCTTCTTGCTCATCCTCAGCTCTTTTGCGGCCAGCCAGTCTTGCCCCCAAAAGGAGGAATGGTTATTTCTTTAGCTATACAATTAATCAATGTTTTGGCCCTTTCTTTTAAAACAGTATGGGCCACAAGTCCGGGACCGCGGGAGCCTCGGCAAGCCTCGGCTGGGCTGGGTGAAAGGTGGCCCTTCTCTGGCCAGCTCTTGGTGTCTCCCTCCCTTTGTTCTCCCCTCACGCCCTTCTTCCTGCGTCTGGAGGGAAAGGCTTATTTACAGTCACTGCAGAAACACTCCCTCTCCCCTCTGTTGGTAGAACCACAACCAAGCGGATACAGCAGAGCTGAGATGCTGCTGGCAGTGCGGGTCTCCAGCTGTCAGCCCCGAGCTGTGGCTCTCAAGACAGGATTCAGGCACAGAACCAAGACTCTTGGTCCTTCCTGCCCAGCCAGGCTGTCTCTGTCACACACACACCCGGCCAGGCCATCCCAGCCAATAGCCAAAGGCCTCGACCGCCTGGAAACCAAAGGGGCTCCCCTCGGCCCTCCAAGCAGTCCGGGGAAGGGGTGGGGCTGGGAGTCAGTCGGGAAGGTTGGGTCAAGGAAGAGAAAAGAGGCACTTGCCTTCTGCTGGGGTCTCCAACCCCTGGCTGACTTCTCTCTTGGGATGACTTCCAGCTTCTGGCTGTTTCCCCAGGTGGTATCTTTGAAAACACGGTCAGCTGTTCATCTTCTCATGGAAGTGTGGGTGCCAGGCAAGTGGCATTGAGCAACCTTGAGTGAAAGATGCCCACCTGGCTGGTGGAGGCCCTTCCCGGGCAGAGGCAGAGGCAGAGGCAGAGGCAGAGGGGAGGCTCTTGGTGGAGAGATGTTGTCTGAAGCCAGAATTATTCTGACCGTGTCCCCACGCTTGCTCCTAGGGCCCTGCTCCTGCCTTAAGGGGCCCCACAGGACCTCACTCCCATCTCCACCCTGGCTGCTCTTTCTCTCTTTCTTTTTTTTTTTGTTTGAGACGGAGTCTCGCTCCGTCGCCCAGGCTGGAGTGCAGTGATGTGATCTCGGCTCACTGCAAGCTCTGCCTCCCGGGTTCACGCCGTTCTCCTGCCTCAGCCTCCCAAGTAGCTGGGACTACAGGCACCCGCCACCACGCCCGGCTAATTTTTTGTACTTTTTTTTAGTAGAGACAGGGTTTCACCGTGTTAGCCAGGATGGTCTCGATCTCCTGACCTTGTGATCCGCCTGCCTCGGCCTCCCAAAGTGCTGGGATTACAGGCGTGAGCCACCACGCCCGGCCCCTGGCTGCTCTTTCTGTACGTGCCCATTCCTCCCCTCTCCCACCAGGCCACCCATGTGAGTTGTGGTTGGTGATGTGGCTGGGCCAGCCCTCCTGCACAAGGCCTTCTGTGATGTGCCCCCATCCCAGGAGCAGGCCAGTGCCTCCTTCTGGGTGCCCACATTGTTTGAACCCCATCACCATGTTTGCACCTGCTCTGTAACTATTAATGCACAGCTCCGGGACCTCCCAGGGGGCAGGGACAAGGCTTCATCCCTGTTGTGTCTCCAGGGCTGAGTGTGGCAGGCAGGACAGAGGCACTCGGGACACACCCATTGAACCAAACGGAACTCCCACTTCCAAAGCACCATGGAACAAAATGTGGCCGGCACCGCAGGTGTGGCCTCTCATTCCCCATACTGGGGACTTGACTTTCTCCTCCTCTAGGCAGTGAGCACCTCTGCAGAGAGATGAACCACCTCGGTACCCCAGTGTCCAGCATAGGTGTCTGCACATAGTACCTGTCCCATAAAAATAAGCAGGACGAGGTTGCCTGCAGAGACACAGCAAGAGGTGGGGTGCATGGCTCACATGTGCTATGAAAGGACGGCGCTGGCCGGGCGTGGTGGCTCATGTCTGTAATCCCAGCACTTTGGGAGGCGGAGGCGGGTGGATCACGAGGTCAGGGGATCGAGACCATCCTGGCTAACATGGTGAAACCCCGTCTCTACTAAACAAAAACACAAAAAATTAGCCGGGCGTGGTGGTGGCCGCCTGTAGTCCCAGCTACTTGGGAGGCTGAGGCAGGAGAATGGCGTGAACCTGGGAGGCGGAGCTTGCAGTGAGCCGAGATCACGCCACTGCACTCTAGCCTGGGCGACAGAGCAAGACTCCATCTCAAAAAAAAAAAAAAAAGAAAGAAAAGAAAGGACAGCGTTTCTGTGTGCGCACAGAGGCGCCTTAGCAAATCCTGCAAAAACAACAGACACACAGGCTCAGCTTCTGCCCTGGCTAGATAACCTCTGGAGCCCGAGGGAAGAGTGTACCTGCCTGGGGGGAGGGATATGGAGTGGGGAGTGCAGGGGGCCACCCGGTTAGGGCAATGGGCAGGTGCCTGGTCAAGGAGGGAGGCTATTCTTTTGTGAACTTTTTTTATTTCTTCAGTGTTTTTTCAGAGTTGGACCCCCGGCGTCTTCACGCTAATGCCACCGTCTTCATTTCTCTCTGGCTGCATCTGCTCTTCATCTCCATGCGGTTATAGTTTTCACCTCGCTGTAATCAGGGGTCCTGCTTTTTCACTTGATGATATACAGAGACGGCTTCCCTTGTACGGGGACTTCCTACCCATCAGGTCTCACGGCCGCACAATATCCCATCGAGTGCCCGCCGCATACTTCACGTAACTATCCCTTTACGGCGGACAGGTAAGATGATGCCAGAGGGGTTTCTTCTGCTGCTATAAATATCTTGGCACGTCCAGCTTTTTTCATCTTTTGAATTATTTCTCAGGGATATGGTCCCGGGGCGGGATTATGGAATTGAAGGGTCGGGTGGCTCTTGTCCTGTTCTGCCAGTTGCCCTTCAAGAGATGGGGCTGGGGTAGGTGATGTGGAGGAGTGCCCTACCACCCTCCATCTGCACGTCTGGTGCCTGGTGGGGATGTGCAGCATGGGCAGAGGGTGCAGCCCGCAGCAGGAGCTCCCAAACACAATGAGGGTGCCGAGTTTTGGAGTTTCCAACACCTTCTCCAGCGTCCGGTGATCTCAGTCCTGGTCTCCTCTAGGCAGCGAGCAGTGAGCACCTCTGCAGAGGGATGGGCCACCTCGGTATCCCCAGTGTCCTGCACAGGTGTCCGCATATAGTTCTTGTCCCATACAAATAAACAGGAGGAGGTTGCCTGCAGAGACACAGCAAGAGGTGGGGTGCGTGACTCACATGTGCTATGGTGTGCGGCTTGGGCAGAGGGTGCAACCCACAGCAGGAGCTCCAAAACACCATGAGGGTGCCGAGTTTTGGAGGTTCCAACACCTTCTCCAGCGTCCGGCGGTCTCAGTCCTGGGCCACGGAGCAGACGGTGGGAACACAGGCTTCCTGGCAGGCAGCACGGCCCGATGCGGGCTGGTCTGGTGGGTGGCTGTGGCTTCCGTCGTGGGGAGGCACAAGCCCTGAATCAGGATGCTCATTTTGGCACACGGCAGCCTGTGCCTCTGACCCTGCCAACGCCAGCCTCCGCCACCTCCTGCCCGCTCAGCCTCCGGAACCATGAGCAGGACGTTCCAGATCCGAGCTGCTGACAAGCCACAGCAGGCAGGAAGATAAATGGAAGGGTCCTTAATCCCAACTTCTTTCCATAATTAAGTTTTGAGATCATCGTATGCTGAACCCAGGTTTCAGCAGAGCTGCTGGGACTGGCTCCAGGTGGACGCTGGCGTGCAGTTAACAGGGATAGGGGCCGTGTCGCTGCTGCCAGCAGCCTGGGAGAGCCCTGCTACTCATCCCCTGCGGATGCCTCCTTCCCACGCTCAGACTCCGGGGGGCTGGACAGACAGGGAGGCAGCTGCAGATACCCCAAGGTCAGAGTCCCAGGCTCCGGCAGGGCTGTACCCCGGTCCATCTCCAGCCCTGACTCCTCCAATCCTAATATGACTTCTCACTGCTGGTTGGGGCATTTCTAGATCCCTTTACCAGAACCACTGGTAACTCTCCTCAAAGCAACCACAACGCTTTGCCCTGGTCCTCCCTTAAGCCCTGGACTTTCGGTTAGGCCCTCTCTTAGCACCTCTCCTGGTCACCTGGGTTGTGCCAGGCTGACTGCTGGGCACGGGGATACGTGGGGGGGAACAAGACAGATGAGACCCCTGCCCACAAGGAACTCCCCCAGCGGGCCCAGGAGGTTGTGGCCAGGCCAAGCTCCCGAAAGCTCTGGTCTCCTGGGGTCTTGGAAGACAACCAGCCAGCACCCTCCCTCCTGGAGTCCCGCTGCATTGGGGAAATTGACCAGCGCCCAAAGACGGGCCCACCTGGGCATCTTCGACCATGCCAGGGACAAGACAGCAGAAAAATGGCCCCAGGGAGAAGGGCTGGGGTCTCTGGACTCTTCTCCAGGAAAACCTTCAAACTCTAGACACCCTTGGCCACCCGCTGCCCTGGGTTCTTCCAGGCTGGGGCTGGGGCTGGGGCAGGGCTGCTCCGCCTGGGCTCCTACGTGACTCCTTTCTCCTCCTCCCCTCCCCATTTGCCTGGGAGGAAGGAAGGGGCCGCACTTGCTCCAGCCTCTCTGGCTGCTCCTTCCTTCCCTCCTG
Source organism: Homo sapiens (assembly GCF_000001405.40). NCBI lineage: Eukaryota > Metazoa > Chordata > Mammalia > Primates > Hominidae > Homo > Homo sapiens. The sequence continues at coordinate 79,212,400 of NC_000017.11, forward strand.
CAGCCGGGCTCCTGGCGCTGCCCGTTCCCAATTTCTCCTTCCTGTAGGACTGCTGCAGGGGCCACCCTGTTTTTAGGGGGTCGGGTCTCACCCTGGGCCCCCCAGTCCGCAACTCCTGACTCCTTATTCTGCACTTCCTTCCTTGTTCTTCATAAAGAGTAGATTTCAGAGCAACTTAACTTCTTTCACAAGCAAATTCCCAGAGCCTGGTTCTTCCCCAGCCCTGGAGGGCCTCCCCGTAATTGCAGGCCTTACTCTCTCTGCTCCTTTTCAATCACAAATGTCGCTGACAGTCCCCACACTACCACTTGTTTCCCCTTTTGTCCTAGAATGAGAAAAGCAGGCTGTGGGGAGGGGCGGGGAATGGGAGAAAGTGCCTGGCTCTAAACAGAAGCCAGGCCCATTCTCTCCCTTAGGGGACCCAGACAACTTCCTGGGGCCTGGAAACAGATGTCACCTCAGCTACAGTGTTTGAGTTGGAGTCTGGCTCTGTTGCCCAGGCTGGAGTGCAGTGGCGCAATCTCAGATCACTGCAACCTCCGTCTCCCAGGTTCAAGAGATTCTCCTGCCTCAGCCTCCTGAGTAGCTGGGATTACAGGCATGCGCCTGTAATGCCCAGCTAATTTTTTGTATTTTTAGTGGAGACAGGGTTTCACTATGTTGGCCAGGCTGGTCATGAACTCCTGACCTCAAGTGATCTGCCCGCCTTGGCCTCTCAAAGTGCTGGGATTACAGGTGTGAGCTACCACGCCCAGCCTGGACATGAATATTTTAATGACAATGAAAAAGAGGATAAAGTTCCCCTGTTTCTCTTGTGAGCAGATGAGGGTTGAGGGTCAAGGGTTTAGGGTGGTGGTGTTGGAGCAGGTGGCTCCCTCGCCTCCCTGCCCTGCACTCACCCAGGAAGGGGAAGGACGCGGCGGGGGGGCACCTGGATCCACAGCCCTGCAGATTCCACAAGGGAAGCTGTGTCTTCACCAGCAGTCCAGGCCTCGCGTCAAGTCCCCAAAATATGCACCCGCAACTGCTACCAGGACCTAAATCCAGCAACAGCCAGACGGGGGAGGGTGAGATGAGGGCCAAAGTCAAGGGCTGGCCCTCCCCTTCTTGGCCTCCCACCCCGCCAACCAGTGGGGCCCATCCAGAGGCTCCTCCCCCAGGGTCAGCCCCACTCTCCTGTCACTCCCCCTTTATCCACATGCTTGTTTGGTGAGATTTCCTAAGTCCTTCCATCTTGGATGTCCTGAGCCTTCCCCGGGGACTGCGACCATTAGGGGCACTTTGCACCTAACAGGGTGTATCCACTCGGCACCGCCAACAAATGTTGACCAGCTGATAGCTAAAATCTCTCCTCCTCTCTTGGACTCCCACCAGATATAACTTTGGGAACATTTGTACCCCAAGGACAAAGGGCTGCGAACGTCACAGGAAACCTGACTTTCCAGCCGGCCACACTCCATGCACAAGCCCAGAGGGTCTCCTCAGCCATTCTGTACTGGGCATTGCTGGGTTTTGGGAATTGAGGATGTGAAGGAAGCCAAGACATCGCGTGCTGCCTGTGACCTGTGGGCCACAGCCCCTAAACACTCAGCGGATCAGACTTGGTTCCGTTTCCGAAGGTGGTGCCAGCGGATGTTGGGAGGCCCGGTGAACTACAGCCAACCCTCGCATGGCGCCGCCCAGCTCTGGTAGGAGGGACTGAAATAAATGGAGTCAAGTGAACTTCTTTGGTAAACCATGATGGATCTCTCTTTAGGAACTGCCCCTCACCAGAGCTTTGCCACCCGTGGGTATTAGGACCCTGATAAAGTCGGCCTCTCCAGCAACGCACGGAGCTATCTCACTTACAACGTGAAAGTGGCTGTGTGTTGGTTGCCGGCATGAAAAAACACTTTGCTTAATGATTTTTAATAAAAATCAGACATGGTCATGGAGGTGCCTCATGGAGGAAAGCCCTGTCTCCTCATTAATTAGACAAGCCCTCCCGCCCGCAGGTCCAGCAACCAGGGAGGGTGGGGGCTCTCTTCTTGAGAAAAGTGATGCAAAGCCCTTTGGATCAGTGTGACTGGGAGGACGCTGCTGCCCACCCTGGCACCCAGGGAGGAGGAGGAGAGATGGGAGAAGAGGGGCTCCCTGGGGCAGGCCAAGTGGGAGGGATGTCTGGGGGGGGTCTCGGAGGAAGCAGGAAGGGTTGGCCTCTGTGGCTGTCCAGGGAGAGAGAGGAGGAGCCCAGGCTCCCAGGCAGGGCTGAAGCTGGGTCTGTTCCCCAGGTTCCTGGGAGGGTGGCCATCTGGGAAGCCCAGGAGGGGAGGCTGGAGGCCCAGGGGCCCCCAGCTACTAGACGGCCCTAGGAAACAGACACTAAATCCTCATTACAAGGCTTGTTAAATGCACAGACAGGATATTAGCGTTTAAACAGCTTCTATTACTCCAGGGCAAACTTTAAAAAACATAATATTTATAGAAAGCCTCATTCAGCTCACCCTGTTTGTTCTTTATTTCTCTGGCAATTACCGCTAATTTGGAGACGTTCTGCCTTGGCATCTTCGCCTGGTGCCGGTCAATTATGAAGCCACCCGCTGGTGCTGCCCCCACACCCGTCACTCCTGCACAAGACCCAGCGGCTGCAGGGCTTGGGGGAGTGACATGAGCCCACCCCCTGGCTCCCTGCCCTTCCCCTTCCTGGGCAGGGCAATGTTCACACACCCCAGGCCATCTTCCTGTGCCATCTGTTTGTCCCATCGGGTTGGCTCTGGGGGAAGTGGGAGGGAGGTGCTGGCCCCCGCAGGGCTCCCGGCTGAAGCTCCCAGGCCCCAGACTGCATGCTGCCGCCCTCGTGCAGCTCTGAGCTGAGCCCAGCAACGCTGAGGCTGTAGGGGCAGGGAGGTCCTCCGCTCTGGGCTGCAGCCCCGTCAACCAAAGAGTCACACTGGTTTCCAGACCTATGAATGTGACCGTGGTAGGAGACGCCTCTGGAAAGCACCCTACTCATGCTCAGACGTGTGGCCCCTGCTCTGCCATGCCAAGGACGTAGCACTGTCAACACGCTCCCTCTCTCCCTCCAACCTCCCTTCCTTTCTCCATCTGTTCCTTGAGTCCTTGCCAAGCCTCTCCCCTTTCCAGGGCACTGCTGACCGACCACTCAGACTCATCTCCTGCCCACACGGAGCTCACAGTCAGCTGGTGCCCTGGGTAAGACAGGCACCCCTGGTGTGCGGGGACTCACAGAAGATGGAAGGGCAGGGCTCAGGGAATAGCACATAGAGGAATAAACTGGTCCCCAAAGGCTGTGCATGGCTGGACGTAGCCCAGCAGGAGCGTATCCCCCAGGCTTGGCTCTGCTGTAGGCAGCCATGCCACGCTGGGCACCGCCCTCTCTCAGCCTGCCCTGAAGCGGAGCACCCACTGCCTCGGTGCCTGCTGGGCACACTGCCGGGCTCAATGTGTCCTTTGCTTTTGTCCCCAAGGCAGTGGGAAGCCACTCTGGCGGCTGTGGATGCTGGTGCAGGCATTTGGACGTCGTCCTGAGGGTTCCTGAGTAGAGGTCAGAGCCAGAGTCAGGTTTAACCCGATAGCCTTGCAAGCAGCGGACGCAGGGCTGGAGCTGATGGTCTTGGGGTCACCCAGGGGTCCAGCACTTGTCCCCTGCCCCCAAGCGTCCTCAGCCCAGCGGGGGTCAAGATGTAACTGTCTGGGCTTTGGAGCTGGAGACCAGGTTCTGGTCCTGGACATCACAGTTGGGTTGGTGACCTGGATATGTCACTGCCACCTCTGTGGCCCCCCAGCTGGGTGGGGAGAGCAGCCCAGCCTGTTTGCCTCCCAGGCGTAGGTGAGGCGAGCTGAGACGCCATCTGTGAGGAGGCTCTGAGAGCCACTGTGGTCTCTGCGGTGTGTGGCATTCTTGGGACACAGGGTCCATGTGAGGAAGTGTACCCACCTGACGGAAGAAGGTGGAGACCATGGGGACCACGGAGCAGGTGGGGAGGGGTCTCCTGGCTGGGACCACCTGGAGGGCCTGGAGTGGAGATGGACTGGGGGGCAGGCAGGAAGGAGGGGTGGGGCATTGTAGGAGCAGCTTAGAGGTAGGACCAGCATGAGGCCAGGGGGCAGGAGTGAGAGGAGGGAGATGAGGAGCACGTTGGGCTGAGCCCAGTCTCCTGCAGGAAGGAAGGTACCATGGCCCCTCAGGCCCAGAGCACAGGCCCCACGGCTGGTGTGGGCTTCTCTGTGGCAGTGAGCAGAACCCAGGTGGGGACAGGGTCACATGCCCACCCGTTCTGGCGTCTCCCTGTCCTGCCAGCAAATATCCCTGTCCTGCTTGACCGGGCACAGAACACGCAAACAGTAATTTTCACCCAACCTGATCTCACTTTACAGATGAGCCACCTGAGGCTCAGAGAGACTTGGTGACTTGTCCAGGGTCATGCAGCTGCCAAGTGGCAGAGCCAGATCCCAGAGCAGGCCTGAGGAACACGAGTCCCCTGCCCCTGCCATTGAGCCCACTGCCCAGACCCCAGCAGCCTTTTTACCCCCGGCCCCTGTCTCCCCACCGTGGTGGCAGCCCTCCTCCAGGGGGTATCCCCAGGTGAAACATCCGAAGGCAGAGATACCCCCAAAGCAGGCAGGGGGCCCCCCACTCTGGGCCTCTCTCACAGAACAGCAGTGACCTCCACACCCTTGCTACCAAGGGGAGCCCCTCCCCGCACGGCCAAGCTGAAAGGGCCTGGGGGCAGGTTCCTCCCTGCAACCCACTCTTGCTTTGCCAAGGCCAGGCCCCTTGGCTCTGCTGGCAACTGTCCCCTTCACAATGAGCACAGAAATCATTGGCCGCAAGTTTGCCAGCTTTAAAATGGGAGCAACAATATCTCCAGTGCTGCCCTTGAAAAGCCATGCCCATGGGAGGTGGAGATATGTTCACTCGAGGATGGGAGAGGAGGCTGCACAAGAGTGGGGAGCCCTACAGAGCTGCTGCTTCAGGGGATACCCCTGGCCAGGTCCCATCCTGCATCTCGGAACAGACTCATTCTTTCAATCACTCACTCGTTCATTTCAGTGTTCAGTGTTCCCAGAGCCCCAGCTGAACATCAGACACAGGGCAGATACCAGGAACAAGAACTGAACAAGACCCAGCCAGGGTGCTCGAGGGAGCTGCAGGCAGAGGGGAGATGGAGGGGTGAATGGGTAACAGGAGCACCCAAGGATGAGGGTGGGGGTGCAGAGGAGGAAATGGCATCTGGCTGTGGGGTGCTCAGGGAGGGCTTCCTGGAGGTGGTGACAGCTAAGCTGCCCTTGACTCCATGCCTGCAGCAGCCCCTCATGTCTCTGCCTGAAAGCTCACCCTGAAGTCAAGCAGGAGCCAGTTATGGGGGTGGGGTGGGAGGCAGGGTGTTTTTTTAGGTGGAACAAGCCCAAAGGAGAACACGGCAGATGTTCAGATTAACCTTGGAGCAGCTCAGCCTGGCTGGGCCACGGGGCTTAGGGAGGAGCCGGAAGGAGGTGCGGGGTGAGGTGGAGCTGAGAGGGCAGGGTGGGGAGAAGTTAGCGCTCTGTGTTACGAAGGTGAGATTTGATCGGGGCAGGCGGGGCTGGGGCTGGGCCTGGAAGCTGAGTGGGAAGTCGGGGTAGAGGGAGGCAGGACCCACTCTGGGAGCTGGGGTCAGGTGGACGGTGGTACCCACTGGTGATCCGCAGGGCAAGGATGGAGAAGCCAGTCTGAAGGAAACAGCAGTTTTCAAGGCTCATTTTTGAGTGTGAGTTTGAGGAGTGTGTGGGCATCAGGTGGACAACAGGAATCGAGCTGGCGAGGCTGGGAGGGGGTCCTGGTGGGGTTCGGACTTGGGGGGTGGCAGCGTTTGGGTGCCGTCTCCCACACTGGGGTGGGTGACATGGCTCAGGGAGGGACAGCAGGAGAGGAGGAGGATCCTCCTATGGGGGCCTGGTTCTCTGCCCAGCTGCAAATCCCAGCTTGGAAGTGGAGCCGGGGATCTGGCTCCTGGGAAGATGAGAAGGAGAGGCTCCCCGATCAGGTTCCGTCCCATCCCAAAATAGCCTGGAAGGTCCAGCAAAGGAGCACTGGCCCGGCCCCCAGGGCTTGGCCGAGCGTGGCTGAGGACAGGCAGAGCCCCTGCTGGGGAGAGGGGGAGTTCTGGGAGGAAGACCCCCAGAGGAGCCCGGCAATCAGACCCTAACCAGAGACGGAAGCCCCCTCCCACCTCTGAAGGGGCTCCTAGGCCGGCTCACACACGCCAGGTCAGGGCCGGGAGCCGAGATGCAGGGAGGTCAGGGAACAGGGTTCCATTCTGCCTGCAGGCTCAGGGAATGTCTTTGGGGAAGTGGTCGCTGAGGCTGGCCTTGAAGAATGAGGAGGGGGACTAGTGGGACACATCAGGGCATTCTTGGTAGAACCAAAGGCCTCGGTGCAGACATGGAGGCCGGAGCACCCGGGCACATCCTTGCCCCAATTTTGCCCTGAATGGGAGCAGAGTCAGCAAAGCACAGCAGAGCTCAGCCCATGGGGTGACCAGCGGTGAGCTTGACCCTCGCGATTCTGACTCCCAGGGGCCATCCGTCCCTTCTCCACGGCTGCCATGGCTCCTGCGGCCTCAGCCTGCTCTGCGGACCCCCTGCTGGACCCACAGTCCAGCTGCTTGGTGTGGGCCCCACAGGCACCTGTGCGGGGTCAGGCCCTCCCAGTGGGGCTCCAGGGCCCTTGAGCCCTTCTCCTGGTGATGGGGCTGGACTGTGGCCCTGGAGTTCCATGCTGCAGGGTAGATTGTGTCTGGACCCAGAGGTCAGGCTGGGAAGGGGTACCCGGATGTGGGGTTGCCCCTGCCTGGGAAGTGTTCCTGGGCTGAGGCTGCTGGCTGGGCACAGGGGAAAAGTTCACCCTACACGGAAAGCACAACAAATTCACACAGATTTCCAAACCACTTCTGCGCAAGCCTAGAGGCTGATGATCCGGGGATATGCAGCCTTCTCCAAAGTGTGTGCATGTGCGTGCGCGTGCACACACACACAAAGACACACAGACACACACACATACCCTAAACCTTTCCTTCTTCTCCCAGTTCCGCCCAGTTGAGCTAGGATGGCCCGGTCCTCCCCTCACTGTGAGGGCCCCTTCCTGCTTGGCCTCGCCTGGTACTGCCCCTTCAGGCCTGTCTGGCCCAGACCCCTACCCTGATTTTTCATTTCCTTTGCCAAAAGGCACAGGGGCTCGCAGAGGAAGGTGGGGGAGGCTGCAGAGTGGGGGCGCCTACTCTCCCCAGGGCCTCTGCAAGCTGCTCGTGTCTGGGCTCAGAGCTCCGGGGAGGTCGGCTGGGGCTCACAGCCATGCTTCACCACTCCTTCCCAGGGTCCGGTTTCCCACACCTGATTTTGTTTGGGAAGCGGGAGGAGTAAAGGCACAGGATAAGGGGGAGGGGAGCTTGTGGGGCTGGGGCTGGTGTGCTGGGTTCCTGGGAGCCATCTGAAGTTTGGGCTAGTGTATCCCCTGCCGGGTATTACTGGAGGCTGGGCCCAGCCCCCTGTCCCAGCCCCCTGTCCCAGCCCCACCGTCTGCATCCGAGGCCCACCTAGAACAGTCTGGCCGACAGCCAGCACTTCCTGTCTGGGGACACCTCCAACCGGCACCCCTGCCTGCTGGGCCCTGGGGGAAGGGTGGCATGGCCTGGGAAGGCACGGGGTGGGGGGGTGGGGGGAGCACGCTGAGCTTCCCAACATTTCAGCCCCAGATCTGCCCAGAGTGAGAAAGCAACACGCAGTCCACGCTTGGTACATACCCAAAAATACATCATCATTTCGGAACCGCGGCTCCACAGCAGGCTCCCGGGGAGGAGGGGAGGAGACCCAATCAGGGAAGCGGCCGCTGGCGGCAGGTTGGTGGGGGTAGGGGCTTGGTCCCCCAACGCTGGCACTCAGTTTAGCTGTCACTTGCAGCTGTCTTAGGAAGTGCGGCTCTCCTCTCTGCCTCCCGCTCGCTCCTGCTCACTCCAGGTCCTCTCTCCCTCTCCCTGTGTCTCTGCCTCTCGCTTTATTTCCCCAGGTTGCTCAGCTCCGTGCCTGCTCTCCGCTCGCCCATCGATGGGGTCCTGCCCGGCACTGCCCTGTCGCAGTCACTCCTGCTGCCTGGATCTCTGTTCAGAGTTGAACTACAGCGTCCTGATTCCAGCGCTCATCAAGCAGGGGACCCAGGGGAGGGTGTGTGTGTGTGTGTGTCGGGGGGACACAAAACCTTCCAGCCTAGCAGATCTCACGGATACCGGAATGGGGAGGACACTTTACTGAAGGTTAGAACAATTCTCATAAGGTCCCTCTTGGCTTCAGAGGGTGGGAGATGAGATTTGGAAGGGCCAGAGAGGTGACACTGCCTGGAGACCCCAGCCCCAAGTTGGAGCAGCAGGGAGGGAGGAGAAGCAGCTCCTGCAGAGGCGGGGCGGCTCTCCAGGCCTGGAGCGTGGGCCAATCAGAGACGAGGCGCAGAAGTTGAATGTGCATTGGGTGCAGCAGGGGTGAGAGGGTGGAGTGCAGGGAGGTGGGGCCACCGCCTGCAGGAGAGCCTGCATCTAACGTCTGTCCTGCCTCAGCGTTTTCCAGGACACCCCATCCATGAGGGACTCCGATACCTTCTCCACTAACCCACCCTGCTGGGGGCTAGGACCTTTGAGGACTCACTGCCCTGCAGCCAGGATTTCCGCTCAGCCCTGCCGAAAAGCCGATGCCGGCTGAGCGCTGTTGACAGAGGCCTCTCAGCCGACCTGCCTCGCTGCCCATCATCTCTGGCCAGTGCCACCCATGGGCTGTATACAGCCAGGGACCCAGGCCCAGGGCCCGGTCGGGAGCCTGCTCCACCATCGGCCTGAAGGCCAGAGCCCACCCGGGCGGTTGCCTGCTCTTTGAATAGACAAAAGAGACTTCTTTCTATGGTTCTCAGAGTTTCTTCCAATGAGCAACAATGAGGCCCAGAGGCCGGTTAGTGTTGGGGTGGCTGCAGGCGGGTGGCTGCGTGAGGTCTCATGTGCTGGCTCTGCTCTCATGCTTCCACTCTTTCCTCTGGAGAGTGAGAGAGTGATGCAGGTTGGGGGGCCTCTTGTCCCCCTTGGGCCTGCATTGGTGGCCTCAAGGGCCAGCCCTAGACTAAACACCCAGGACTTTCCTTCCCTGGAGGGTAACTTGGGTCCCCCAACCCAACTGTGTCCAGCTGTGGTAAGGTGGGGTCCGGGCGAATTCATGATCGTCTTCAGTGAGAGCCCACCCAGACCCACAGAGGTCTTCCCACCCTGTCACTCCTTCCATGGGGACCTGGCTGAGTGGAAGGAGGGCTCGCTGGGAAGGAGGAGGTGGGGGTCGGTGGCTGGAGCCTCTGGCTCTGCTCCCTGGCTCCCCTCCAAGGCCGCCGCCCATAGCTCTCTGGCTGGGCAAGCCCAGGGGAGGTGACAGGATGCAGGCAGCAGCATCAGCTTTGAGTCTCTGGGGCTGGCATGGATGCCTGGCAGGAGCGGGGAAGGGTGGAGGTGCAGATGGGGAGGGGTGCAGAGGGCAGAAATATGAGTTGCTCATGTTGCAAGCTCTAGAATGAGACTGCCCAAAAACCTCCACCAGCCACAAACACCTGAGGGTAGGAAAGCAGGTGTTCCACCAGAGCCGATGCCATAGGGACCTGCTGCCTGATTTCTACCCGTTGCCTGATTTCTACCCATTGCCTGATTTCTACTGCTGCTTGATTTCTACCCGCAGCCTGATTTCTACCTGCTGCCTGATTTCTACCTGCAGCCTGATTTCTACCTGCAGCCTGATTTCTACCGGCAGCCTGATTTCTAGCAGATCTAAAGCCCTTTATGGCTCCCTGGGGATCCAACACTTTGTGCTAGCTCATGCCAAGGAACCAGCCCTGGCCAGAAGGTACAGAGGCCTAAGATCCATCTAAACCAAACATTTCCCAGCTCTGCCACTGCCAGTCTTGCAGCCTCTGTGGGCTGCGTCGCTGCTCTCCACCTTAGTGTCCTCATGTCTAAGCTGGGATGGCAGGACAAACCCTGCTCCAGGGCTGTTTGGGGAAGCTCCTGTTCTTTTGAAAGGGCCAGAGCTCTGGGGACTCTGAGTTGGCACAAGCCCCTGCACCTGAGACTCTGAGCAGCATTCTGTAGCCCCTTGCCGAGGCCAGTGAGCAGCCACATGTCCTCTCGCACGTGTCCAGAAAGTTGAGCTTTGGGCTCAGAAAGCTCACAGGACGACAATGCCCACCAGAGATGGCCTTGAGCCCCTCCTCCATGTCCCCCCACACACAGCCTTGTCATTGCACATGGACTGGGCTGTCCCTGCCCTGGGCACACAGGCACCTCCTAGAGGGCAGGGGCTCAGCCACACTTGTCATGTCCAGGGTGGCCAGCATGGTGCAGATGCCCAAATGCTGGCTGTGGGGCTGGAAAGAATGAAGAGGTGGCCGGGCATGGGCTGGGTTGCTCTTTGGGGAGCACAGGGTGAGAAAGAAGCAGTTTCCTCTGTAGCCTGTGTCCCCCGGGCTCCATTCTGGAGGGTCTGTGATGACAGTGGTGAATTTCTGGCTGCAGCTCTGGGGTGTCAGGGTGTGGGTCTGCCACCTTTTCCTGCATGCCCTGGGGACCTGCCCATATGGCCAGTGGCTTCCTCAAACAAGCTGCCTGTCTCCTGCATCCTCTAAATTCTGGGGTGGCCACTCCATCACCCTCGAAAAATGGGCTCACAGGCAGGGCCTCTGCCAAGTTAAGTTCCAGTGTTTCTGCTCTAAAACTCCACACCTTGAGTGCACATGTGGCAACAGCAGACAGCACACACAGTTGCCTGTGTATCTGTACACACACACGGTCCCCCTACACACACACAGCTGCATATATCTGCAAACACACACATGCACGGATGCCCTGATACCCCTGCACACGCACACAGCTGCATGTGTATCTGCACACACACACATGCATGGATGCCCTTATCCACCCCCCTCACAAACAGCTGCGTATACATGCATGGTCACATACACACCTCTGCACGCAGAACCTTCCCCTGGAAATGTACCAATGTGGCAGCCCCACTGGGGCAACCCCCAGTGAGCAGACCACTTCCACACATGCCCTGGAGGTCTTGGGCTTGTCCCTGCAGATCCTGGCATGGAAACCCGACCCTGCACTTGGGCCAGGCTGTGACATTTGCCACACATTCTGCCCACAGCCCTCAGGCCAGTGGCGTGAGACATGGAGAGGATGCGGCATCCTCTGGTCAGAACGCCAGCAGCTATGAATAAATAATGATGAAGGGAGAAGAAAGAGGGGCCGGGGTGCAGGACACTCCCCCACCGAGGGATTCTGAGGCCTGGGCAGCTGTCCTGGGCCGTCGACACATTCCAAGCTCAGCTGCTCTGTGGCAGTGCGCCCCCCCTACAGCACAGCACTAAAGCAAACAACACTTTCAATAATTCAGCAGCAGGAGAGGGGATTTAGGAAGGGAAAATCCACCTCAGCATTGACAGAGGGGCCAAGAGGAACAAGGCAAAGGTGTGTATATTGGGAGGCAAAGGTGTGTATATTAGGAGGGAGGGAGAGACAGCAGAAGGGAAGATGGCAAGCACGATGGAAGGCAGGCTTGAATGCCGCCTCCTGCACACCTCGCCAGTTCTCTGCGTGTGTCCTGATTGAGAGTCTCTGGGCAGATTCTTCTTTCCCAAACAGTAACATATGGTGGTCACTGAGGCATTAACTGCCACCAAGAGCCTCCGGAGTCACCTGGCCTCTCCCCTTCCAGGACATAGGAAATTCCTCTGCAGCCTCCCCACCGCAGATGCCTCCAAGGACCAAGGACAGGGAATCCAGGCAGCCCACCCGATGGCTGCCAGCTGTCATGGTCAGGAAGTTCTTCTTTCAGACAGCCTGAAATCCATCTCCCCCAGACTCTCCTCATTGATCTTAGTTCCGCCATCTGAGGCCACAGGCATTGTGTGGACTTTCCCTTCCACAGGCCAGCCCTTGAGCTTTCCAAGACAGATCAACCAGCTCTTTCCTCCTCTGGGCACACAGCGCTGGTCCCTGGGGCCATTTCCTTTAGGGTGCATTTGGGTCTTTACCCCGTCTTGTCCACTTGGCTGCGAAACATCCCCTGGCCCATAGCTGGGAACTCCAGGGTGAAACTAACATTCCAGGTGGCCCTGCGGCCCAGGGATCCCCTGAGGTGATCCAGAGTGGACCTTACCCATGCCATCTAAACAGAGTCAGCTTGGAGGGCAGCCACTTAGCTTTGGAGTCATCGTCCCTCCAGCTTCCTGGGGACACAATTGGTTTACACTGTAATTATTAACAGGGCTGCAGTTTGGAGGATGTGTCATCTGGTCACTCTAATTGTACTGAATTTGTGATCAGTGACAGCCCCTGAGTCTTCTTTCTCTTGTACTCATCCAACTGGTGTTTTTGGAACTCAGAGCAAGATTTTACATTTAGTCTTGTTACATTTAGTGAATTTCACCCCTGGTGCTAGCCAGCTAACCAGGAAAACTATTAGTTATTCCTCTCATCTTTAGAAGAATAAGAATTTGATCATCATGCCTACTAAATGTTTACATAAACTGCTGGTGAAAGGCATGACTAGCATAGGGTTGAGAGCCCAGCCTTGTGGCGCACCATTAGAGACACCCCAGGAGTCAGTGCCCTTTGACCATTCACACACGTCACCTATGCAAAACATGCCCCTGCCTTTCCACCATCCAGTCTTCAGTGAAAGGTGACCAGCACGTACACAGCCCACATGGCTTGCACAGTCAACCTCTCTCCCTCTTTGGAAAGTTCGGCTGTCTCCCAATCTCAAGCTTCCTCCCTGGGCATCTCTCGCTGGCCAGTCCCCTCCCCAGCACTGCTGTCCCCTCCCTCCATTCTTTTTTTTTTTTTTTTTTAGACAGGGTCTCACTCTGTTGCTCAGGCTGGAATGCAGTGGCACCATTTGGACTCACCGCAACCTCCACCTCCCGGGTTCAAGCGATTCTCATGTCTCAGCCTCCCGCATAGCTGGGATTACAAGCATGCACCAACACACCTGGCTAATTTTAGTATTTTTAGTAGAGACGGGATTTCACCATGTTGCCCAGGCTGGTCTCAAACTCCTGACCTCAAGTGATGTGCCCACCTCAGCCTCCCAAAGTGCTGGGATTAAAGGCATGAGCCATGTGCCCAGCCCCCGGATCAATTCTGTAAGTGCTCAGCTGCTGGATTGACTCTGGAACTCCTCACAGCCAAGGGGAGCGTGTGTCCATGCCTCGAGGACCCACAGACCCCAGCTGGGTAGGGGGCTGCTGGGCAGAGCCGGAGGGGGTACTGGGTCCCTTCTGCCTCAGCAGCAAGTCCACAAATGTGTGTGAGGTGCCAACTGCAGGCTGGGCCCATTCCACACCAGGGACCCAGCTTTGAACCAAACAGGTTAACCTTCCTGCACTCCTGGGCTTTACCCCGTACTGGGGAGGAGAGTCAACAAACATAATTTAGAAAATTGTCTTGCATGTCAAAGGGCGACAGTGGTGGGGGAAGCAGGATGGGGGTGTGGGAGGGCAGAGGAGGGGGCTGCAGTGTTCAGCCAGGTGGTCAGAGTAAGTGTAATTGATGAGGTGATGTTCAGGCCCATCTGGATAGGCCCAAAGAGGGGGCTCTGAGGCTTTCTGGGGAGAATATTCCAGCAAAAAGAATATCCCTGGCAAAGGGCATTCCACATCATGGGATATGTCTAGCTATTTGGGGAACCAGCAAGGTGGCCCATGGGCTGGAGTAATGAGAGTGGGCAGGCAGCAGTGGGAGAAGTGGTCAGATCATAGGAGGTCCTATATGGGAGGGTATTGTGAGGACTTTGGCCTTTCTCCAAGAGAAGTGGGAGTCACAGGAGGATTTGGAGCAGAGGAGGAGTGCAGCCCAACTTGGGCTTTAACCGTATTAGCGTCACCCCAACAGCACATTCCCTGGATAGGAAGTGGGCCAGGTGTCTAAAGATGGACCTCATGACCATCTTTGCTCAGCCTGAGGATTTTGTAATGGTTGGTATTCACGGGGAGGTGGGGATGGCTTCCTGGCCTGATGAGCAGTCACCTGCCTGCTATGCTTCCCACCGTGGTCAAGAGAACGCATGGGGTCTGTGACTGCACCCAGTGTGTCCTGGGCATCACCCTGTGGAGCAGGAGGAGCCTGGGATGTGGCAAAACTCAGACCTGAGCTCAAATTCCAGACCAGCCACTGTCCTGCTGGGCAGCTTTGAGCAGATTACTTAACCTTTCTGAGCCTCTGTTCCCTTTTTGGTAGAGTGGGGATGGCAACATCTACCTTCCTGGGGTGACTATGGGGGTTTAGCAGTCACCAAGGTGGAGGGTCTGGCACACAGGTATTGGATAAAAAATATCACATTAATCAAGGGACATGGGCATTTGCAGGTATGTGAGTTAGGAAAGAGGGAGCGTGAGGCTGGCAAATTTCTACACCAGCGTGAGACTGGATAAGGACAGACTCCAGCTCTGACAAGTTGCTCGGGAGGCTCTGGGACCTGCCAGGCCTGGGGGAACCCACTAAGCATTCTGGGCAGGGACCTCTCACTCTGGCCTGCGCGGAGCATCTGCAGAAGCAGCAGAAGGCTGCGGTGCCTCCAACCCCGCCTTGCTCCCCTTTCTCACTCCCGTGTCTCTTCCCTCCCTCCTTCCCTCTCCCTCTAACTTATCTGCAAGCGCCAGCCAGTTGGCAGGCTGGACACTCAGCAAAGGAGCCATGGAGACTTCTTGCTGGTTTTGGCCGAGACCACCAGTTTTGTGTGTTGAGTCCCCAGAGGCGAATTCCAGCAGAGGAGGGACAAAGTAAGTCCTGAGAGGTCCAGCGAAGCAGCGAGCCAGAGAACATCCACAGAGGCAGGTTGGGCCTCAGTTTCGGAGTGGTTTCCCCTTTTCCTCCTGGGCTGGTGTCCTTTGATCCCATGGACCAGATGGAGGTGTCCCCATGGATGTCAGAAATCCAGCCCACCCCTAAGAGGGGGTGAGTATTGTTTGAGCATCAGCTCGTCCAGGGCAGGGGCTTTGTTTGGCTCCTTGTTGCATCTCAAGCATGTCATTTGTGCTCACTGCACAGGAGATGAGCAGGTCTCTGATGCCAGTGGGGGACTCTGCCATAGAGAAGGATTCAGCACAGGGCCCCGCTCATTCCCGGCTGGCTGGGGGATGGCGGCGTGGGGAGGCTGACTGGCGGCGGTTACTCACTCTTCCATGGCTTATAACTGGAGCACATGTGATGGCCAAGAGGCAAAAAGCAAAGTGCCCAGGAAGACCCTGACCAGCCTGAGGGATGCAGGCAGGTGGCCTCAGTGTCCAGGTGAGGGTGGGAGAAATCCAGGGGCAGGGGAAGGTAGGCTCGGGGCCTCTGTGTTGGTTTTTCCTTCTGAGCTGGTAATGCCAAGGCCAGCGAGGTCCTGAATTGTAGCCATCACATTGCATGGACCTCCACTTTGCTTAGTGGGGAGCAGATAGGTACTGCAGCTTTTTAGCCACCAACAGCGATAAAACCCACCTTCTTTGTGGACCTCCCCCTACGAATCCTCTGGAGAGACAAGGGGCCCTGCGGTCAGCGTCAATGTAAGGCCTGCAGGGTCAGAAGGACCCAGGTGTGGGCAGCCAGGCTGGCCAGGGACGCATGTCTTCCCTGCCCTTCCTCCGTAGGACGGAGCCTGGCCTGCTCCTCCTTCTAAGCTGCTTACAGGTCTCTCTCGTCACCTGTTCTGTCTTAAGTGGGATTGTGTCAAGACCTCACTATCTCGCCTCTCCTCCCTGGCGCTATCCGTGGGCTCTCCGTGTTCCCTCCGGCCTGTGCCTTGGCAAAGCTGTCCGCTCCGGAGCGGGCGGGGTGGCCATGAAGCCTGAGAGAGAGGTGTGTGTCCTGCTCTCTGCACCGTGACGCCTCCCGCTCCCTGAAAACCAGGGAGAAATTACTCTGCCCAAGCGGAACACGCCCGGACAAGCCTCCTCTCCAGCTGTAATTAATACTCTGGGGAAAACACAGACTTGGGGTTTTCATACTTCCACACAAACACACACACACTCACAGATTTCTTTCCATTGTCCTCCGATCCCATCTCAAATGTTTAATGTCCTGCTTCTTTCATGGGTAGCACAAAACCACCCAACTGGATACATCCAGAAAGCCAAGGGAGGCACCAGGGACCCTCTTCAGGTTCCGTGATGCAGAACTTGAGCGTTTGGGAGCTGATTTGCCAACAAGCAGTGCCCAGGCTGCATCCCTGACGTGGAGCAAAGCAGCTTTGGCCTTCTCAGAGTCAGAAATAGCCGTGAGTTTGGGTTAACCCTTTGTGGTCAACATTCTGGGGCATTGCTCTTTATTTCCCCCATCACAGTAGCCTAACTGATGCGCTAGTCCAAACACGTGTGCGCATACCAAGCGCTCCTGCCACCTGACTCATTACAAAACACTCTGGTGAGGCAGGAGCCTTGCAGTTCCATGAAGCTAGGCAGCTGGCAACTCTGATATTGGAAATGTTCTCTCAAAGGACAGGAGAGGGCCGGGCGCAGTGGCTCATGCCTGTAATCCCAGCACTTTGGGAGGCCGAGATGGGCGGATCACTTGAGGTCAGGAGTTCAAGACCAGCTGGCCAATATGGTGAAATCCCATCTCTACTAAAAATACAAAAAAAGTAGCCAGGCGTGGTGGCATACGCCTGTAATCCCAGCTACTTGGGAGGCTGAGGCAGGAGAATGGCTTGAGCACGGTAGGCAGAGGTTGCAGTGAGCCGAGACTGTGCCATCGCACTCCAGCCTGGGTGACAGTGTGAATGAGACTCTGTCAAAAAAAAAAAAAAAAAAAAAAAAAAAAAAAAAAAAAGGGACAGGGCTGGGCGTGGTGGCTCACATCTGTAATCCCAGCACTTTGGGAGGCCGAGGAGGGCAGATCACTTGAGGTCAGGAGTTTGACACCAGCCTGACCAACATGGTGAAACACCATCTCTACTAAAAATACAAAAAAATTAGCCAAGTGTGGTGGTGCACATCTGCAATCCCAGCTACTCAAGAGGCTGAAGCAGGATAATTGCTTGAACCTGGGAGGCAGAGGTTACAGTGAGCTGAGATGGTGCCACTACACTCCAACCTGGGTGACAGAGCAAGACTCCATCTCAAAAAAAAAAAAAAAAAAAAAAAAGACAGGAGAGCTCAAGTGGGCCAGGAAGGGTGGAGTCCTCTGCATCTCCCACTGGTCAGAGAGCTCCTTTGGGGTGGCATGAGGAGGTGGGGATGGGAATGGGCTCAGAAATCCAAACCCGTGAAATCCACAGTCTCCTACAGGGAGGCTTGACTTCTCCAGGGAAATTCTCAGTGTGAAAAGTAGCCTGAACAACCAGGACTGTGGTCTTGCCTTGGCCACTTCCAACGTGGGCCTGGGTGAATAATCGACCCATCCTAAGCCTCAGTTTCCTCATCTGTAGAATAGGGACACCATTCCTGCCTTTTGAACAGGCCTGTTGTACGGATGACATGGGACGGCAGGTTTCACTTGTGATGACCTGTGTCCAAGCTCCTAATCAGCTGGAGATGCTGTGCCCAGATAAAGGATTGGGTATGTCCGACTCAGCTGAGGCAGGTGCAGGGACCATGATTTGGAAGACCAAACAGGCTCAGCTTCTCATGGGTCCTCCTCAGCTATTCTCACTGGGGGCAAGGGGGGTGCCGCCCAGAGGCACAGTGACACGCAGTGATGATGAGGCTGGTTGGGTTGCCGTCGGCCTCTAGGTTCCCTTCTCCCCAGTTTTCTCATGTTCCTCACCACCCAGTCTTTGAGAGGCTTGGAGGCATTGTTTTTCTCTCACTTTCTCTCCATATTTATTTATTTATTTTTTTGAGATGGAGTCTTGCTTTGTCACCCAGGCTGGAGTGCAGTGGTACGATCTTGGCTCACTGCTACCTCTGCCTCCTGGGTTCAAGCGATTCTCCTGCTTCAGCCTCCAGAGTAGCTGGGACTACAGTCACCCGCCACCATACCCGGCTAATTTTTTGTATTTTTAGTAGAGATGGGGTTTCACCATGTTGGCCAGGCTGGTCTCGATCTGCTGACCTCGTGATCCGCCCGCCTCGGCCTCCCAAAGTGCTGGGATTACAGGGGTGAGCCACGGCACCCGGCTCTCCTTATTCTTTACAATCAAAATGTTCCTGAGAAGAAACGCT
This sequence comes from Homo sapiens, assembly GCF_000001405.40. Classification (NCBI taxonomy): domain Eukaryota; kingdom Metazoa; phylum Chordata; class Mammalia; order Primates; family Hominidae; genus Homo; species Homo sapiens. Next base: position 79,230,602 of record NC_000017.11, read on the forward strand.
GTGAAGCAGTCTTGCTAAGCCTTTCCAGAGCTAAGTTCCGGCTCCTGCAGAGCCCTCATCATTGAGGAGAGGAGGCTGTTCTCAAGGCATGGGAAGCAAAGGTGCCTGTCTCTACACTAGGACTGTGTGTCCCAGGCTCACGAGTGCTTCTGACAGCCCTGTAGCTCGTCTCCTTCCACCCTGCAGGGGACTGGGGACAAGGGCCAGGCCCAGCCTGTGTATGTGCCTGGGTTTGTTCCAGCAGCCGGGCAGTTACTGCAGAGACAGATCCGGTGTAAAGAAGAAAACAGTTCTGCTTCTGGTCAAGATGGAGAAATGGGGACTGATGTGCCTGCCTCCGAGAACAATAACAACAAGCTGAAGACTAGTTTTCAAGACACTGGACGAGATACAGTGAAGGGCAGTGATCCCCCAGTGCTGGTCATAGAGGAGCTGCACAGTCGTCCCAGCTGACTGTCTTGAGGAAGTTTTCAGGCCATGGTGCAGTGACCCCAGGTCAAGCCTGGTGTACTCCCTGAGTTGAGGAGACAGAGCTGAGAGGTGGGGAGCCAAGGTGGCTGGAGTTATAAGACAGAGCAATGGGGAGAAGACAGCTGGACAGAGAAAGAGCTCTACAGATACTAAGAGGGTCCCACTGAGTACTCAGCTGAGTACTGATCAGCACAAGCTTTGGAGAAAACCACCCAAGGTTGAGGCGAGAACCCCCTGGAGGGATGAAGGACACAGCACTGGGCACCCTCACAGGGCCAGAGTAGCTCAGTCCTCACTAGTCAGATTGGAACAGGAACTTTTTACTGTTCATGGGGCACTGGGTAGAGCATGCAGAGCCCTGCCTTAGTAGCAAGAACAATCACACCTAGGATAAATACAGCCCTGGGCATATCAGGGCTGTATTTATTGTAGAAGAAAACTGCCTTTGTTAACATAATCATTTATATAGAAAATCTGACGGAATTGACACAAAATCTACTAGAACTAGTAAATAGATTTAGCAAGGCTGCAGGACACAAAATCAATGTACAAAAAATCTATTTTATTTCTATACGCTAGCAACAATCAATCAGAAATTGAAAGAAAAATACCATTTTAAGAAGCATTAAAATATGAATGACATTGGCATAAATCTAAGAAAAGATGTTCAATATCCATACACAGAAAACCATAAACCATTGATGAAATTAAAGAAATTCTAAATAAATGGAGAGAAATACCTTGTTTATGAGTCAGAAGGCCCAGTATTGTTAAGATGTCACTGATCGCTGTATTAGTCCATTCTCATGCTGCTATGAAGAAATACCCAAGACTGAGTAATTTATAAAGGAAAGAGGTTTAGTTGACTCACAGTTCCACATGGCCGGGGAGGCCTCAAGAAACTTACAATCAGGGCGGAAGACACCTCTTCACAGGGCGGCAGGAGACAGAATGAGCGCAAGCAGGGAAATACCAGACGCTTACAAAACCATCAGATCTCGTGAGACTCACCCATTATCACGAGAACAGCATGGAGGAAACCACCCCCATGGTCCAATTACCTCCACCTGGCCCTGCCTTTGACACATGGGGATTACAATTCGAGGTGAGATGGGCATATCAATCCCTCAAACTGACTTATAGATTCAATTCAATCCCGATCAAAATCCCAGCAGGCATTTTTTTTTCTTAGAAATTTACACACTAATTCTAAAATTCATATAGAAATGTAAGGGGCCTAGAAGAGCCAATATAACTTTGAAAAAGAAGGACAAAGAACAGGAAGATTACCTGGTTTCAAGACTTACTAGGAAGCCATAACAATCACTGTAATAGCTGTGGTAGGACTGGCATCAAGACAGGCCAACAGATCCAAGAAACAGAATATCAAACCCAGACATAGACTCACATACACATGACAACTGATTTTTGATAAGACTGCAGGGACAATTCAATGGGGGAAAGGATGATCTTTTTAATAAGTAATAATGAAATCATTGGACATCCATATGGAGAAAAATAAACCTCAATCTATAGCTTGCCCCATGCACAAAAGCTAATTTGAGATAAATCGTGGAACTAAATGTAAAACCTGAAACTATAGAAGATCTAGAAGAAAGCATAGGCGAAAAAAAATCTCTTTACTTTTTAGCAAAGAAGACATAATAAATGCCAAATAACCATACGAATAGATTCTCAACATCATTAGTCACTAGGGAAATATAGATTAAAACCCCAGTGAGCTACCGCTACATACCTAGTCAAATGGCTAAAGTTATGAAGACTGACAACACCAAGGGTTGCGGAGGCTGAAGAACTGCAATTCTCACCCACGACTGGTGGGAATGTAAAGTCGTGCAACCACTTTGGAAAACCGTTTGGCACTTATTTAGGGCGTTAAAATATACTTACCTTGAGATCCAGCCATTTCACCCAAGAGAAAACAAAGAATATGTCCATGCACAGACTTGCACACACATATTCACAGCAGCTTTATTTGTAACAGCCCCAGACTGGAAACAGCCCAAATGTCCTTCAAGGAATGAATGAGTCAGCGCTTTGTAGCTCAATCCCAGCGTGGAATACTACTTGGCCAGAACAAGGAGAAAAGTATATCTATGTCCAACATCACAGAGGAACCTCTGAATAACTATGAGGAGTGAAAGAAGCCAAGCAAAAAATGACCACAGATGCTACGATTCTATTTATATAAAACTCCAGAAAATATACATATTCTACAGCGACAAGAAGCAGAGTCAGTGCTTGCCTTGGAAGAGGGGATTGGGTGGGGTGTGAGGAAGAGATTACAAAGAGGCACAATGTAATGGTTGGGGGTGATGAATACATCCATTATCTTGATTGTGGTGATGGTGTCATGGGTATACATATATATCAAAGCTTATCAAATTGCATACTCTCTGTGATGTTTATCATACCCCCAATGTACTTCAATAAAACTATTTAAAAAACCAACGTGCAAAAATCCAAGTTTACGGGACCAGGCAAATGACTGCATTCTTACATAGAGTGCAAATGGATTCCTTTTTTTTTTTTTAGACGGAGTTTTGCTCTGTTGCCCAGGCTGGAGTAAGTGGTGCAATCTCGGCTCACTGCAACCTCTGCCTCCCGGGTTCAAGTGATTCTCGTGCCTCAGCCTCCCATGTAGCTGGGATTATAGGTGCCTGTCACCATGCCCGGCTAATTTTTGTATTTTTAGTAGAGACGGGGTTTCACTACATTGGCCAGGCTGGTCTTGAACTCCTGACCTCAGGTGATACGCCCGCCTTGGCCTCCCAAAGTGCTGGGATTACAGGCGTGAGCCACCGCGCCCGGCCCGGCAAATGAATTCTTTATTCTACAAGTGACTCACCTGGGGGCTCCTTCCGATGCTTCCCTGTAAAATAGATTCAGTTTACAGCGGTGGCATCTCAGGAGGCGGCTGTGACGGCTGCTGCCCTCCTCGTGGTGAACACTTGCGGGCGCCTGTGAGGCCAACACCCGGCGGCCTTCCTGTCTACTCCCACGGAAAACTGCATCTAACCCTGACACACACAGGCAGCCACTCGGTACGGGGGACCCTGTTACACACGGCCCACTGTGGGAAGCCTGAGGCCATGTGAAGGGGACCCCCTGGGCTCTGTCTCTTTGTCCTCTTCCTGCTAGAAAGCCGGAGAGCCGGCAGCAGAGCCCGAGCTGCCTCTGCCCGCAGCCCTGAGTGGCTCCGAGGTGACCTGCTTCTAGGACGGAAGCACCCGGCTCAGGTCTAGCCCAGGTCTAGTTCTAATGTCAGGTCTAGCTCCAGGCCATCTGGTCAGTGCCCACTTCTGAGCCAAGGGCGGGCTTAGGGCAAACGCGGTACAAAAAAGAGTGCCCAACTTTTCTAGTTTTGGCTGAAGAAGACTTCATACGCTGACGGATCTAGTTTCCGGTCCTGATTTTTGAAAAACGCAGCGCTGGCCTTGTGCACACACCACCCAAAACCCAGGACCTAGCGAAGAGAGGCCACCTGAGGGCCGATGGCTGCATTTTCTAATTTTGTTCACACTAAATATACATTACAGATGATCTCCAACTTACGAAGGTTTGACTTACGATTGACTTTGAATTTTTCAACTTTATGTTTGTTGGGTTTATTGGGGGCATTAAGTGCTTTTTTTTTTTTTTTTTTTTTTTTTTTTTGAGATGGAGTCTTGCTCTGTTGACCAGGCTGGAGTGCAGTGGTGTGATCTCAGCTCATGCAACCTCCGCCTCCCGGGTTCAAGTGATTCTCCTGCCTCGGCCTACCAGTAGCTGGGACTACAGGCACCCGCCACCATGCCCGGCTAATTTTTGTATTTTTTAGTAGAGATAGGGTTTCGCCATGTTGGCCAGGCTGGTCTTGAACTCCTGACCTCAGGTGATCTGCCCACCTTGGCCTCCCAAAATGTTGAGATTACAAGCATGAGCCACCAAGCCCGGTCCATTAAATTTATTTTTGACTTACAATATTTTCACCTTATGATGGGTTTATCAGGACACAACCCCATTGAAGGTCCAGAAGCATCATACTTGTATAATAATCTCCCCAAAGTAAACTCTGCAAGTGAATCTGTGGAGGGGGTCAGCCACAGGTGGGTAATGGGGGTTGGAGGTACAGAGCAATGGACCAATGGGCTCAGGCAGTAGTAGCCAGTCCCCCAGCGAGGGTCAACACTGGGAACTGAGCTGGTATCCGAAGCCCCTTCCCCGAGGAGACCAGGCCATGGAGATGAGTTGGACCACCCTGGACCAGCAAGCTGGGGCTGCCTGAGGAATGGGTGGCCATGCGCGGAGCACCTGGGGTGGGGGACCTTGGGGTTGGGGGAGGGAAAGGATCAGGAAGGCAGTGACATTGCTTCTCAGGCCAGCCAGAATTGCCTAAAAACAATCGTCCTCCATCCTTACCCCATTTATCCATTTCCCTTTCAGCCCCTCCGGCTCCCAGTCCTGCCTTTCCCAGCACATTTTGGGCTCATCCATGGGGGACAAGAGAGAACACGACACAGAGGTGCTAAACGGCGCCAAGCCTTCCCTCCACAGCCCCCAAACTCTTCCTCCCTCCAGTGGCTGGGAAACCCCAGAAACTCCTGGCTTTCATTATCAGCAGCTCCCAAGATGTTCAACATGCTCATATCTGTCAAAAACTATTCAGGAAAAATAGAGAAAGTCTTTATACCTTTTATTCAGCCAATTTTCCCCGAGGCACTCTGGGCTCTCTAAGAAAAGAAAAAGAGAGAAAGGAGAGAGAATCACAATCAATGTTGTCATCATGCATCTGGTTGCTGGCGATGCTATTTGCTCATCGACTAGGGAAGTCTGGAGGTGGAAGCATCATCTCCCTGGGAGTCCAAGGAAACCTGCCTGGGTTAACCTCTGGCTGCCGTCTGCATCTCAAGCATGGCTGGGAGGCGGCGGTTAGATAACAGGCAGAGATAAAGCAAAACAGGGCACGGTGGACCGGCCACCCAGAGGTTTCAGACTCATTTTCTCTGCGACTCTGGATGTTCCTTTTTTTCCCCCACCTCAAACTCCAAGCACTCCCCAGCCTGGTTTGAGGTTGTCCACAAACGCAGGCCTTGTGGCTTGTTGATGGTGACGTTTAGTTTCACACTGGGTTTCCTCTGCCATGCCGTGGGGATTTGCTTCCTCCTCCAGGTGTAGGGCGGGGGTCACTTTGAGTGTGGTCATGGCATGCACATTCATTTTATTTATTTATTTGTTTTTGGAGATGGAGTCTCGCTCTGTCTGGAATGCAATGGTGCGATCTTGGCTCACTGCAACCTCCGCCTCCTGGGTTCGAGCGATTCTTGTGCCTCAGCCGCCCTAGTAGCTGGGAGTACAGGTGTGTGCCACCCCGCCCAGCTAATTTTTTGTATTTTTAGTAGAGACGGGGGTCTCGCCATGTTGCCCAGGGTGGTCTCAACCTCCTGAGCTCGGGCAATCCACCCACCTTGCCCTGCACATTCATTTTATGTTATTAAAGAAAAGTTATTTAACAAATTCTAAATCCCACCAAACACATAATTATAGAGGCAATCGTTGTATGTTATTGTGAATCAGGTGCACCTACCAGCAGCAGGAACAGCTCAGTGATACGGACAGACTGGCAAGGACCACCACTCACTCACTTTATAATCCAGGGCCCGGGGCCAGGGTATCCACTCCTGCCTAAGTCACAAAGCTAGCTCACTGGGGCCTGGGACTCCACACGAGTGCCTGGAGACCTTCCTTTTCTTAGTAGGTCATTGAGGAGTTCAGAAACAAAGGGGTGTGTGTATAGTGTGCTTTAAACAAACTTAGATTTCCTTCCTTTATTTTAGTAATGTTTCATAATTTTCTGTGTACATGACTTGCACATTTTTTAATTGTGGTAAAATATACATAATATACAATTTACAATTTTAACCATTTTCAAATGTACAATTCAGTGGTATTGAGTGCATTCACACTGCTGTCAATCACTGCTGCTCTCTGATGCCTGAACCTTTTCGTTGCTCCAAAAAGAATATCCATACCTGTTAAGATGCCACTCCCTGCCCCCAGCCTCCTGTGCATATGTGTATGTGTGCGTATTTTTTAAAACTTAGTGCAAAAAATAAAAGCAAGTGAAAAGCTTCTGGAATTGAAAGACGGTCAGACTGGGCCTCTTTCTTCAGATCTAGAAAAATCACCACCACCGTCTTCATCCACATCACTGTAAAAAGGTTACTGCGGTCGTTTAGTTTGCATGGTTTATGAGCCAGGCACCGCCTGTACATTGCTTCATTCAGCCCTCCCAACAGCTCTAGCAGGCAGGTACACTTCTTACTCTTCCCATTCTTCAGATAAAGAAACCAAGGCCCCAGCTGGTGAAGCGACTGTGGCCACAGTAACTGAGTCAGCTGGCCCGTCCCCCAGAGCAGGTTACCCCATCTGCCTGTCTCACCCACAGGTGGAAAGAAGTACCCCGCCCTGTGGGAGGCGAGAATGAACGTGGCCACAGAACACCAAAATGCACAGGGCCTGCCTTCCCTGCTGGAGTTTGTGCAGATCACAGTGGCAGTATTGGGTACTTCATAGGCGGGCCCCTCCCAGCCGCATCAGGGAGGGCTATGGGCCAAGGAGCAGCTGAACTTGAACTGGGCACTGGGCTGGCCATTTCCAAGGTGGCCCTGTGGAGCCCCTGTTCTCCTCCCCAGTAAAATGGCAAAGGTAACTTCTGGCCCGTGGAGCCATCTCCACACACAGCTCACAAAATGACGCTGAGAAGGGCAGGTGTGATTGGAAGGCACTGCCAGTGAGAGTCACTTCGAAAGGAAATGTGTCATCTGAGCGGCTTGCATCAACTGCTGCCTTCGTTAATTTGGGGGATTTTTTTCTATTTTTGAGACAGACTCTCGCTCTGTTGCCCAGGCTGGAGTGCAATGGTGCAATCTCAGCTCCCTGCAACCTCTGCCTCTCAGGTTCAAGCGATTCTCCTGCCTCAGCCTCCGAAGTAGCTGGGATTACAGGCATGTGCCACCACACCTGGCTAATTTTTGTATTTTTGGTAGAGATGGGGTTTCACCATGTTGGTCAGGCTGGTCTTGAACACCTGACCTCAGGTGATCCACCTGCCTCGGCCTCCCAGAGTGCTGGGATTACAGGTGTGAGCCACCACACCCAGCTGGATTTTCTTATTGGTGATTTCTTTTCTTGAAGTGAGTTCTTCTTCCAATTCAATACAATTTGATTCAATTGAATCCAGCCCCACTGAACAAACACACAGCCAGGCATTTGGATCTGAAGCCAGGTCCAGAGCCTTGGAAGGGTACGTCTGTGGCTCTGCTGGAGGCAGGCTCGGGCCCATGGGCTGAGAAGGTGAAGCAGGACTAAGCCAAAGATTCAGGGCTTCACCTCTCTTCCCGAACACCTCCGTGTCCCCTGTCCCTTCTCCTCTACTGGCCCAGGCTCTATGCCCAAGCCCTTAGAAGTCCTCCCAGCACAGTAACTCCTTTCGGCTCTGGAATTCCCAGTCTTTAGGCCACATCAGCCCAGATGGGAGCTGGCAGAGTAGCCTGTTCACCCCACCCCATCCAACCCAGCTTCTCTGCCTCTGCCAACCCTTCTCTCCTGAGAGATTGCTGGCATTTCTTGAGTTCTCTTAAATGTGTCACACACGTACGAGTGTCTTTATTTAGTCAAGGTGAAATATGTCCTACCTGCACTGTGTGAACCCGGGGTTGCAGTGGCATCTGGAGGCCCAGGGGCTGAGCCACATTTCAATCACCAAAGAGTCCCCATTTTTGAAAGCTCCAGAACTAGAGGGATGGTCAAAGAGCCGGTCGAGCCTGATGCCTCAACCACAGGGTCCAATCTGTTTTCCTGGTTCTTCGGGCCAGGAGCTCCCCGAGCCCAGCTTCGTCCTCCATCGTTTCACAGAACCTCCAGGGTCACGAAATTCCCTGCACCTCCCCGGAGGCTCTTGTGCATGGAAAGGAAGGTGGTCTCTGTGCAGAGCAGCCCACAATTTGGGAGCAACCAACTCCAGTGGTGGCCTGGTTGCCCATCCCTGGGATGGTGCCTCGCTTCGTGTTTCTGAGATGTCGGCTCCCCCTCCTCTTCTGCACTCCCAGCATTTTCTATGTCTCTGGTCCTTGCCCCACCTACCCAATCCTGGGGGCGGGGGAAGGAGAGAGGCCCCCCAGGTTCATTCCCATTCCATGGGCCTTTTGGATGACATCCCACGGGCGTGCTCCCAGGGTCATGAAACACGGAGCTGATTCTCAGCCTCACTGTTAGCAAACACTGCTCTCAGCCACTCAGCGGGATAATCAATTATGGTAATTTTTGCCTCCATGAATCAGGTTCATGGAGGAACACAGGGATCAGCACAGTGGTGCCGACTTCCCCAAGTGCACATGCAGTCACACCCTTCAGCAAAGCCCAGACAGAGCAAGACCCGCCTGCCAGGCTCAAATTGTCTCCACACTCCCAGAGTCCACTCCACACTGCCCACTGCCCCCAGGAGACGGCGGGGCACTGCACAACTCCACACTCTTCCTGGGGGAGCAGGGAGGGCTGTGGTTGGGGTGAGTGCCCAATGTGGAGCCCCTGGTCTGCTTTCCCACTAGACTGTGATGCCCCCATGGGCAGAGGCCATATCTTAGAGGTCCTGGTGTCCCCAGACACTGGTGTGGGGCCACCATGGACCAGAGGCAGTGGATGTTTGCTGAATGAATGAACAAGGGAATGAAATTGTAACAGGTAAGGGTTTGACTCCAGAGGTCAGAGCTGGACCCCTGTTTTGAAGCATGGGATTGGACACTTTGAGAATAATATTTGCTCTTGGGGAATCCCAGCCACGGATGTGCATTTATCCACCTGGAGAGGCCTTTTCTCATGTTCTCCCTTTCTGTCCTGTCTCTCCTTTAGGCCCCTTGATTCCACCTGGCTCACAGTTCAACTTCCCACCTTCGCACTAGTCCCTCCAAAGACGAGTTCCTTGTGGGCTTTTCCCTGCAATTCTCCTCAAGGACATGTGATTCTGTCTTTATTGAACTCCATCCAAATGACGGAAGTCTCCCACCTCCCAAAGCCTTTAACCCTAGCTGTCTTCTGTCCATAAAACATTTCATTCTTCAGAAATTAAACTGGGGCTTGCTTGTGTGGCCCTTGAAATGAAAAGCACATGTGTTCCTTAGTAAAACTCATCGTTAGTGGATCATGCAAGACAACTGGCCAGAAAAAAACCGCTCATGTCAAAATCAGACCACTCCCACTCATTGGTGGCCCTTCAGCTTAGCTGTCACACATACATCCCTTCTCTCCCAAGATAGATGCAAGTTACTTGATTATGGGGAAGGTCTAGAAAGGCACAGAGCAAGCGGAACGTGGATTTCTGCATGGATGTGTCCCCAGCTCTTTGATAAAGTCAATTTCTTAGCAGTGGCCATCATGTCTCTTATTTATTGAGCATCTACTGTGTCAGGCACTGAATATACATCATTGACCTCACGTCAGCCCCATTAGGGACACATTCCTACCCTTGATACCAAGATGAGAGAAAGGATACTCTGATGTTTCTCCTGGTCTGTTTCACTTTATTTTTAAAATTGTTCTTTTTATTTTTTTGAGATGCAGTCTTGCTCTGTCACCCAGGCTGGAGTGCAGTGGCACAATCTCAGCTCACTGCAAGCTCCGCCTCCCAGATTCACGCCATTCTCCTGCCTCAGCCTTCCAAGTAGCTGGGACTACAGGCACCCGCCACCACACCCAGCTAATTTTTTTGTATTTTTAGTAGAGATGGGGTTTCACCATGTTAGCCAGGATAGTCTTGATCTCCTGACCTCGTGATCCACCCACCTCGGCCTCCCAAAGTGCTGGGATTACAGGCATGAGCCACTGCGCCTGGCCTAAATTTTTCAATTAAAAAAAAATTTTTTTTGAGCAGGATCTTGCTCTGTTGCTCAGGCTGGAGTGCAGTGGCACAATCATAGCTCACTGCAGCCTCCATCTCCTGAGTTTAAGTCACCTTCCCACCTTAGCCTCCCAAGTAGCTGAGACTACAGGCAAGCACCAACATGCCTGGTTATCTATCTAGCTATCTATCTGTCTATCTATTTAATCTTTTTTTTTTTTTTTAGTAGAGATGGGAGGTCTCAGTATGTTGCCCAGGTTGGTCTTGAACTCCTGGCCTCAAGTGAGCCTCCCACTTCGGCCTTCCAATGTGCTGGGGCTACAGGTGTGAACCATGGCATCCGGCCTGTTTCGCTTTAAGTTTGAGCCCTCTGCGTAACACCATCCTGCACTTCTGGGGAGGTGATATGTGGAGATTCCATCATTTTGGGACATCTCTTCTTAACTCCATTGGCAAGGACAACTGAATCAGCCACAGATGATGGCTGGGAAGAGGGGCAAGGAAAAATGGGGCCTGTCCTGGTGCCAGGGTTCAGGGGAGCACAACTAACTGATGTTGACGTGGAAGGTGCTGAGGAAGGTGACTCTGTGCTGAGGAAGGTTCCACTGTGACCACGTGGAACTGTTTGTGCGGGAGGAAGCTTGACTGTCTGAAGCAGGGAGATGGTTTTTGTCACTTTGGCTGCCATGATAATACCATAGACTGCCGGCTTAAACAACAGAAATGTATTTCTCCCAGTTCTGGAGGCTGGAAGTCTGTGATTAGGGAGCAGTGTGGTCAGGCGCTGGTGAGGGCTCTTGTCCTGGCTTGCAGACAGCCGCCTTCTCACTGTGTCTTCACATGGCAAGGAGACAGCGTGAAAGCAGTCTCCCTGGTGTCTGTTCTTGTAAGGGCACTAATCCCATTGCCCAAGGGACCCTCCCTCATGACCTCATCTAACCCTAATCACCTCCCAAAGGTCCCATCTCCAGATATCATCCCTTAGGGAGTTAGGGCTTCCATATAGGAATTTTGGGGAGTGACCGACATTTAGTGCAGCACACACAGCTTCCACGTATTCACTCGATTCTTTGCTTTCTTTCCTTCCATGTTTTCCTAAATGTGCAGTGACGGTGCTTGGACCTAGTTTATGGTCAGAGTAGATTTATTTGGCATTGTACGAGTTCCTGCAGCAGAGGCACTGGTGCCAGGAAAGACCTTGGGAGCTCTGGTTCCCAGCGTGCTGCTGCTGCTGGTGGAGGGGGTGCTACCTGAGGAGCCCCGGGGTGGGGGGCAGGCCGTATGGAGGGTCCTCGAGGCAGCTTTGAGAAACTCCCAGTGCACCACTCTCTTGTGTTACTTCAGATTTTATGAAACGATCTGTTTGTGCTCTTTCCCTAAGGGGAGCTGGAGGTGAAGGGTGCAATTTTATAAATCACTATAAAATTATAAAATTTTTTATAAATTATAAAAAATCAACTGTGGGTGGCTTAAACCTGGCTTGTGATGACGGTGATCAGAGCAGGAGAGCCACATCTATTTAATGTGATGTTTTCCTCCTTCTTCTGAATAGAAATTTGCCTTTAGAGAGGAAAGGAGGGGAGAGAAGAGGAGAGGGGAGGGAAGGGGAAGGGAGCATAGGGCAGGAGAGGGCAGGGGAGGGAATCTGGCTTATGGCTCTGAGCCATAAACTGTCACCATTAGGGAGACCGGGGAGTTCTGGCAGGTTCTGGCCATCACAGTAGTCCCTGGAGTGGCTTTGGGTTCTGAGCACACTGCCCATACTTAGGTCTGTGGGAAGGGCCACCCCCTTACTGGGCCTCCACAGGGCAGCAGGGCAGGGCTTAGGGGTTATACGCCGTGCTCAGAGCAGTTTTGCCTCCTCTCCCAGGAAGCCCGGGCAGGGCTCCACAGCAACCTGCCTGGAGTCCCACCTTCAAGGTCCTTCTAGGCACTCTAGGCCTTCAGCTGTGCTCCAGTGGGGCCTTACTCCTCCTCTGCCTGCGTGGACACTGCTGTGGGCCCCGTGACAGCAGCATGCATGCCTAGCACTTGCTGAATGTATGCCAGGCTACCTGCTGGGGACTGTGTTTTTCTGGGGTTATGCCATTGATGATGTCATTTCAGCTTTACAACCACCCTAGGGGGCAGGTACTATGATCACTTCCAGTTTCCAAACATCAAATCTGAAGCTTGGGGAAGTGAAGCAGATTGCCCTAAATGCCACAGCTGGTAGCGGTTGCAGCTGAGTTTGCGCGAGACCCACCTGACCACAACCTTGTGCTTAGAGCTGATTATTCTGCTCAGGCCAAGCACTCCCGGATAAACCCTGGAGTGTCAGAGTGAGCAGGGGGCAAACCAACGTGGCCCCAGGAGAAAACCCACTGTACTCCTTTTGCTCATTGCCGGGTCTAACTCCAACCTGCCTCCCACCCCAGCACTTGTGCAGCCTCAACGCCCAACATCAGCCCAAACCTTCTGTGACCAGTTGACTCTTCCAGCTGTGCTGGGCTTTGCAAAGCCCATGTGCCTTTGCCCTGGGGTGTCATTTGGGACTGTGGAGTCGACCACAGTCAATTGCTTGGGTGATATATTAGAGGTTCTGTCTGGTGGGATGAGGTCTGCAGGCACCTGGCTGCCCTCAGGTGGGAGGGTGTGGGGAAGGTGCTGGCTTTGCATGAGCGGAACTTAGCGCACACCTGTGGACTGAACTGAACTCACTGGCCCACCCCTGAGCACCCTTGACAACACCCAAGCTGTGCCACAGACACCATAGTGTATCCTCCACCTGTCCCTGGGTCAGCCAGGCTCAGAAACAGAAGCCCAGAGAAGGAATTTTGCCAAGGTTGACACAGCTTCCAAAGGGCAGAGCCAAGACAAGAAGGCGCAATGCCACCAAGCAGATGGCAGTGGAGGAGACAGAGACCCCACTGAGGATGCAGAAATGGCCTGCGGTCCCAGAGGTAGGGGGCAGGTGGGAGGCCCAGTGTGGCATCTCTGCCCTGGAGCATCTCCAGACAGGCAAGTTTCAGGGGCCAGAGCCCAGCACTGGGTCATCTCAACAATCCATAGACACCCTCGGCCTTCCACACATGAAGGAGATACCACCGCACAGGGCAGAATGGTGTCCCCAGAGTCCATGTCCATCCGGAACCTTATTTGGAAACAGGTTCTTTGCAAATGTAATTAGTGAAGATGAGGTCATAGTGGAACAGACTGGGCCCTACATCCAATGCCCGGGGTCCTCATCAGTTGAGGAGAGGACACAGAGAGACACGCATTGGGTGAGGGTGTGTGAGGATGGAGGCGGAGATTGGAGTGATGTAGCCACAGGCTAGGGCGCGCTGAAAACTGCCAGGAGACTTGAAAGGACAAGGAAGGAACCTGCCCAGAACTTTCAGACAGCAGGGCCCTGAGACACCTGCATTCCAGACCTCAAGGCTCCATCTCCAGAGCAGTAAGAGAATAAACTTCTGTTGTATGAAGCCTCCCAGTTTGTGGTCATCTGTTACGGCAGCCACAGGAGAGTAACCCACCCACCCTCCCCACCTTCAGGGCAGTGCCAGCGAGGGCTGCGGGCGCACAGTGGGCCTGGTTTTCACCCCCTGCCTGCACCCTACTCACTCTGGGCTTGCTGGGCCTGGTTCCCAGAGCATGGTGGCCCTTTCTTCACGGTCATTGCTCTTCCACGACTTCTCCATGATGTTATTCCTGACCACACAAACACTGTCACAGGTGCCCCTCCTAGAGCCTTCCCTTCCCTTCCCTTTTCTTTCCTCTTTCTTCTCCCATTCCTTTCCTTCCTTCCTTCCTTTTCTTCCTTCCTTCCTTTATTCTCCTTCCTTCCTTCCTTCCCCCTCTCCTTTATCCCTTTCCTTCCTTCTTTTCCTTCCTTCTTTCATTCTCCTTCCTTTCCTTTCCCTTCCCTTTCCTTCCCTCCCTCCATCCCTCCCTCCTTTCCTTCCTTCCTCTCTTCTTTCTCCCATTCCTTCCTTTTTTCTTTTCCTTCTTTCATTCTCCTTCCCTTTCCCTCCCTCCCTTCCTTCCTCCCTTTTCTTTTCTTTCCCTCCTTCCTTCTTTCTTTCTCCCTCCCCTCCCCTTCCCTCCTCTCCCTTTCCTTTTCTCTTTTTGTTTTTCTTTTCTTTTTGAGACAGAGTCTCACTCTGTTGCTCAGGCTGGAGTGCAGGGCCATCTTGGCTATCTGCAAACTCCGCCTCTCAGGCTCAAGTGATCCTCCCACCTCAGCCTCCCAAGTAGCTGGGTCTACAGGCGTACGCCACCACACCCGGCTCATTTTTGGGTTTCACCTTGTTGTCCAGGCTGGTTTGGAACTCCTAATGGGGCACACTAGAGGGACCTAGAGGCCACATGCCACGGTGGCCTCACACAATTGGACCCCGAGAAAGACCGTTCAGACCAAAGGACCCCAGGAAAATGGTTTTTCCTTTGATGTTTATTTGGAAGCCACTTTTTTGGTTTGAATTTTTTGTGGTAAAATGCCCATAATATAAAGTGTACCATTTTAACCATCTTTAGGTGCACAGTTCAGTGGCATGAAGCACCTCACACTGTTCACCCATTCCCACCGCTCACCCCCTCAGTCCTTTGTGAGGCTGAGTGATATTCCATTATATGGATACACCACATTTTGTTTATCCATTCGTCTGTAGGTGAACATTTGGATTTTTTTTTTTTTTTTTTTGAGACACCTAACTCTGTCGCCCAGGCTGGAGTGCAGTGGCGTGATCTCAGCCCATTGCAACCTCCACCTCCTGGGTTCAAGCGATTCTTCTGCTTCAGCCTCCCGTGTAGCTGGGATTACAGATGTACACCACCATGACTGGCTAATTTTTGTATTTTAGTAGAGACGGGGTTTCACCATGTTGCCCAGGCTGGTCTCGAACTTCTGAGCTCAGGCTATCCACTCACCTTGACCTCCAAAGTGCTGGGATTCCAGACATGAGCCACCACGCCCAGCAGAACATTTTGGATTTTAATCCACTTTTTAAGACAATGAGAATCACGTCATTGGCCCCATTTCCCATTTTGCTTCAGCCACGAGCATGTCAGAAAAAAAAAAAATTGTTGCTCAACCTTACTGGTTGTATCAAAAAGCCCCACTGCCTCATTTTCCTGCCCTCTCTGTCTTCCATTGTCTGACCTTGACTTTTATCTGCTGACGTGCTTCCGTCTGATTTTATGTGGCTATGGCAATGGAAAACCATCTATAGAATGACATGGACACAAGCTGAAACGACCCTGCCTCAGGTCATTCTCCAAGTCCTCCCTGATGCCACAGGGGGCTGTGTGCCTCCGGGAGAGCCACCTTCCCTCCCTGCCTTGCAGCCAGGCACAGGGCACAGCACTGCATGAGAGGAACAGTCCCGCCCCCGACTGCTCGTGGACTGTGGGCCTTGGACACCTTTGGGCTTCCAGATTTCTTGGTCACCTCCTCTTGCTGGTGTCTGATTACGCTGAGTGGGCTGTTCTTCCTTCTACTGTGAACCTAAGGGAAGCGGAGTCCCTGTCTGAGCTGCTCTCTCCGGAGCTGGCGCTGCACGCCATATTCCCTCCAACACTCAGCTGAGACAGAGTTCAGCAATGATGGTGTCCAGATGGCCGTCCAGTCCCCACTTGGCTGCTGTCTGCTGCACCTGTCCCCCTGCTCCCGGGTGTGGAGAGCCAGCCTGCCTATGTTCACAGGCACAGCCGGGATGTCTCTCCTATGCTGGTGAGATCTCAAGACCCATCCGACATCCCTTGGAGAGATGGAAACTCTTTGAGACCTGAAGAGGCACCACCTCTCTGCAGAGAGGGATGTGGCTGGACCGAGGACGCGGCCTCCCAGCAGAAGTGTTGCAGGGGATGCTGGGTTTGGTCCTGCCCATGTGTGGCTGTGAGCAGTGCCAATGGGATGGGGGTGGGGGGAGAACGGCGGAGACAGGAAAAGGAGCCGAGTTAATACACAGGGCAGACGGCACCACTCAGCACGCAGGCAGCTGGAGAACGCCGGCTTCTTAGATGAGCGCGTTTCATTATCAACAATTTAGACATGTCCTTTCTCCTTTGGGAGATGGGCAAAATCTCATTTCCTGAGCAAATCCCCTAAGAAACCAACCTATTCATTCCTCTAAGATTTTCAGAAATCCGTCTCCATCAACCTACTTACAAAATAAAAGTAGCTAATAGGCCAAGTGTGCTGGAGGCTGGCTGCTAGAATGGCTGGTCTGTGGAGCCCACGGGAGCCAGCCGGAGGTCCTAAAAATGCCTAGGATGAAAGGTGGGAGATACAGCCAGCTCATCTCCCCACCCTGGCTGGCTTCGGTAATGCCACAGGTAGACACACACAGAGAACATAATCGTATTTTTTTTTTTTTTTTTTTTGAGACAGAGTCTCACTCTGTCACCCAGGCTGGAGTGCAGTGGCACCATCTTGGCTCACAGTAACCGCTGCCTCCCAGGTTCAAATGGTTTTCCTGTCTCAGCCTCCCGAGTAGCTGGGATTACAGGTGTGCACACCAAGCCTGGGTAATTTTTGTATTTTGGGTAGAGACAGGGTTTCACCATGTTGCCCAGGCTGGTCTTGAACTTTTGACCTCAAGTGATCCGCCCACCTTGGCCTCCCAAAATGCTAGGATTACAGGAGTGAGCCACCGCATCTGGCCCCCATGTTGTTTTAATTTAAGGCAACAACTAGATAAGCATTTGTAGAATTAGA
Source organism: Homo sapiens (assembly GCF_000001405.40). Taxonomy (NCBI): domain Eukaryota; kingdom Metazoa; phylum Chordata; class Mammalia; order Primates; family Hominidae; genus Homo; species Homo sapiens. The sequence goes on from NC_000017.11 coordinate 79,247,665, forward strand.
GAAAAGCAATGCAGAGTTTTGCATCTGGGGAAAAATCACAGGGTGGGGCATCTCCACTCTTCCAGCTCCAGAGAAGAGAAGGCAAGGCAGGACCCTGGCTGTGCTTGGAACTTAGATCTGGCGGTTGATCCATGTTCTGAGTCAAGCTGGGATGGTTGGTAAACCTCCCATGGGTTACTCAACATCGAAGTGCCTCAGTTTACTCCCCTGTAAAAGCGGGGGTGACAGTAGGACCCACCTCTAGGTATAGGGATGAAAGGCAGCCCAACCCTTAGCACAGTGCCTGGCCCACAATGGGAGGAAACAGAGCCACCCTTAGCACAGTGCCTGGCCCACAATGGGAGGAAACAGAGCCACCAGAGGCAGTCACAGCAGGAGCTGCTCAGGGCTGCAGTGAGCTCCGGTGGGGAGACCCTGGGCTGTGGGTTTCACCCAAACAGGGCGAAGGGGCGGGGCTCTCCTCTACCTCCGGGGCACAGGAGAGGGAGGGACGTTTGGAACAAACCCCAAGAAGACTTCTGCACCTCTTGGACCCAAGTGATGAAAAGGCTGGTGGCTTTGTTTTGTGTGTGTGTGTTTTTTTTTTGGAGATGGAGTCTTGCTCTGTCCCCTGGGCTGGAGTGCAGTGGCGCAATCTTGGCTCACTGCAACCTCCACTCCCGGGTTCACGCCATTCTCCTGCCTCAGCCTCCCGAGTAGCTGGGACTACAGGCGCCCGTCAAGGGCTGGTGGCTTTGAAGTGATTAAAAGCCAGGTGTCTGTCCCTGGAAGGGTGGGGGGTCTTAGAGACTTTGGTGGGATTCACTTGCACCAAGATGCCTTCTACCCGGGAGGAGGCTCAAACCTGAATGAATGCAACGTCATTTCCACGTGTTAAACTGCACTCCCCAACCTAAGCTAGTTTCCCTGGGAGGTAACGATTTTTGAAACAAAACCAAGAGTAGCTCCCATGGGCAACTGTGGGCCTGTGCTTGGTGTCCCCCACAGTGACGGCCGGAGTGCTTTGCACATCTCCTCCAGAGGATTCTCACCCCACAACCCTATCGGGGGGTGCTTGTATCCCTAGGCACAGGTAAGGAGCTGAGGCAATGGGGGTCCCCGTTGACTCACTCTCTTTGGGGACTGAGGCTGGCAGGGAGTGTTGGGTGTTGCCACGCAGAGCCACTCAGCATCCAGCCTCACTTACCAGCAAGCTCCAGCTCCGCAGAGATTCTCCTTCTTGGAGGCCTCAGAGCTCTGCAGCTCAGCGGGCAGCTGGAGGCCCACATCCACTGCCTCTTCTGTGGGAGGGCCCCCGCCTGCCACTCGCCAAGCCCCCATTCTGAGCTGGGACCTGCCTCCATCGGCTGGGATGCGGTGCGGTCTTCCGCCAGCGGGGCCAGAACCCAGAGCGAGGCTGCCTCCCCTGGGTCGGCAACGCCACCTCGCTTCCTGCAGCTGACAAAGGACTCCTGAGGCCACTAACCCTTCCAAGCCCTGCAAAACCATCTCTGGAACCACCCTGAAGCTAGGGACTCGGCTCAGGAACTGCTGCTTGCTGGGGCGTCGAAAGCCAAGCGCGCTCAGGTCTTCAAAGCCACCGTTTGTGCTTGGGCTGCGGATTCTGGCTAGTGAGATGCTGAGCTGTGAACAAAGTCAGAGTCCACTCATAACCACCTCCCTCTGTTCCCTGTGTCTCGGCCCGCTCGGCTCCAATGCTGCTGCAGTCACCGTCTTTTATTCCCTGTATTCTGATGCTTTGACATCTGAAGCCTTGCTGGCCCTGGGGAGACGGCTCCTCCCAAAGTAGCAGATTCCGAGAGGCAGCAAACAACGGGCTTGGGGTGTGCTTTTTCACCTGCAAACCGGCCAACCAGATCCCACACCCCAAGCCCCTGCCTCTATCGGGGTCCCATGCTCCCGGAGACTGTTTACCTGTCCTAATCACCCCAGAGCCAGGTACAGACAATCAGATCCAGCCCCATAGCCCAGAGCTCACTGAAATGATCCAAACCAGCCAGCCCCAAAACCACTTCCCCTGCCTCGCCCGTTCCTTCCTAGGGAAACCACAGTCAAGACCCCTGCCCCTGTGAACCCCCATTCCCTCTGCCTCCCGACCAAACCTGGTACCTCCCTGTGTGTCCCTGATGCCGAGTTCCCTGTCTCTAGGGATCTGTCCCTAGATAGGCTTCTTCTGCCATGCCAGTCATTTCTGTATCTGTGTGTCTTTTTTACCCCATTAAAACAAATTCCAGGTATCCTTAGATCCCCACCAGCCTCACCATCCTAGCTGCACCTGCCGGCATCCCTGGCATCGCTTTGGCTCTTGCGAGAGGGAGCCAGTTTTAAGGATGAAACCGTAATGCTTCCCTGGTGGTAAGGAGTTCCTTAGCGCTTGGTGCAGCTCAGAGGCTGCTGGCTCAACCGGATTCAGAGTTTCCACTGCCACAGCCGCGTCAGAAAGACTATTACTGCTCAGCAATTGCCTTTCGGGATTAATACATCTTTACTCACATGATCAATTTCAGTCTCCTACTGGATACGGCCTCAGAAGTGAAATGTGAACATGGACTTCTATCACACCCATGTCCCGGTGAACGTCCATCTGCAACTAACCCACATTGACAAGCAGCTAATTTGCAGATTGTGCCTGTATCGACAGTTGGGTTTGTTTAATAATAGATAGTTGCTGTCTTCCCTGGGTTCTGTTCATGCAGAAGGTCTTTGCTGAGACGGAACACGATAAATTGCGAATGTGTTTACATGGACATTCCCAAGGCCCCGGGGCTCGTGGTCAGACTTTAAAGAATAATAAAAATAATTTTTGTTGTAGGAGGAGTTCCTGATGAGGGCGCTTAAATGAGCCGATCACTCGGCGTGGGCAGGAGCACCATGCAGGGAGACCCAGCCTCACTGCTTGGCCGATACTCAATGAACATTTGCCTCAACAGATAAACACGCTTGCTTGAGCTTCATATGCCCTCCCAGGCTTTGAGGACCTCTGATTTATAAAAATAAAGCAGCGTTGAGGTGCCACAGGACAGTATCCTCTGCAAGACTCCCTTCGGCAGCCACCCCTGTGCTTGGCTGTCCCCGTTTCTTTCTTCCTTTCTTTCCTTTTCTTTTTCTTTCCCTCCCTCCCTCCCTTCCTTTCCCTCCCTCCCTCCCTTTCTCTCTCTCTCTTTCTCTCTTTCTTTCTTTCTTCCCTGAGTTTCGCTCTGCAGTACAGTGGCTCACTGCAACCTCCACCTCCCGGGTTCTCCCAAGCAATTCTCCTACCTCAGCCTCCTGAGTAGCTGGGATTACATGTACGTGCCACCAAGCCCGGCTAATTTTTGTATTTTTAGTAGAGACGGGGTTTCACCATGTTGGCCCGGCTGGTGTCCCAACCTCAGGTGACCCACCTGCCTCTGCCTCCCAAAGTGCTGGAATTACAGGTGTGAGCTGCCGCGCCCGGCCTATCCCTGTTTCTGATGTGAGCTCAGCCTCCTCAGCAGCTCCCCTTCTCCCTTGTCCCCTTCTGGTCCTAGCCACACACCCTGGATGCTGTCTGTGCCCTGGCTCTATCCGCCACCCACCACCAGGAACTCCTGCATGTAGGTTTACAATCCAGATCTCTGGCACCTCCTAGATCTTACTACCTGGTTACTGGTGCCAACGTCACTCAACGTGTGGGACAGAGAACAGACGAGGGCCTCTCCCGAAACCTCCTCTACCGCTGCCCCTCCCAGTATAGTCAATGGCACTAAAGTTGATTCAGCACCCCCAAACTCACTGAAATTGATCCAGCACCCCTAAACTCATTGGAATTGATCCAGCATCCCAAACTCAGATCTCTGGGCACAACCCTTCCCCCTCCCTTGTCTCCAGTGCCCACCCAAGTTGCCTCTAGGTCCTATGCATTCTTCTTCCTTAACACCTTCTGTACCTGTGTGACCTCCGCTACCCACAAATCCACATGGCTCAGGCCCCTTCTCTTCCTAGAACATGGCGCGGCCTCTGAACTTGATCCTGGCTCAGAAACCCTACAGCTCCCACATCCAGCCTCAACTCAGTGGCCAGACGAGTCGGCTGCATGGCAGGTTCCGCCCCATTGTACACTTCACAGCTGCCCACAGGCTCAGGGAAGGTTCAAGACCTCTTGGCCTGGGGCTGAGGATGCCCACACCTGGCACCAACCCACCTGCCCACCTGCTTCTCCCTCGGCTCCCCCACCAGGGGTCTGCCCTCAGGCTGAGGAGAGCGTCTTACAGCTCCCCAGTGGCCGAGCTCACACTCCTGGATCCTTCCCCTCCCTGCCTGAAAAGACTGAGCCCTCTCACTCTACCCAGCAGCCTCTTACTCACCTGGAGACCAGGTGGCCTGAGCCAGCCTTGTCTTTCTCCATCTCTCAGCAGGGAATGAGTCTGCTGACCACGCCTCATGCCTCTGGAAGCACACTTTGTCCTGGGCTGGCCCACACCCTCCTGGTCTCCCCATGGCTCTGGCCCTTCCTCCTGCCTTTGCCTAGTGGGTAACTGGGCATTGCAGGGCCCCTTCTCCTTCCACCCTTTACTTTCTCCCCAGGCAACTTCAGAGGTCTGGCTTCAACCCGCACCCTGATGCCAGCAATGCCCACTCTAGCCGAGTTCCCTGTGGGTCCAACCTTTTGCTTCCCTTGATGTCTCCCAGACTGCTCTGTCCCACATGGCTGAGGCTCAGGGTCTTCTCCCAGAAACCTGGTCCTAGCTCAGTGGTCCCTATTTCAGTGAATGGATCTATCACCCGTCCAAGTGAGCAAGTCAGCTGGGGTCCACTCTGACCCTCCCTCTCTTCCTCCCCCATCCTCCAATCCATCATTGACTGTCAGTTTGACCCAAGGAGTTCGGGGGCCTCTAGAGGCTGGAACAGGGAGGCAGTGGACTCTCCCTCGGAAATGAGCTCTGATGGTTCCTCGATGGTAAACCAGTGAGGCTCCTTCCTGACTTCTGCCTTCCAGAACTGCAAGGCCACCCATCCAGCTCGTTTCAAGCCGCTACGTTTGTTTGCGACGGCGGCACCTAATGCGGTCCTCTTGGAAAGTTCTCAGCGTCACATCGCTCTGGCTGTGTTGACCACTCCCAGCCAACTGCCCCTCTCAATGCCCCTCTCCTTTCCCTTCCTTTTTGGGTCTTCATGTCCACAGAGAGTGAGGCGTGGACCCAGGCTTTCTGCCTCTCCAATGAGACAGGAGGGCAGGGAGCTGAAAAATCTCAAATCTGCCAACCCCACCCTTCCCCCTCTATCCCGCCCGGCAAGCCCCAGCCCCCTAAACCCGCAGCCTTCTTTGCCGTCTACACTCAGCAAAGTCAAGTCCCTCTCTGAGCAGCCTCTGCTTCCCAGATGGAGCCTCTGGCCCTGACCCTGCGGGGTGGTGCTGTGTGGGAAGGGGCAAGAAAAAGGAACAAGCAACGCTTGACAAGGCTGTTTCAGGTCCCCCTTCTTCTTTCAGCCCAAGTAGATCCTGGCGGCCGACAGACACCGCAGAGGGAGGTAACCACCACTCCTCCTAGCACAATGCATCTGGTGCTCCCTCAAGAGCTGCCAAAGCCAGACGGGGCTCATCTTTCCCCCCACCTCAAATACCTGCCCTTCACCACACACACATCCGGACACAAAGCCGGGGAGGACTCGAATTAATTTAACTTTTAATTATATTCACTTAACAAGATGATCCAGCTGAGGTTAAAAAAAAGTCTGCCTCCCCGCCCAGATGAAAAAAACCTCTTCTGTATCTATTTATATCCAGTATATACATAACCAGAAACGAATCTTTCTTTATGGACCATTAAAGATCTAATGTTTAATTTATAGCCACTTTCTCTGGCGGGGTATCCAGGCACAATGTCAACATTTTTAATTAAATGAAATTTTTTTTTTAAATCACAAAGGAAGATATATATTTTTAAAGCCACATTTGAGCCAGTGAGCAACAGCCCTGAGTTGCTGCTTCCAGGAGGTGCTGCTGGTTGGAGAGGGTGCCGGGGAAAGGGGAGACATCTCTGGAATTTCAAATCCCTGGCTGGCCAGTCTGTCTGCGGTTAGGGTGGCAGGGGTGTCCCCAGATGAGGGCATGGCAGTGTACCTAGCAGGGGAGGTCCCCAGCTGCTGTTTGTTGAGCACCTACTGTGTTTTGGGCAGTGCCCTAGAGGGTTTTCACATGCCATCATCTTTAATTCTCCCAGCAATGGTCCACGGGGTGGCCATGGGATGGGATTACCACGGAGGAAGCTCAGAGAGGTTGGACACCCTGCCTGAGGTCACACAGTAGCAGATGGATGAAGAGCCCATGTCTGGGTCCAGGTCAGGTTCCCAAACCTAAGCACTTTTCTCTTCCCCCACGCAGCCTCTGAGGGCGGGTATGGGAGGGAGCCTTCTCCCCAGCTGGTGGCAGGACTTCTGAGTCCTCCATGGTGCAAATGAAGTCACTGCAATGCCCAGGTCCTGGGCAGGGAGGCAAGTTCACCACTGCATCGCTAGCACCCAGGACACAGGAGCCTCACAGAAGTCATTTGCTGAGTTTTGCAGTTCATGAGAGTGAAAGTGATTTTCCAGAAGGTTCTCAGATGTCCTGGCTTCAGGGAGCAGGGCCCCTGAGGTCTGGAAGAGGCCAGCTGCTGCCCAGTCCTATTCCTGCCTCGTTCAGAACCCTGCCCACCCCGCAACCCCCAGGTGGCAGCAGGTGAGGAACCTTACTCCTGAGACCCTCAGCCCTAGCTCCACATACCCCCAAACCTGCCCCCCAATCCAGGACACATGGCACCAGGGCCCAGCCTTGAGACCAACCAGCTGGACTCTTGCACACTGACCTCTGAACATAGATGGAGGGAAGCCCTTGAGTTGCTAAGCCTGTAGGTGACCCTGACTGAGGGTTCTGGGGCTAGAGATGGAGCTTTGGGAAGCTGAGCCCTTGAACCCTCAGCTGGTGACCAGTGCTGGCCCCAGGGATCTCCCACCTGCTTGGGTTGGTCTTATGCCACCAGGGGCCACTTCTGAGCCCTCTTGGCGATTCGTATACTTGCCCCTCCATGCAGTGTCAGTCCAGGCTGTGAAAAACCCGCCCTGCCTGAGTGGGTGCCTTACCTGGACAGTATCCAGGTGGACAGGTGCCTTATCTTGGCTGGGCATGAGAGGGGTCCCAGAATGTCTGGAAGTGCTGGATGGCCCAGGTTATGGCCACTTGGCTATCACCATGGGCTGGACTCTCTAAGGACAACGTGGGGCTTCAGGCTGACATGCTGGGATTGGCAACACCCCAGACTCTTGCTCTAGGTAGGGCCTGGGGCAGGACTATGTGCCCTGAGCCCTCTATCCTGGGCAGGAACTGTGGGTCAGAGCGGAGGGCAGGCAGCTTGTCCTTGGGACCTTGCTGGCTTCCTGCCCCCAGGGCCTGTATCTGCTTGGCCTCCCCTCCTTAGCCAACTCCTTGACCCCTCAGAAACTTGACCTCTCTCCAGGCTTTTCCTATGGGGCCTACCCAGGCCACACCCCTCCCAGCCAGTCTGGTGCTGCCTCCAGGACAGAGAATGGGAGCTGAGTGGCCCTGTGGTCACATGTGTGCGTGTGTGTGTGTGTGTGTGTGTGTGTGTGTACTGGGGGTGTGGCATGAGGAGGAGCACTGGAGAGGGAGTCTGGGGTGACGGTGCCGTAGACTCACTATGGTGGGTCTCAGCCCGGTGGCTGAACATCAGTGACACCGTTGAGAGACACGTGGACACTTCAACATCTGCCCTGCTCTTCAAAGAAGTGACCTCACAGGGGCATAGTCCCTGTCACCATTCTCCACCCCAGAGCCCTGGCCCCCCATCTGTGCTCAGGAACAAGGCTGTGCTTAGGAACAAGGCTGTGTCCACCCTTGAATTGTCCAAGGGTGGAAATTAGAGGCAGCCAGAAGCCGAGGCTAGCATGAGCCAGCGGCCTTTAATGGGACACTCCATCTTCCCCTGGCGACCGCGTCTCCCAGGAAGCCTCGGGAAGCTGCTGAGTCAACACTGCATGGGCAGGGTGGCCGGTGCTCAGCAGCAGCACTGGGCCTGGCCTCCCAGTCCAGCTGATCACCATCCCGGGGGCACCTGCAGCTCAGGGGCAGCGTCCCTGGGCTTCTCCTCCTCCATGGCTGCAATTCCCCTTCCTAGAGGGGCCGCAGATAGGAAGACCCTCCTGTACATCCCAGGGACGGTGGATGTTGCTGGTGTAGGGACTGAATCGACACCACTTCTGGGACTCCTGTCTTCTGCTTGGGGCTGGGGATCCTGGACCCGCTGCCTGCCGAGCACAGAGGGGCACAGCTGCCTCCCCAGCCAACTCCCTCGGGGGCTTCCAAAGCAGCCATCCAGAAAATGCCTGGTCATAGTCCTCTAGGAATTTCTGGAGCTGTCTTCCATACCACCAACTTCCCTGGTGCGGACGGGAGGGGCTGACCTAGCAGTCCATGGTAGGGAAGCCCCAGCCCATTGTAAACCCTCCCAGCCCCGCCAGGTGTGCACCCCCGCCTTGCTCAACCTTCATCAGCTGTGGAGGTCAAGAGCCTCATCACTCCCTCTTAGCTCTGCTCCTTCCTGCAGGGAGGCACGCTTGTCTCTGGGGCTTCTATTCCCATAAACCGACCCTTCCTTTCTCATGTGAATCCACTTTAATTACAAAGCTAAATAACGAGAAGGAAATATTAAAATTAAAAAAAAATTCCCTACACATAGCAAGTTTGCTTGTGCCGGCCACCGGCTCCGGGAGCTGAAGCCCAGAGTGAGGATGGCACCACGCCACTCACTAAAAGCATGAGTGTCCCTAAATCAATAATTCATTTACTTTAATGAGATAAGTACTTTGAAAACTAATTGCAAACCTGCTCCATTTACTCCAACCTGCTACAGCCCTTAATGTAAATCGCAGAACCATGGCTGTGGGGAGGAGAAAGTCTTTAGGTGGAAGACACTGTGTCATCTTCCCCTTTCTTCTAAGAAAGGGAAAGAAGTTCTGCCAGGTACGGTGGCTCATGCCTGTAATCCCAGCACTTTGGGAGGCCGAGGCAGGTGGATCACCTGAGGTCAGGAGTTTGAGACCAGCCTGGCCAAGAAGGAGAAAACCCATCTCCACTAAAAATTCAAAAATTAGCCGGGCATGGTGGCGCACGCACCTGAAATCCTATCTACTCGTGGGGGGCTGAGGCAGGAGAATCGCTTGAACCTGGGAGGTGGAGGTTGCAGTGAGCCGAGATTGTGCCACTGCACTCCAGCCTGGGCGACAGAGTGAGACACCATCTCAAAACAAACAAACAAACAAAACAAAACAAAAAAAAAACAAAAAAAAGAAAAAGAAAAGGAAAGAAGTTCGTGACGCGGGTGGGAGGAATCTGGGGAACTGGTGGACTCCTGCTGTCTCTCCACCTGCCCTACCGTGAGGCAGCAGACGGGTCCCCTCCAGTATGAGGTTCGACTCACATCCTTCCCCTGGGAGAGAGGGTAGCACTGGGAAGCCGGAATGTGGCAGCACACACTACAATCAATGCCGGGAAGTGACTGTCCTGGGGCCTCCGGGGACTCCTGTGAGTCCCTCTGCCAGCAGGTGCTCTGAGCAGTCCTTCCCCAAGCCCCGAGCCCCGGGAGGTTTGTGCGGTTCCAGAGACACCAGCACAGGGATGCATGTTGTTAGGTGAGTTTTCAGTTCATGCTTTGGCAAGTGAAGTCCCAAAGGGTCCAATGTTCCAATAGCTTCCCCAGAATACAAACCCGAGACCAAAAAGATGCTCTGACTAGCAGGTGCCCTGAGGAGTCTGCTGCCAAGATGCTGAGAGCACAGCCTGTGCTGAGTGGAGGACAGAGCAGCAGACCAGGAAGCTGCTCACCTACCAGGGGTTTGGCCAAAGGGCTGCAGGGCCCATGGGGCCAGGAAAAGACACCTGAGTCCTTCTCACTGTTCTTTGCTTTTTTTTTCCCCCTCTGAGACAGAGTCTTGCTCTGTTACCCAGGATGGAGTGCTGTGGTGCAGTCTCAGCTCACTGCAGCCTCCACCTCCTGTGTTCAAGCGATTCTCCCGCCTCAGCCTCCCGAGTAGCTGGGACTACAGGCACATGGCACCACACCTGGCTAATTTTTGTATTTTTAGTAGAGACGGGGTTTCACCATGTTGGTCAGGCTGGTCTTGAACTCCTGAGCTCAGGCAATACACTCGCCTCAGCCTCCCAAAGTGCTGGGATTACAGGTGTGAGCCACCATGCCTGGTCTGTCCTTTGCTTTTGTTTTGGGAAAAAAAAATAAAAAAATAAAAAGCAATGATGGTACATTTTTCAGCTTCTAATCTTGTGGGGACGGGGGTCTCAAATCCTTCTTCTCTCTCCCCCTTTATCCCCTTCTCTCCCCACTGTCTCTCTTTCTGGTTTTTGGCCTCACTGGGAATAGATGCCAATGCCTACACAGAAGTCCAAGTTTGCTTCTTGACATTTTCAGGAAGAGCCTGTTTTAGAGATTATGACTCTTGGAAAATGCAGAAGAACCTATTTCTGCTTTGCTGCTAGACACTGGTTGGTCCTCCGCGGTGAATAGCTCAGCTAAACCAATCCAGCTCTCAGGGCTGACCCAGTGCAGGGAGCACCACACTGACAGGCAGTCGCAGCACCAGACAGCAGCCTCCAGTGATACGCCGCAGACACAGAGAAAGGATCTGAAACGGATTCCCGCTTAAATCTCAAACCCTACTCAATACTCCTGTACTGAGGTGAAAGCAGAGGATAACATCTCCATTCCTCAGAACCCACCAGGTGTGTTGCCGTGGACCACAGTCAAGGTTGCTGCTGTTATGATTCAGCATTTACTGAGCACGGGAATGTGCTGGGCCAGCCCTTCCCACGGGGGTCCCTGTCTAAATGGAACACAGGTTCCCCAGCCTGGATGGAGCCAGGACCACTAACGACACTCAGGGGTCAGATCCTGGGCAGACTAAAAGGAGCTCTAGAGCCTCAGGGCCAAGGGAGGGTGGGACAGGGAACGTGGCGAAGTTCTTCTCAGGTGCACCCAGCAAGAGAGATGGACAGGCCCTTTGGAAGATCAGGAGGCAGGGGCTGGTTGGTGGGGGGTGCACTCACAGCTGCTGAAGACCCTGTTCAGGAAGGGCTCATCTCCTAGTGGGAATCCCACCCTCGCCACACCATCCTCCTCCTGCTCTGCCGATGACAGAGAGGGTCCTGCACCTGGGCCACCTTGTACTTGACCCGGCTATCACAGTCCACCTGCCATGGCTACTCGATGCCATGTCGAAAGGCGCCGTCCCAGCAAGTCTGGCCCCAAAGCTGCCCTGCTTTCTCAGCGCTTGCTAGAGGGAAGCCTGCTCTTTCTAAGTGGCTGCAGCTGCTTTTGCAGAGTCGCTTATCACTTGCAATCCCAGCTCTAAGTCATTGCTCAAAACCAGAAATGTCAAAATTCTCTTTCCCTTATAATTCTGCCCTTCAGGCTAAACTGTCTGTAGGGATGACGACAGCAGAGCACTGGTGGGTACTGAATGCTGTTTTTCTATAGACCCACTTTTCTTCTCCCTGAAATACTGACCCAATACGCAGCTGGTGTCTGGCCCACCTGGCATCTGTGGACTCTGCCCCAGGGGCTGTGCTGTCCTCGGGTCGAGGGTGGAGCAGGAGTGGGGAGTGGGCACAGCACCGATCTCGGGTAGGGTCCACCTGCAGGACCCGCAGCCCTGTGGCAAGAGGGTGTGTTCTGGGGTCCCTGCCCTTCCGTGGTGAGGGCAGCTGCCTGTACCCCAGAGGCGAATGGGAAGGTGAGGGCAGGGGCAGGAGGCACCAGAGATGGGGTCATCGCCAGAGAAGAGCTCTCCTGTGTTCCTGAGAAGACAAGCTGCAAACCAGCTGCATCTGGGAGGCAAGGCCTGAGGAGGGAAGGGAGCAGGCAGGACTCTGGGGGCCCAGGTGAGATGGCGTTGCCTGGGACCGCATGGAAGGGAAGGCCACTCAGCTGATGCAGAGGCAGCTGGGAGGGGGCTGAGAGCAGGGACCTGCTGGTCAGTAGACCGGGCTCCCTTTGCTGAGCCTGGCAATCCTGCGTTCCCCGGGAGCCAGGAGACGCAGGGACAGGCTCGGTGTGGCCTGGGTGTCTAGGTGCCCCCGCATCTCAGGGTCACAGTAGCCGCAGGGGCTCTGCAGCAGGCGCCATTCTCAGTACTGGGCAGCATTTTCCCTCTCTCTCTCCTCCCTGAAGAGGCCCGTCTGAGCATTATCCCTCTTTTGCAGATGAGGAAACTGATGCTCAGATATGTCAACTGTGAGTGCAGCAGGGATGTGAATCCAGTCAGGTGGGCTGGGCAGCCAGATGCTGAGCCCCTTCCTGGCCGCTGACTTTCCCTGGGTAGAGTGAGGACCATGGGAGATGGTCCTCACACCCCTGGTGTGGGGAGCCCTCTGGACAGGTAGAGTGCTGTCTGCACATCCCTTATTGTCTAGCCAGCACTTACTGAGCACCCCTGGGCCTGGCCCAGCCCATCGGCCACCTGGTTTAATCATCAAATAAGGAGGTACAGGGGGAGGTGGAATGGGAGCCTGCCTTGCCCAGACCCTCACACCCCTCCCCACTGGCTAGCTGTCGGGGACCCCCTGCCCTGCTGAGGCTCAGCTTCTCCCAGGGCCCCTTCCCACAAAGCAGCCCCATGTGCCGGCACCTGCTCCCTGCCACAGTGGATCCAGCACTGTCTGTGGCCTCTGCCCCACACGTTCTGGGCCCTGAGTGGAACCCAGATGGGGTCTTGTTCTTTCCCCTGCACCTTGGAGCTAGGAACCCTGAGAAGAAAGAACGTGGCCTGAGAAGGGCCCCAGAAAGAGCCACGAGGTGCCCACAGTGCACGCCAATAGAGCAGAGATGCCACTGGCACCTCCACGGGTGAGGGGTCAGCTGCTGGGGCCAGGCCCGTGCCCCTAACTCTGAGGGCAGCACTGATGGCCAAGGCCAAATCCAGAGCCCCAGGGGTGGCCCAGAGAGGTGTGGCCACACTGGCCTGAGGCTGAGGACACAGCCAAGCTGCAGCCAGCTTGCCCGGCCTTGGGGCCTGATGGGAATCCGACGCCCCTCCCCTGGGGATAGGAACATGGCCAAGGAAGACGCTGTAAAGTGCGAGAAAATGGCATGTAGGAGAGGATTTTCAGTCCACATCACAGAGCAACTCCAAAGTCCTTTCCCAGCTCTGAGGCCCACCAGCTCTGGCCGACTGCCAGACTCTATCACCCTCCACGGGCCGCACACTGGCCTCCTCACTGGCCCTGGCACCTGCCGGCACACTCCACCCAGGGCCTTTGCACCAACTCCAGCCTCTCCCCTACCATCCATGTGTTTCCCTCCCTCCCTCCCGTCCTGGGGCCGGGGCCTCTCCCCACCCTAGCTGTTCCTCGCTTGCCTTCGATCTTTGCCCAGATCCTTTTTCTCACCTCAGTAAAGTCAAAGCCTTCATACCCCTACACCCCTCCAGTTCCCACCCCACGGCGTTCGCTCCTCGAGCCCCCTACAAACATACTCATCTGTTCCCCCAACTGCCCATCTCCCCTATTGCAATGTAAGCACAACAAGAGATTTTTATCTGCTTTGTCTCCTGATGTACACACTGATGTGTCTCCAGAGCCCAGGACAGGGCCTGGCACAGAGCAAACAATAAATATGTGTGAGTAAATGAAGGAGGGGGCACGAGCACCCCGAAGCCACATGCACAGGGTCTCTTTCTTTTTCCTTTCCTTTTTCTCTCCCAAGACCCAAGACCTGCTTTTCTCTTGCAGAAAGTGGTGTTCTGAGGGGCATGGAGCTCCTTGGAAGGAGCCGGAGGCAGAGGATGCAGGTGGAGGCGCTGTACTGCCACAGTCCCCCAGGAGCCTCCCAGGCCTGTGCGGCTCTCTCTCCCCGGCACAGGATTCCCTGGAGGGCTCTCCACAGTGCAGAGTCAATGATGCGGCAGGTCTGGGGTGGTGGGGGTGCATTTCTCACAAGGTCCCAGGTGACACGGAGGCTGCTGGAGCAGGGGCCACCGTCTGAGCAGCAGCTCGCACACAGGCGGGTGGGCGGCAGGACCCTCCCTATCCCATCCCGCACTGGTCGCCACGGGGACCTTGGTGTGAAACCAGGATGAAGGCTGCACACCCCACGCTTCCCCTGTTCACACAAGAGGCCCCCAGAGCGGCTTCCCCTCCTGTTTCTTGGCAGCTTCTGATGGAACCCGAAGAGGGGAGGGGAGGACTTCAGGTGCTCACGGCCGGCCCCGCGGAATTGTGGGTTTGCCTTTACTGGGGCTTGTGGAGGGGGGAGGCGTACGAACACCTGCAATATTAATGCAGATTGCTGGGCATCGGGATCCTTCACACACTCCAAAACTTTGCTTTGAGTTCCTCTGAGATTCCTTTTGAGGTTTGAGATTCCTTTTGAGATTCTTTTGAGTTATTTGAGTAACTTTGAGATTCCCTTTCTCTGCCTGGGCTGTATGTTAAACCAAAACCACTGCTCTGGAAAAGCCTCTCGTGGCCACAGCTCTGTACACACAATGTGGCTAAGCGGCGGCCAGGCCAAGCCCGAGATGCGGCGGTTCTGAGCCTCAGCTTCTCCATGGAGGCTCCCACAAGCCCAGAGCTCTGCAGCCAGGGGCAAGTCCCGCAGCCATGGGGGGCCCCGGACAGGGGCTGTGGGTAGGAAAGGGGTGGCCAGGACTGGCCTGGGAGCCAGCCATGACCCTGCGCAAGCAGATCCCACTGAGGGGACACGGTCCCTCTCCTTGGTTTCCCTGCCAGGACTTGCACATTTCTCTGTGAATTCCACCTCGGTCGTTCTCCTTTGAAGAACAATCGATGGGTAGATCTCCACTGATCACACAGGGACAAACTGATTAGGATCCTAAATTAGATCAGTGCTGCTGTCTGCTCAGAGGGCAGGACCCCTTAATCCTATTCCAGTCTCAAGAGGTGGAGGGAGGCCCAGGCTGGTGGGAAGGGCTGTGGGCCCTCTGTGCAGGCTCACGGTGCCAGCTGTGGACAAGCCCACAGGCAGGAGTGGAGCTACGGATCTGTGGCTGCCCCGTGTGCCCCACAAGGCTGGAGTCCATCCTTACTTGGGGCATGAGGACAGCCAGGCCAAGACTGGTCCAATAGTATCAGCTGCTCCCTGTTGGATGGAAACCAACCCATATGCCTTCAGCCATGAGCACTGGGGCAGCCCCAATAGGGCGAGGCTCCTTCTTGCTTCTTGGCTGCAAAGCGCCAGCTCTGGTTGCCTTCTCCTTGTTTCAGGTGGCCTGGCTGCCAAAGCTGTTGGCAGACACTTGCTGGGCTGATGAACTCTGCAGGTGAGGCTGCAGCTGGTAAGGCCTCAGCTGCCTCCCCCGGGAGAACTTGCTCTTGGCCACTCTGGGTTGAGGCGACTTAGCTGAGCAGGCCCAGGCCTTCAGCTCAGGCAGGGTAACTCGCCCAGGCCTAGCGTGCCCCTCCAGGGTCCCAGGGCCCCGCGAAGCCACCCTGACCCAAGTGGATGCTGGGGTACCCCCCCGGCTGTGCTGCCTCCCCCAACCTTTGGAGGGCTCAGGCTCTGGAAACACTCAGGCTAGAGGGAGAACACAGCAAGGGCAAACTTTTCGTGATTTCTGCTCTTTCCTCTCTCCCGGCCCAGCATTGGGAAGGTGGCCAGCACTTTTAAGGAACAATCCAAGTGAACGCTGGTATTTTACAGGCACTTTGTAAATTCTGCAGCACTTGAAATTTATGTGATTTGTTTGGAACGCTGGAAGGCACGTGGAGTTTCTGCGGACACAGAGGCCTTCTGCCCCTGGTCAGGTTTTTACCAGTCGTGGCGGGGCCCTGGGCCCTGGCTGGGAGAGTCCCGTGCTGCTCGTGGCAGAAGTCCTGGGAGTGGCCACTGGAGAGGAGGCAGGAAGGCAGAGGCTGCCCCAGCTCATCGTGAGCCACCCCCACCTGCTCTCTAGGGTGGCCAGGTCATATCCACCTGGAAGGCAGACCAAATGCCACCACACCCCCTCTGCCCCGAGCCCAGGCTCCATGAGAGCTAGGACTCTGCGTGTTGTTGCCTAGAACGGTGCCTGACACACAGGGGGCAGCCAGCGAATGGCTGGATGAACGCGCGCTTACGAGGGGCAGAACGATGTCCCCAAGAAGGTATGTCCAGTCCTAACCCCCAGAGCTGGAATGTGACCTTATTTGGAAAAGGATCTTTGCAGATATGACTAAATGAAGGATGATAAAATGAGATCATCCTAGATTTAGGGTTAGCCCTAAATCGAATAGCGGTTGCCTTTATAAGAGAAAGGAGGGAGGCTTGAGACACACAAGGAAGAAGGGCTCGTGGAACCAGAGGCAGAGATTGGAGAGTCAAGGAATGCCTGGAGCCCCTAGAAGCTGGAAAGGCAGGAAGGACCCTTCCCTAGAGCTTTGGCGGGAGCGCAGCCCTGTTGGCATCTTTTTTTTTTTTTTTAAGACGGAGTTTTGCTCTTGTTGCCCAGGCTGGAGTGCAGTGGTGCGATTTCAGCTCCCGGATTCAAGTGATTCTCATCCCTCGGCCTCCCAAGTAGCTGGGATTACAGGCACCTGCCACCACACCTGGCTAATTTTTGTATTTTTAGTAGAGACAGGATTTCACCATGTTGACCAGGCTGGTCTCGAACTCCTGACCTCAGGTGATCCATGTGCGTCGCCCTCCCAAAGTGCTGGGATTACAGGTGTGAGCCACCAAGCCTGGCTTTTTTTTTTTTAAAGACGGGGGTCTCACTATGTTATCCAGGCTGTCCTCGAACTCCTGGGCTCAAGCGATTCTCCTGCCTCAGCCTCCCAAGTTGGTAGGATTACAGGCAGAAGTCACTGCACCCGGCTCCTGCTGACATCTTGATTTTAGACTTCTGGGCTCCAGAACAGTGAGAATCCATTTCTGTTGTCTCATGTCACCCAGTTCGTGGTCATCTGTCACAGCAGCCCCAGGAGACTCATCCACGTGCTCTGGTCTGGAGTTTAATTCTAGCAAGAGCAGATTCTCCTCATAGCTTCCCCAGTTCACCCACCTGATGCTGTTTCTGTTTTCCTCCCTGGGACCTTAGCAAGCATGGGCCCGGGGTACAGTCTCTGTGATTGGTGGGTCCTGTGTATACTGCCAGAGGCGGTGTGCCCCACGAACCGGGCCTCGACTTCCCCATGTTCTGTGCCTTCTCCTTGGCTCCTGCCCCCGCTGGAAGGTTCTGCTCCCCTGTACGGTTCTGCAGGGCAAGCTGGGTGAGAACATGGGGAAGTGTCCGGCATTACTGCCACGAATGCCCTTGGAGACCCTCAGTGCGAGAGGAGGGGGGGGGGGCGCAGATTTGTGGCGATCATAAAAACTGCATCAAACTACTACAGAAAGCAGCCCATGCAGCTCTGTTCCAAGCAGACTTTCCACCACCTCCCCTGCCAGATGCCACGCTCGGCAGTGACCACAGGGTGAGCTGGGCAGAGGCAGTCCAGCCCCCCGTTCCAAAGGACAAAACGCAGAACACAAACAGTTCCAAAGAACAAAACCCTCTCACCACCCTTCAGCCTGGAGGAATGCTGGAAATGAAACCAGGTTTCATGAGCTTGCTCCTAAGTTTTTAAATGTAATGCCGTGTCCTCCCCGAAGCCGGCCCTGGGGGGCCACAATTATTAACTGTCTTCAGGCGGTCATGGGGAGCAGCTGGCCTCCGGGGCTCCCACAGCCTCCCGCTTAACGAGGGTTTCACCGGCAGCAGCTGACACTGTCCTCTCTCTTGCTTTTTCCTTTCCCTAATAGTCTCTCATGAAGGACCTCATCAAAAGCTTTTTGAAAA
The DNA here is from genome assembly GCF_000001405.40 of Homo sapiens. Classification (NCBI taxonomy): domain Eukaryota; kingdom Metazoa; phylum Chordata; class Mammalia; order Primates; family Hominidae; genus Homo; species Homo sapiens. The sequence continues at coordinate 79,265,467 of NC_000017.11, forward strand.
CACAGGTAAATTATGTCCACTGGGCTGCCAGAAGGACTGCCACTTTATTAACTTTTTAGAGCACTCTGGAGAGTTAGAGAGTCTGATTTCCTTTTAGATATGTGTAGCAGTTTGACCTTATTACCCCTGGGCACGCGGGTCTGTAATTTCCAGGGTCTCCCAGGCTGATGTTAGCGACTTTCCAATTTCCAGAAAGGGCTTAGTTTCCGAATGCCTTTCAAGATCACTGCTATTTTATACTTTCTAATTCCATTAGGTGAATTCTCTCCCATTCCGGAGATTTAGTGGGCTGGGATTTTGCAGGTAAGCTTATAACCTGCTTCCTGAGAGCCTGCGGCTGGGCAGGCCTGCCAACTCTGGGCAGGTCGTGTCTACCGCCAGCTCCAGGTGACTTTGGACAGGTGGCTCAGAACTGGCTTGGGGAGGGGGCCCCCACAGAGCTCAGGTCAAGAAGGCTCATGGCACAGCATCCAGACTGCTTAGGCAGCAGGAATTTAAATTTATACAAACACTGTGTAAATCCATTCCCGCTGTAACAGACCTAGACCAGAGCTGACTTTTCCCAGAGGGCTGCTCACCCGGACCGGGCAGGTGAGACTGTCTGCTCCAGCCTTCCCGCCCCTCTCAGCCTTCTCTGGGCATTGCCCTGCCCTCCTTCCTTTGATTCCAATGGGAAAAGACCCTGGTTATAGCAGCCTGTTCTCCCATGGCAGAAACAACCTTGAATGAAGTGAGCAAGTTTCCTGTCTGGCCTGGCCTCCATCCCCAGCTGATGTGGGAGCCTGGACTTCTTGGCACATTCCCCTTGAGGACATTTCAGCCCCTTGAAGGGAAGTGTCCTCATCCTCGTGGTCCAGGCACCTTCTCACCTTGTTTGCTTCAGCTTCTGATTTACCTGCTGAAGTCAGTGCTCCGCCCGCCCATCTCATCCAGCTGTGCTTTCTGTGTTCTGTTGGGACTGTTCCTTTTCTTAGGGGGTATTATTCAGAACTGGGTTGGAATTGTTTGCTAAGTTTCTGTGTTCTGTGATTTGACTTTCAGGAGGGCTGTTACTGGGCCGGGTTCCCAACGCGGAGCTCCCGAAGTGCTTGGAATTTCCCGTGTGCCAGGACGGTCTTTAGAAAGTTATGAGATGACTCTTGGTGGCCCCTAGATAAGATAGCTTCAGAATGGGAGCTGGCCCCAGAGACACCAACTTTGTGATTAGAGGGCTGGGACTTCAGACTGGCTCAACCTCAGGAGAGGGGAGGGGGCTGGAGATGGAGTTCAATCAGGTGTCCAGTAATGTCATCAATCATTCCTACATAATGAAATCCTGATGGAGAAAGCTCTGGGCCCCTAAGTGTGGTGGAGCTTCCTGCTTGGCGAACACGTGGGTGTGCCTGGAGAGTGATGGGGTGAGGGCATAGGAGCTCCGCGCTCCTGCTCAGACCTCACCCTCCCTGGATCCTTTATAACAAAACTGGAATCATTTGCATGCCACTTTCTTGAGTTCTGTGAGATGTTCTAGCAATGACTGAACCTGAGGCGGTCATGGGAACCCCAGAATTTGCAGCTGGCTGGTCAGAAGGTGGGTCCTGAAACTAGGAGCTGGCTTGGAAGTTAGGGTGGTCTTGTGGGGGACTTTGCCCTGCACCTTGGAGTCTGAGGCTGACTCTGAGCAGTGAGTGGCAGAATTGCACTGAAGCCCACCCACTTGGGGTGGGGGCAAGGGGGCATCACACCAGATGCAGACCTTGCTGGCTCTGGGCCCTGTGCCATCTCTCAGCCTCGGTTGGGGAGTCATACTCTTTGGCGGGTCGCTGAAACTTTAGGGCCTTCAGTGCCTCCCCTTCAAGCTGATGGTGATGGGATGGATGATCTCCAAGTTCTGTCCAGTCCTGAAATGCTGTGACCCCGAGCCAAGATGCCCATGTCACTCTCTCTCTTTTTTTTTTGATTTGAGATAGAGCCTTGCTCTGTTGCCCAGGCTGGAGTACAGTGGCGCGATCTCGGCTTACTGCAACCTCCACCTCCTGGGTTCAAGTGATTCTCCTGCTTCAGCCTCCCAACTAACTGGGATTATAGGCGCATGCCACCATGCCCGGCTAATTTTTGTATTTTTAGTACAGACAGGATTTCACCATGTTGGCCAAGCTTGTCTTGAACTCCTGACCTCAGACGATCCACCTGCCTCAGTCTCCCAAAGTGCTGGGATTACAGGTGTGAGCTACCAGGCCTGGCCCCATGTCACTCTCTATGGAGGAAGATGCCAGAGCTCATGGCCTTGTTGTCTGGGACCTTGGCTGACACCATTCCTCTCAGGGAGAGACCTCCTGAGTCATGGAGAAGCCCAGGAAGGGTCTAAGGTGTGGAAACCTGGGCGTGTCAACTGGCAAGGTAGAAGGAGGAGGAGCTAGGAACGCGCAAGGCAGAGAGAAAAGGACGGGAAGGAGGTGTCTCTCCAGCCTAACTCTTGATGGCTCTGGGCTCTATCCACACGATTTCTAAAATGCCTTCCACTTTTTATACCCCCACTATAGAATTCAACCTGCACATGTCAAAAATGTCCTCGGTCTCTGCAAATTTTCCCCTTCTCCAGGGAGTTTTCACCTCTTTCAACCCTCCGCATCATCCGTTGTCTCTCCCATCTCCTGGAGGCGGAGTAGATGCGTTTCCTGGCTGCCGTGAGGGGCAAGCAGGGAGAGTGGCTTCTCGTCTGCGAGTCTGCGAGGGTGTCCCCTGTGGGGAGCATCTGCTCAGGACTGGCGGGTTGCAGACCATCTAGCCAGACCCTGGCCACCCTCAGGTTGCCTCTGTAACCGTCCCAGTGTTTCCCAGCCCACCTTGCCTCACCTCCCATTTCATTCCAGAAACTGCCCCTACTCAAAAGTTCTCCCCTGGGCATGACCGACATTGCCTCTTGATGGCTTCCCCATGGGTCTGAGTACCACACTCCTGACCACAGAGGCCAAGCTCAGCCCCTTCCTCCAAGACAGACCTTCTGGCCCTTCCTCAGCTGGGGTGCTGCTAACTCTCCCGCTGCGGGTGGGGACGTCTCTTCTGCCCTCTGAGCTCCAGCCACAGTTCCCAGGCCAGTCCTCTGCCATCTTCATGGGAAAAGGAAGCTGATCTTCTCCTTTGTGACCCCAAGCCCCTGGCCTGCACATCCTCCTGGACTCCCTTCCCCCAGGAAAAGCCACACTCATGCCCTGGCTGACTCCAGCCCCCGTGTGATGACCCATGGCTCTGGCATCCCTCCCGCTCCCTGACTTCCCACACCTTCACTCCGCTCCCCATCTGTCCCTCTCCAGTAGCCCCCGGACCTCATCCCAACCTGTGCTGCCCGCTGCCTGCCACCCTCTTTCCTCTTTCTCTCATTCCTGTTCCTTCCTCCCACAGAGGACATTGGTCCTGGGCCTAATTAGGACAGCTCAGCCATTGCTCCCTGAAACGTCTCCCTCTCACCCCCTTGTCTTCACACGCCTCCTTGTCCAGCTTAGCTGTTGTACTGGGGTGTCCCCCCAAATTCATGTCTACCTAAAGCCTCAGAATGTGACCTCATTTGGAAATAGGATCTTTGCAGTTAGCTAAGATCAGGTCAGACTGGACTGGGGTGGGCTTTACATCCAATCACTGGGGTCCTTCTGAGAAGGGGAGATGCGGACACAAAAGATAGAGACGTGCAGGCACACGCCAGGAAGAAGGCATGGGAGGGCTGAGGCAGAGATTGCAGTGATGCTGTCCCCGCCAAGTAATGCCCGGGGTCCCAGGAGCTGGAAGAGGCCAGGATGGATCCTCCCTTAGAGCCTTCAGAGAAAATGCAGCCCTGCCCACACCCTGACTTCAGAGTCCTGGCCTCCAGAACTGGGAGAGGAGGCATTTCTGCTGTTGAAGCTGGGTAGTTTATTACGGTGGCCCCAGGAAACTCACACAGACGCCAGGACTCAACCATCCAAGAAGTCACAGGTCACTGTCCAGGACTCCTCGCAGGCAGCAGGTGCTCAATGAATATTGGCCCTTCCCACTCCTGCCTCTGAGAGCTGTGGGAAAAAATTCCCCCCTTGAGGATCACTACCCTATAAACACACCTTCTCTATTGTCACCTGGCCCTCTGGATCCTCCTCCCCGTCTCCCTGGGGATCGTCCCATCCACACCTTCTCTGTTCTCCCCCTACCTGACTTTCTGCCGGTGACCTCCCCTCCTGTTCCACTGTCAGCTCCCTGCACCCCCCACCTCTTTTCTCCTGGCGGGGCCTGGGTCTTTCCTCTCCCTTGTCTGTCACTGTCCTCTCTCCAGTGTCAACACCCTGTCTTTCCTTGCCATTAGCATTTAAATGCTGGGTTCCTTTCCATTGTAAACATCATCACAAGCAAGCCTTCCAGCAAGGTGAGCCCCACCACTGCCCTCATCCACCTGCAAACTCTCCAGCAAAGTGAGCCCCGCCATTGCCCTTATCCACCTGCCCACACTGCCCCTCCCTGTGCCTGCCCTGCAGCATCTGGGGTGGGGACGCCACTGCTGCCCTCAGGGCCTCTGCTGCTTCTCCATTCAGCGAGCATCTGTCTGCCTTCTTGGCTTGACCTCTCCCCCTCTGCGAATCACTCCCTTCCTCCTTCTTGCCACCCTCTCGCTGGTCTTCCGCCTCTGTGGCCACCCTCCTGGTTCTCCTCCGTCCTCCTTCCCTTTGCCATTGGCTCCTCTTCCTCAAAAATGTCAGTTTCCATGGAGGAGCATTCCCTGCTCCCTTTTTCCCAACTCCTCTGCCAGGGCCCCCGCCATGGTTTTGAGAACAGCCCTGTGCTGATCACTTCCAAAGAGAAGTGTGCTGTCCTTGCCTCTCTCCTGAGTTCAGAACCATCTCTGCAGGTGTACTGACCTGTCCACTGGGGTCCCTCAGATACCCAAACCTCTAAGGCTGATCTCAGTACCCTTCCCTAAAAGCCTCTCCTCCTGCACTCCCCAGCTCAAGAGCGGGCACCCCCTCCCCTGTGTTGCTCAAGCCAAACACCTGTGACCCATCCACCATGCCTCCCCTTCTCCTGTACCCAGGTCTGTCCTTTCCTATTATTTAATATGGCCACCTCTCTTCTTTCCCTTTGCCACTGGGCAGGAACAAGGGCCGCCATTTCTCACTGAGAATAATGCAATGGTGCCAGGCCAGGACGCACCACTAAAGGCATCCAAGACTGGTCCCCCTCCAGGTGCAGCGCCTGCAAAGAGAGCGATGTAGGCAGAGTAAGGAGGGGAAAGAGGCAGTTCTGGCGGCCCTGTTCCTCCTCCACTGGGCCTAGGGGGCAATGTGGGGAAGCCCTCCTGCTTTAATCCACAAACACACAGAGGGACAACAGGCTTTGCCCACTGGCATGACCATGACAATACCTTGCACAGAGCATGTACTACACGCCATCTTCATCCCCATTTTGCAGATAAGGAAATGAGGCCGAGAGGTTCAGTCATTTTCCAATGTTATGCAACAACATGCTAGGGCTGGATTCAGATTCCTTTTCTTTTTCTTTCTCTTTCTTTTCTTTTTTGTTTTTTTCTTCTCCAAAGCCCAGGACTGATGACTTAATTTTCAGGGCCCATTGCAAAATGAAAATATGCATCTTTTCTTAAAAATTCATAAGATTTTTTTTTTTTTTTGAGACGGAGTTTTGCTGTTGTCACCCAGGCTGGAGCGCAATGGTGCGATCTCGGCTCACTGCAACCTCTGCCTCCCGGGTTCAAGCGATTCTCCTGCCTCAGCCTCCTGAGTAGCTGGGATTACAGGTGCCCGTCACCATGCCCTGCTAATTTTTGTATTTTTAGTAGAGACAGTGTTTCACCATGATGGCCAGGCTGGTCTCGAATTCCTGACCTCAGATGATCCATGTGTCTTGGCCTCCCAAAGTGCTGGGATTACAGGCGTGAGCCACCGTGCCCGGCCTAAAAATTAGTAAGAATTTGAAGGTGGGACAGCAGAGCATTAAGCCAGGCATGGGAGTCTTCTAAGCTTGGGTCGGATCCCTGTGTGCCTGCCGGACTCAAGCTCATTAGCCGCTCTTTGCGCTGTCCTTCTCCCCGGGCAGGGCTTTCTCCCAGGATCAGGTCCCTCCCAAGGCATGCTGGAGCCCTCTCTCTGAGGGCAGAGGATGCCTGGGCCATGTTCCTACCACCAAGTCTTTCTTCTGACTTTCCCTTCTCCCACCCCATCTCATTCCAACTGAAAGCTCTGACCCTGCGGCTACTTCCCTGGGTGACCCTGGGCAAATCACCAGACTTCTCTGGACCCCGTTGCCTAATTAAAGACAGTAAGGACACTGGTCCTAAAGGGTACAGAGCCACTGTAGAAAGTATCAGATCCCAGAGAAGAAGCGGATCCTACTCCCAGGACACCATGAGGAGAGTCAGGACCTAGAGGCACAGGAGTTCCCCGGGGGCTCCCCATGGCTCCAAAGGGTCTAGTCCAGCCAGTGACCGCAAGAACAGAATCCACACCAGCAGCCGGCCACAGAGGGCCGGCCAGTTATTCAGCACTGAGCTGGCCCTTCCCGCGGAATATATGTCCTCAAAATAGCCCGCTGGGTGGGCCTGGTTAGGGCCATCTCCCTTTTCGGGGTGGGAACGCCGAGGCTGAGAGACGACGGAAACTTGTGGAGTCAGGAAAGGGCGAGGGGGAGGGTGGTTAACACCAGCTTTGGGGTGTGTGGGGCTCCCTGCTGGAGAGAAACAGTCCAGGCTTAGAGACCAGAAATACACAGGCAGCAGCCGCCGTTGCTATTGGCAGCCACTGGTTACATGGCCTTTGTGGCTGGGGGCGGGGGGCTCTGCTGATCTCGGGGTTACCTTGAATGAGACCCTCACATTCTGTTTGCAGGAAGACCCAGGCCTCACTGTCTGACTGTCCCTGTGACACATGGCTCATCTGAGTCCAGGCCTGCATGCAGGTGGCAACACACTGGTGATATTATCACTTAAAATCACAAGATAACGGGAATAACCATCAGCATTTTCTCTCCAGTGGTTGCTGAGACAAGCCATTCCCCTCTTCTCAGTGTTACACAGGCTGCCGGCCGGCCTGGGGAGCCACATGGCCCCTGCCCACGCGGGGCCACGCAGGTCCCACCTGGCTGCCTCCCCAGGTGGCCCCTTCGTTTCCTGAGGAGGGGGTAGGGGGTCTCTCCTGTCCTCCTATCAGATCGCTCCAACTGCCCCCTTTGGGGACTTCCCTGTTGTTGGTGAAATTGTTTAAGTTGGGAGTTTTGCTCAGTTCCAGCTCTGTCATCGCAGATAATTGTGTCACCTGGCACGTGTTCCTGTGTGAGTCAGTCCTGGGGTGCTGTGGAGGGAGGGCTCTGGATGCAGGAAGCTGGGGCTTGAATCCTGCCCTCTTCCTCTCCTGTCCCCTTTCCCAACATCTTTCTCCAGAAAGATTGTCTTCCCGATGTGCCAGCTGTGCCTGTCTGCTTGCCCCGTGTCCCCATCTCTAGGGCCACCCCAGTACCAGGAGCCTCCGAGGGTGGTGGGCCATGGCAGGGAAGCCACTAACCTGCTAGGAATTTGAAAAATGTTCCCACGTTTCAAGGGGCGCCATGCTGGGGCTCTGCCTCCCAGGGGTAGCACTGACTCCCTCTGGGGCTTGGCTTGGAGCCAAAGAACAGAGTGGTGACCTGTGACTACCAGGAGTCCCTGGCGGAATCTAGCCACCTGGTGGACGGGTGGCACTGCCCTGCCTGTGCCAGCAGATCCAGGGTGTTCTCTGAGCCCCTGCAGCAATCTGAGTCAACCCTTCCACAGCCGGCCTGAAGCCCCCAGGAGTGACGTCCACCACCAGGGATTGAGGGCCACTTGCACTCTTGTCATTTTTTATTGGTTGTGGGGACAGGGCTGAGACCAAAGTCTGTATTCAGAGCAATCTGCCTGAAACCTGGTGTCACAGGAATTTTCCAGGATACTTCAGTCCAGGGCTGTGAGAAGGGGAGAGAGTGTTTTAGGGTGGGGTGGATGGAGTCAGGTTGTTGGAGGAGGTGTGCAGAGGCCTTCACATAGTAGGCTGCCCTGTGCCCAGAGTCCCAGTGGTCCCCCAGTGAAATCACCAAGCCAGGCTTAGCTTGGCAGGCTATAGGGTAAACAGTGCTCTGGGGGGGGCGGGGGCGGGGTGCTAGCAGATGGGGCTAGTCCTGGGGGGCAGCGTGAGGCTGGCCCTGGTCCTGGGGCACATAGGTGGTCCCAAGATGGGCATTGGTACCACAGAGCTCAGCCCCATTGGCAGTGATGTCCGAGCGGGGCAGGTCCAGGATGGCTGTGGCCAGGTGCCAGGAGCTGGCTTCAGTGCAAAAACAGTTAAAGTCCGAGGACAGAAAGAGCTGGGCTGCAGGGAGCCCGTGCCCTCCTGCCACAGTGACAGGCAGTATTTGCAGGGGGGAAGGAGGAACCTTCTGCCAAGAAGGGACCTGACCTGGTCCAGCCAGCTGGAGCTGACCCAGGTCTCCCTGCCTCCTCCGTTTCCTGCAGGCACAACTCTTCCAGGGTTGGCGATTCAGCACAGGTGTGCCCCAGATTAGTGTCCAGCGCCACCCTGGCCTTGTGGAGAGACGGTTAGGTGTCAGCAGAGCTGCTGAGCCAGGGCAGGGGCGGACGCTGACCCCATGCATACAGCTGGCTGAGAGAAGGCGGTGTGCCCTGGCCGGTCCTCCCACCAGCAGTGTCCACCTGTCTGGGCACTGGTACCACCTGTCTGGGCACTGGTACCCCTCCTACAATTGTTCTCAAGATGTGCTCCTGCCTTTTGGCTGGAGACTGGGATGGGGGTTGGATATCAGGATGGCGGAGAGTTTCCTGCCCCTGTAACCTGGCAGGAGCTTCAGGACCTTGCTGCCTCAGTTTCCTCATTTGCAACACAAGGAAATAGTACCGCCTCATCGGATGTCATGAAGATGAAGTGAGAGAATTGTAAGATTGCTCGGCAAAGGGCCCAGCACATGGTAAGTGCTCAGCCAAACCAAGGTGTCGCAGCTCTTCTCTGCACTCAGGCGCGAGGGAACTCCTTTGTCCTGCTGTGAGGCCGAGGAGTTGAAGCTTCCGTATCTGGGCGGGGAGGCTGGTCCGACCTCTGTCCTCCCACCTGCCCTGGGCAGAGGCTGTTCCTGGTCGTGGGGCTCAGGGAGCCCTGTGGTGCAGGGCTGGCTCTGTGGCACCTGGAAATGCCAAGTCAGGGCACCAGCGAGGGTCCCCTCATCCCCCAAGAGGCTGGGGGCACAGACGTCTCCACCTGGCTCACTCCCCGCTACTGGCCCCCAGACTTTTCCACCCCAGGAAATGTCTCCCCTGCCTGCAGCTTCAGCGAAAGCCCAGGAGGCACGCTTGGCTCCTGCCCATCCTCCCTGACCACGGTCCCGCCAGCACAATCCAACCAGCAAGCCTCTCAGCCCTGCCTCCAAAACCAACCCCAAATCCCCTTCTCTCTACGTCCTGCTAGTGCCCCAATCCAGGTCATTTTCACCCCCTCCCCACACTAGGGTCTCACATGGCCCCCGCAGGCATCCCCACCCCACCCCCGTCCCACCTCCATCATCCACCAGCCCCAGAGCTAGGAGCCAAACTGGTCCTGCCTTAGACTCTTGGCTGTGCTACCCGGCCTTCCTGAGCCAGCCTGCCTCTACACCCCTTCTCTCTGCCTCTCTCTCCATGTCTCCCTCTCTCTCTCTCTCTCTCTCTCTCTCTGTCTCCCTCCCTATCTCTCTCCCCCTCCCCTGGCCTCATGCTCCTCCCCTGGCCTCATGTTCCTCCCCTTCTCACTAAAATTTCCTCCCAGATTCTTCTGACCTTCCCAGCTTGTTCCTGGCTGGGGCCTGCACTCCAGCTGTCCCTGTGTCTGGTTTTCTCTGTCCCTGATGTCACCGGGTCATTAGGTCTCAGAGAGGCCCCTGACCACCAGGCCTGAAGCACAGCCTGGGCCTCACACTTGTTCTGTTCTCTGCTGAGCACTCACGTGATCATGATTTCCTGTTTGGGGACTAATGGTCCCCCCCCAACCTCCAAGACGGTAGGCTTCATGAGCTCAGGGCCACCCACATCCCCAATACCTGGAGGGTGCAGACCGCACGCTCACTGAAGTCCTTGAAGGGAAGTGAAGGAATGGGTGAGGGCCCCTCCCCAATGGACACAGAAGCACAGGGGGTATCAGGCAGGGTTGCCAGCACACCACTGTGCCTGGCTCTCTGCCAGATGCATCGGCCACCCTCAAAGGACTTCAGATCTGGTTACGGTAGCTCCCCCACCCCATCTCACCCATACTAACACTGTGTGGTCAAGTGGCACATGGTGGGCTATGGATGGTCAGGAAGCAGGAGGCCCTCGGGCTGGGCTTGGAGCTGGAACAATCAGAGGTGACATTTCCTCTAAATCCAGAGCCACCGGAGGACCCAGGTGTTCCATCCGTGGTATATACCCAAGAGAAACGAAAATGTATGTTCAAACAACTAGCTGCACACGCGTATTCATTGCAGCGTCATTCACCACAGCCAAAAACGGGAAACAACCCGAATGTCATCAAGTGATGAAATGATCCACACACTGCAGTCCATCCACACAATGGAATTGTGCTCGGCCATAACAAGGAGGGCATTTCTGACACATGCTGCACCGTGGATGAACCCTGAAGACGGTACGCTCAGAGGCAGAAGCCACACAAAGGCCCCGCGTGGCATGATTCCATTCACGTGACACGTCTGGAGCAGAGCCATCCAGGGATGGAGAGCAGAGGACTGTCCCCCAAGGGCTGGCCGAGGCAGAAATGAGTGACTCTGGTGGGTCAAGGTTATTCTGGGTGAGGAAACATTCTAGACCGGATTATGGTGATGGTTGCCCAACTCTGAATACACTAAAAACCCCTGAATTGTACACCCTAAAGGAGTGAATGGCTTGTGAATTGTTATCTCAATAAAGCTGCTTTTTTAAAAAAATAATGTTTCTTGACCAGGCGCGGTGGTTCACGCCTATAATCCCAGCACTTTGGGAGGCTGAGGCGGGCGGATCACCTGAGGTCAGGAGTTCGAGACCAGCCTGTGCAACATGGTGAAACCCCATCTCTACTAAAAATACAAAATCAGCTGGGTCTGGTGGTGGGCGCCTGTAATCCCAGCTGCTCGGGAGGCTGACGCAGGAGAATCGCTTGAACCCAGGAGTGAGAGGTTGCAGTGAGCCCAGCTTGTGCCACTGCACTCCAGCCTGGGTGACAGAGCGAGACTCTGCCTTAAAAAAACAAAACCAAAACACAAACAAACAACAAAAACCAAAACCAAAAATCAAGAAACTGGAGTGTTTCTTCAGCTGCTGCACCGGCCAGGCATGTTCTCAGCAGTCCACGTGCATTGATTCAGCCAATATACAACAGCTCTCTGAGGGAGAAGAGACCACTGCCCCTCTTGTACAGAAGGGGAATCTGAGGCAGGGAGAGTTTACTTGCCTAAGGACTCAGGGCTGGTACAGGCTGGAGCAGGGTTTACAGCCAGCTCCCTGTGGCTCTAGGACCTGCACAGTCAGCCACCCCATCTGCTATGGCTCCCAGTGAGCACATGATGACGTCAGCCTCGGCCTTCTCCAAACTCCAAGGTGGTGGTGCCAGCTCCACTTTTGCCTGGAAGGTCGGTGGGTGACACTGGGCACATTGAGCCTTGTGTTCCACCAGGGACCAGAGTAAGCCCAGCCCACTTCTCTGCCCCTTCCTGGTGCAGCCCACCTTGCCCCCAGGCTGCCACTGGGTTCAGGCTCTGTACACATGGCACAGCCTGGTTCTGCCCCACCTGCCTGGCTCTGCCCAGATCTTTCAAAGCTCCAAGGCCTCCAAGGCCTCCAAGGATTCCAATGGTGGGGAGGGGGGGGGTAGTGCTGCTCGACTGGTACCTTATACTGTAAATACAGATATAAGTATTACAATTGAGTTTAATATTTAATACAATCAGGTTAATACACATTCCAAACTCCATAAATAATCATTAGCTGAGGTTCTAATTGTGCTGGTGGGATCCAACTTCATGACTAATTTAAAGACCAGAAGATATTCCCATACTCAGTTCCCCGAAACACCATAAATTAACCCGCAGCCCAATCTCTGCTGTTACAGCCGACGCGGTATGTTTGCCAAGGATGGCCTGGCCACTGCGGGCCTCTGCCCAAACCTCCCCAGGCTCACTGCCTGGACAGGCAGGGGTAGCATGTGGCGTGCTGGGCCTTGAAAACTCCACTGGGTCAAGGGTCAAGTCACTGTTGCGGGTGGAGGCTTGGAAGGAGGGTTGGCTGTAGTGTGGGGGCTCATGGTGGGAAGCCAGCTGCTTGCAAGGGGAAGCAGAGGATGGGGCAAGCCAGAAGGCTCGGAGACAGCGTGTGCAAACACAGAGCCTGGGCACATCCCCTTAGCCCCCTGCAGTCCTGCACCTTGGGCAGGGGACTCACGGGGATGGGAGGTTGTCTCTGCAGAGTTCTGGAGAGGGACTTCAGAGTTGCCACCGAAGCAAAATCCCAAGAGCTTTACAGGCAGGAGGGCAGGGGCAGTTTTCTCAGCCTGATTGGAGACTTCTGTGTGATATGAGGAAAAAGCCTGGAAAGTGTGGCTCACTCTGCAAATGTACACAAAATGCCAACATTTCAGAGGTGTGTGGTGACAACAAGGGGCCACATCTGGAATTGAGATGGCCCCAGGAAGGCTGGGAGGCTGGCCCGTGGCAGCCATGGGGGGCCTCGGGGGTCCAGTCCTGGGAGAGGCAGCACCAGAACTCCACAGCCCTGCTCCCCAGGCCTGACGGGCTCCCTGGCCCGTGGCTCCAGGCTGCCTGCAGTAACAGCATCATAGGATCACGAGAAAGAGGGCCTCTGCCCCCCTCCTCAGAATAGCTGAGGACCCTGGTTCCTGGTACCCCAGAAGAGGGACCCCGATGCCAAGCTCTTGGTGTCACCCTGCCTGATGGGGTGGTTCAGGCGCCTGCCACATGGCACCTGCTCCCAGAGTGGGGGAGGTTGAAGCCAGAACTTTGCTGGCCCTGCCTCTTGGTGGGTGCCCCCTGCCCAGCTGCCTCCCACTGGGAAGTGGCCCTTGCAGTGAGGTGGGGAACCAGGGAGCATGCAGACCCCCCACCCTGCCTGTGTGCTGTGGGCGTGGCCTGTGGTGCCGGCCGGGCCTGTGCCCAGTCTTGGCCTGGAGATCTGCCCTGCCAGCGGCAGCCCGCACGGCTTGTGTCTCTGTCTGGTGTCCAGGTGCAGCCTCACACGAAAGGCACCCCTGACTTAAGCCTCTACCCTGTCCAGGACGAAGATGCATCCACATGCATAGGGCAGTGGCCCATCGTCAGCTTAGTGGAATAGCCAGGGCACATGATGCCAGAACGGGAAGGGACTTAGTGATCTCCTGGCCCAGCCCCTCCAGTGACAGATGAGGAAATGCAAGCCGTGGGAGGAGAGGCAGGGGAGTGGTGCCAGCAGCCGGTTCTGGTTGAGCACTTTTGTGGGGCCAGCTGCCTCTGCCTCTGTCATCCCACTTACATCTCCACATGCTCCTCTCACAACTTTTGGAGGCACATATTAGTAATGCGCCCATTTTACAGATGAAGAAATTGAGGGTCAGAGAGCTTCAGTCCTCCAATTACTAGTGGCAGAGCTGGGACTAAAATTCTGGCTTAGAACCACACCGTGATAGGAGGAGGAGGAGAGGAGAGGGCAGGGGAGGGGTGGCAACAGGGTAAGGTGGGCACGGGAGGTGTTCACGGGGTCTTAAGAACAGCCAGGAGAAAAAGATACAGAATTGGATTAGCAGGAGGTGTCTCTGCTTCTCTAGGTTGGACATTTTGGGGACATGGGTCCTGGCACACAGTAGGCACTCGATATTTATACTGACAGGGTCCCACAGCACCCAGGACATTCCCTCCTCCAGTGCTTACATTCTGGGACCTCTAATGGTCCAGTTCACTCTTGTTATTTTTCTAGACCTTGATGCTGAGATTCCAGTGGGTGGAGGGAGCATCCCCCACCACCCTCACGGCACAGCATGGCCCGGCCCGGCACGGTACGGCACTGTCACGGCGGGTTGTGGGCACGTGGCAGATGCTGGGTGACCAAATAGAGCGAAGGCATGACCCAGTCCAAATAACCTATGTGCCAGCCAGTTGTTTCTGGTCACCCTGTCCTGTCCAGCTAGCACTGCTAGCATTTGCTCAGTAAACGCAAACTCACTGCAGGCAGGCCTCAGCTCCCCACAGCCAGCAAGGCACTCCCACGGCAGACAGCTCTGCCCTGCAGGCTCGTGGTTGCAGATGTAAACTTCACTCCTTGGGAGCTGTGGGCTCCGCTGTCCACCCCAGGCAGGGGGAGGTCACATTCTCAGGAAAGGGGATGCAGGTTAGTGTTTGTCACTGAGAGGTTGGAAAAAAAGGACCCGTGTTGTCTAGGGAGGAACAACTGGAAGGTCTTAACAACTCCAGGCACCAGAGAGGTGAGGCACAGTCCAAGAGGCACCGCGTGTCTGTGTGTGTGCCTGGTGTGTGTGTGTGCTTCTCAGAACAATTCTAAAATAGTAATGGGTAGTCCAGAGGAAAAAAATCATGTCACCATTAAGAATGTCACCACACCCCTATGGGAAGAGCGAAGCAGCAGCTAGGGTTGTAGACAGAAGGCACAGCATGCACATGTGTATGCACACACACACGCACATACATGTCACACACATGTGCGTGCACACACACACGCACACACCACTCACACACACATGCACACTTATACACACCACACACTCACAAACATGCACACACACGCACACATGCACACACACACACATGCACACACCCTCCACACACATGCATATACGCACATGCACACACCACACATACACCCCCCAACACACCCACCCTCTGAGGAAACCATCAATGCGACAAAAAGAAAACACGTGAGTCCTATGGGACTGTCTGTGTGAGATGGAGAAGACACACAGAGGGTCTGGGCACAGGACACACACACGCTGGAATGTGAGGCCCACCCATCAAGGCCGCGATGCCTTCCTGCGAGGCCTCCCACACCGGAGCTCAAGCTCTGTGGAGCTCCAAGTTCCATGGAGGGGCCTCACCCCTGCCTTGAGCAACTGGGAATGTCTTCGGAGTGAGCTCAGGTTCCCATAACGCCTTTGAGGAGAACACGCTGATTCAGGAGGGTGTTCCTTTTAGAGAGTGAATTTAGACGAAAGTCATTATGTTTTGGTCACAGTCATGTAGACGGGCCTTGGGGCGCACGGCAGGCGGGGCTGGCATCCTCCTATCAAAGCTGAGCACAATGAACCGAAGCATCCAGATTTGCCTCTGCTTTGCCAGGGGCCTCTGCCTGCACATCATCCTGAGACCAGGAAAGAGCTGCCAGGCAGGCTGTCCCATTGTGGGGGGGGGGAGGGGAGGGTCTCCTGCAGGCATGTGGGGCACAGCTCTGCCATCCATCACGTATTACTTAGAACATTCTGGGAAGAACCTCCCATCAATCAGGAGTGTAGGAGAAGAGGCAGTGAAGCGAGCACGTGGGTGAGGACAGGGGATACTGAAAGATGATCCCCTATCACCTCCAGACCACATCTATCACCCCCACTGGCAGGTGGCAGTGACAGATTTCACAAGTGCTTCTGAGCCAGACATACCTGGGTTCCAGCCTTGGCACGGACCAGCTATGTGACCTTGGGAGCTTCGCGTGTCTTCCAACCTGAGCTGCTTTATTTGTAAAATGGGAACAGCCTTGTGGAGTTGAGGGAAGGATTTGGATAATGATGGGACTACCCAGGTGCCTTGGGCCTGGAGGAGCCGTGGGCTTGTGGTTTAGCTTGGATGCGTGTGGTTAGCTTAGAGAGGACTATCCAAATGCCTTGGGGCTGGAAGGAGCCGCGGGCTTGTGGGTTAGTTTGGATATATGGGGTTAGCTTAGAGAAGACTATCCAGGTGCCTTGGGCCTGGAGGAGCCGCAGGCTTGTGGTTTAGCTTGGATGCATGTGGTTAGCTTAGAGAGGACTATCCAGACGCCTTGGGGCTGGAAGGAGCCACGGGCTTGTGGGTTAGTTTGGATGTATGGGGTTAGCTTAGAGAAGACTATCTAGGTGCCTTGGGTCTGGAGGAGCTGCAGGCTTGTGGGGTGAGCTTGGGTTGGCTCAGGTTGGCTCTCCTGCCCTTTGGATATTTTATCAGCACTCACATCTCTGCACCGCTAGCCCATTCTGCTCAGTGATCAAATAAACTGGTGGACCTGGCTGGAATTCACACCCAATGGTGTATGCATTTAACTGCCTTCCTCAAGGGCTTTTCACACATCAAAAGGTGTTAAAATCAATAAGTAGCCTTGAGGTTTTTTCTTCTTTGAAAGTAAATATATGCATGATCTTGCACTTGGTCAAGCTCACCCGTCCTGGCATTGGGTGCTTAGGAGTCCCAGTGAAGGAAGCCATCATCGGGGAAACGAACAAGCCATTAGGCTGCAGAAAGACGTCAGAACAGGTGCAGCCCGTTAATTTCATCATCACTGAGCGGGTCCGTGGACTTTGCTGAGACAAATATATCTGGAAAGAAAACACTGAGGGGGCAGGGGATGGGAGGAGACTGACATGAATTCAGAGGTTGTTGGCTGGGGTTGCAGTTTTATTTGCTTTTTGAAATAGTGCTGACCAAAGGCCCTGAAGCTTATTAAGAATCCAGGCAGTTCTGGAGGGGGGCTTGGCAGCACCACGGGATGGGCATGGGGAGCTATGGGTGGGGAGGTGGTGGAAGGAGACTTTCCCACAAACGAATCCATGAGAAGGTTGATTGAGAACACGGCCACGAAAGCAGGGGTAACGGAAGGGGTGCAAGGAGAAGAGGGAACCTCGCCCTGTTGGCTGAATAAAGTACAGGAAAACTTCCATGTCAAAATGTTTTTCCCCTAAGGGATTCGCTGATGCATTTCCTTTTTAGAAAAGGGTTCTTTTCTGCTCTCGGGAGCTTAATTTCATTCGGAATGAAAAATGACGAGAGTGAATTGGACCAGCAGCTTGTACCCAGCCTGAACTGCTGGCTCAATGCGCTTCATGTTTATTTAGCTGGAAGCCTGGTTGGGAAGTCATTACCTTCACCAATGCAAAGAGAATAGGGGTGTGGGGTGGGCAGGGAGGGTCACTGCACGGGGATGTGGCTGCAGGGCCGGCCGCTGACCCAGAAGGGGTCCTGGAGGAGCCCATAAGAGGCACTGTGCAGGGGAAGCCACCTCTGCCACGCATCCGCCTGGACCCCAGGCAGCTGTGTTCTCTGGGCATCGGGGGCCTCAGCCCACCTCTTCCAAACCCAGCACAACCAACACAACATCAGTCCAAAGTGTGAGGGCAGCCGCAGGCTGGGCCAGTTCCTGGCCTGATGGAGGCTGGAGAAAGAGGCTGGTCTACTGGACACCCACAAAACAAGACTGACCCTCAGCTCTGCCTGGTACCTGCAAAGCAGCAGCATCTTTGAAGTGGTTCAGGTTTGAGCCACCCAGCCAGTGGTTCTCACTGTATTTTAGCTCATGTGAGGAACAGAACCAAATTGAAAAGGGGAAGCCACCAGCATCACAGGCACACAATCTGAGTGATTTTGTTTTCAAGGCAGGCCTGGAAAGTTTTCATTTTCAGGAAAGAAATCAAGGCGGGGGCGGGAAGAAAACGCTTGCTAAAGCCATCGATATTTTGTCATATGGAACAGGAGCAGCCTCCGTTAGTAGGTTTTGCTTCCTTCGTGGTTTCGTGTTCATAGCTTCTAGAATAAATGAGGGAGACAGAAGTCTGCCTGTGCTAAGGTAATATTCCTATGTTCCTTTTCTTTTTTTTTTTTTTTTTTTTGAGATGGGAGTCTTGCTCTGTCGCCCAGGCTGGAGTGCACTAGCGTGATCTCGGCTCACTGCAACCTCTGCCTCCTGGGTTCAAGCAATTCTCCTGCCTCAGCCTCTTGAGTAGCTGGGACTATAGGCATGTGCCACCATGCCCAGCTAATTTTTGTATTTTTAGTAGAGATGAGGTTTCACCATGTTGGCCAGGCTGGTCTCGAACTCCTGACCTCAAGTGATCTGCCCGCCTCGGCCTCCCAAAGTGCTGGGATTACAGGCGTGAGCTATCGCATGTGAATTCGGTCTAGATTTAAAAGTACACGGAATCATGGTGAGATTTGTTGTGTGTGCTTGTGACAGGTCCTTAGAGACCTGGTGGGAGGATGCCTGGGCAGCCCAGGACCTGCCTTTTCTAGACCCTCTTGTTGGCAACACTCCTCCCGATGTCAGACCCGAGTCCTTGCCCATCATGCAGAGCGGTTAGTGGCTGTGGCAGCTCCAGCCATCCTGTTTCTTTGTGCTTTGTTGGATCCATCGCCTAGAACTCTATGACTGCTTCAAAACCAACTAATTTCCCTTTGTTTGAGACATCGTATCATTTGCCTGTTTCAGTACTTATAAATGGAGATGCCTTCTCCAGGACCATCGTAACATTTGCCTGTTTCAGTACTTATAAATGGAGATGCCTTCTCCAGGACCATCGTAACATTTGCCTGTTTCAGTACTTATAAATGGAGATGCCTTCTCCAGGACCATTGTAACATTTGCCTGTTTCAGTACTTATAAATGGAGATGCCTTCTCCAGGACCATCGTATCATTTGCCTGTTTCAGTACTTATAAATGGAGATGCCTTCTCCAGGACCATCGTATCATTTGCCTGTTTCAGTACTTATAAATGGAGATGCCTTCTACAGGACAGTTGATTCTCATCTGGGCCATGTTTCCGTGAGCATCGGCACGAGTGGACAGTCCGTTTCCAATGCAGGGTTGCTGAAGAGAATTATTTATGAAGTCTCTGAACCACTTGGGGTTCAGAAAATATTTTGGGAAGAGTAAAACCTAGGTTACAATATTTAATAACTTTCTTCAATGTTTTGTTATTCCAAATCCACAACCCAAATGTTTTGGTTTGTTCAGAAAATAACAGCAACAAGAAAGTCATAAAAAATAGGGAGGAGAGTGCGTGGTGATTGAGACAGGCCCTCATGGGAGCTGAAGGCTCAGAGCAGTCACAAGGAGATGGCTGGAAGCAGGCTTGGGGGAAGAGACTCGCTTTTTTTTTTTGACATGGAGTTTTGCTCTGTCACCCAGCAGGCTAGAGTGTAGTGGCTTGATCTCGACTTACTGCAACCTCTGCCTCTGGGGTTCAAGGGATTCTCCGGCCTCAGCCTCCTGAGTAGCTGGGATTACAGGTGCTCATCACCACGTCCGGGTAATTTTTGTAGTTTTAGTAGAGACGAGATTTCACTATGTTGTCCAGGCTGGTGTCGAACTCCTGACCTCAGGTGATCCACCCACCTCGGCCTCCCAAAGTGCTGGGATTACAGGGGTGAGCCACTGTGCCCAGCCAGCCTTCTCTTTTATGACTGCCCTGATGGACTTTGGGGTCATGAAGGGGCTGGAGATGGCAAGCTTGGGGCCCTTCATCCTCTGGCCCTGGTGTTCGGAGAGAAGAAGGGCAGACACAGAAGTAGACCTCGCTTTGTAAATGGTCATGGATTCAAAAGCTTGTGTGGATATTTGCAGCCTGTGTGACACCTGGCAAATGATTCCACTCCCTGTGCCTCAGTTTTCCATCCACAAAATGGGAGTGGTGCTACCTGCCTTGCGGATGTGTTGGAGGATGAGAAAGAAGATGCTTGAAAATCTCCTTCTACGACGCAGGCACATCGCAAAGAACAGCCAACCCTCCTCTGGGCTGTAACCCTCTCCTCGCTCCTGCACTGAGAAGCTGTCAGTGGCGCTGTCCCCCCTTTCTGCCCCAGCCAGGTGGATAGACAAGCTGCAGTTAATATGCCCACAAGAATTCCCATTTGCTCTTTCCTGATTTCATGCCATGGTCAGCTAATGAAACAGACCTGTTGATGAAAAGTTCCATGTGGATGCAAATGGTACTAGTTCATAACCATATATTCCTGCTCATTTACGTGATACACCCAGAGATGTTGTACCTTCATTTCTGACCATCTTCAATTAACACAGGCTCCACATACTGTAGCATACAATGCCCTGAAACCTTTCCATCAAGTAGGTAAAGATCTGTAAACCAATATTGAAATGCACTAGAGAAGCTCCATCCTACAGGAATCCTGCTGTGAGTCCCTGTGGTTTCCCGAAGATCCACTGACAGTGCCAGAAACCACCTGCTCCTTTATCTGCTTTGATAAGGCTGCATTTTCATGCATTGGTTTTTGTTTTGTTTTGTTTTTTTGAGATGGAGTCTCGCTCTGTCACCCTGGCTGGAGTGCAATGGTGCGATCTCAGCTCATTGCAACCTCCGCCTCCTGAGTTCAAGTGATTCTCCTGCCTCAGCCTCCCAAGTGTCTGGGATTACAGGCGCCCACCATCATGCCCAGGTAATTTTGTATTTTTAATAGAGATGGGGTTTTGCCATGTTGAGCAGGCTGGTCTTGAACTCCTGACCTCAGATGATCCACCTACCTCGGCCTCCCAAAGTGCTGGGATTACAGGCGTGAGCCACTGCACCCGGCCTGTGCATTGGGTTTTGTTCAAGTGGGTACATCTGTCCTACACAGAAAGTCAATGGGCAGAATGGCTGCTGGCTTGAGACCATTCCACTCAGATCAGCTGGCACTGTGACCTTCTAGAAGCTGAGTACTGGTGCAGAGTCTATTGCAAATAAATGTCCCTGGCCTGCCTCTCCGAGCCCTTGTGAGGACCCTCTGACGTCATGTGGCTGCCTTGATTGGCATTGCAGAGATTGCTTGGCTCCCATGTCATAGTGGCCACCTGGAACTTTCTAGGACTTTCTGCCCCTTAGAGAGCCTGGTAATTCCTGGCTTCTCACTGCAGGTTTTGGACTCAGTGGAGTGAGGCCACTTTCTCCACGCCCCCGGCTGCCATCTGCAGTTCTGCCCCAGAAGTATAGAGATGACTCTCCTGTCCCCATCCCCTCCTCCATCACCAAATCACCCCAGCACTTCTCTCCCCCTGCAGCCTGCTCCCAAAGACCAGCAAAGCCTGTTGAACAGAAAACGCTGAGATGGGGGTGCTTCACGCCCGGCCCCTGATGCTTATTAACTGTGCAGGGAGGGTTTGCCCATCCCTGGGCTGGCTTCCTCCTGATATGTGACAGAGCTTAATACGCTGCGGCTCCCAGCCTCGCCAGCCACCCCGAGAGAGCTGCATTTCACAAGCCTTTTGTTAACCCCCTACTGGGCTGATTCCGTGACTTTCTGGTTCTTCTCCCTTGGTGTTAAGAATGGGAAAGGGTAGGGCCCTAAAGAGGATGGAGCCAGGCTGTGCGTTAACATAGAAGCTGGAGAGGGAGGTCCCACCCATAGACCTGCTCACTGAGGGAAGACGGAGGTGCCCAGCAAGGAGGTGCCTGCTGAGGACGCCCTGGTGCCCTCCTCAGACACTGTCAGAAGCCTGGTCCCACACTGTGGGCTGAGAACGCTGTAGGGTCAGGGTTCCCTAATCCACCCTATGTGCGTGTCAAGTGAGGTCCTGTGGCCAGAGACTCTGAGAAAGCAGCATGAAGCCAGGCACAGTTCACTAGCGGTGCTTCCCCCACATCACAGCGGCCCTGACGCAGCTCGAGGGGCTCACACCGGGGCAAGCAGGATAGCTTTACCCAGAGGACAACTTGCTGTTGGCAGACCAGTGACAGAGCCTTTTGTGGAGCAAAGGGTGCTCTTTTTAAGGGGACAATCGCTTCTTCACCCTGGTGCTCTGAGTGTGTTTGAGACCCTCTGCTCGCTAAGGCGAAGGACCCCCTGCCTTACTGCTCCCAGGTGCGAGAAGGGCTGACAAGTGTCACTCCCACTTGGAAAGCACCAATCTTCCCTGACCCCCATAGCACTCCCCACCCACAGGGGGCCCTGGGTGCAGCATGTCTGTGCAAAGAGGGAGGGAAATTGGGTTTCAATGGATTCGTTTTTCCTCTTGAGTAGGTTTGCATTGAGTGGGGGGTAGAGTGGGGTGTTGATCCGAGGGGTTGTCACATACGCCTTGACCTTCCAGCTCAGTGTCTCCCCTTGCTGCTGTCCAGGAGCTCCATGACATGCTCAGCAAAATCCACAACGTGAGATTCTCCAACCAGTGCTCTGGGCAGGATCAGACCCACTGATGTGAGACCGGCCAACAGGCAGCTGGGCCAGGCCAGGGCACCAGGGCCCCTCCCCACCCTGAGAATCGGGGATCCTGAGGTGACCTGTGCCCTGTGCCGGCACTGATGAGGTTGGCAGGGAAGCTTAAAGAAAGAAGGGCTCAGCCATGGCTGGAGGGACAGAGCCCACAGGGGTCCAGGCAGGTTGGGCTCCCCGGTCTCAGAAGCTTCCTGGACACCTTGGCCTGTGCTGACCGCCTGGCCTCCCTGCTTCTGGAATGGACGGGCTCATGGGACGTGTGCTCTGACCTGCCCACTGTTTCTCAGGATTGTCACATTGCGGCACGTCGCAGACAGTGAGTGCGGCTGTGCATGGGACGCGCTCTGCCAGTTAAGTCGGGCCATTCCGGGCGCTGCTGCAACCCCTCTCGGGCTCCACATTTCACTCCCACACACAAAGTCTTAAGTCCCCACGAGGCCCTGCCTGCTCTGCCCCAGAACCCTCCAGATTCCACCTCTGAGTCTCAAATGCCAAAATGCCACCTTCTCAGTGAAGCCTCTGATCTCCTCCTTCCCTTCTCTGCACCCCGGGCCTCAGCCCTGCTCCCACCTGATATGCGACAAATCATACCACTTGCTGGCTGCCCGTCCCCTCTCGGGGCCAGGGAAGCTCACCAGGACAGGGCTTCTTTGGAAGTCTGTTTTGAGAAAGGTGATCCCTGCCCCCAGATACCACAGGCCACCAGGGAGGACGGACGGGCACACAAATACTTGCCATCAGAGAGCGGAGATAGATCCCATCTGTCTGCTCAAAGAAAGTCCTCCCATGACTGGAGGAGTCTCCTGGCCTTCTTCTGCAGGCTGGACTTCCTGGTAGTGGGGCCCGATAACCACTGCCCCTTTCCATTCTCTGCAGCCCCCCCCAGCCCGGCTTCCAGCCCCTCCATCCTGGTCAGTCTGTGGGCATGAGACTCCCCCACTGCAAAACGTGATGGGCAGTTTCCGTCCTTACCACGTCTCTCCCCACCTCCTGCATGATCCCTCGCCCGTCATCCCAGAGGCTCTGCCCTCAGCTTCAGTGGCCCACACTCCAGCGAAATCCCAGGGCCTCTTTCCCCTGGGCCTAGCTTCAGTTCACTGGTCTTCTCACCCCACAGCGACATGCTCTCCTGGGATGATCTTATCCATCTCCACGTTTCATGTCCCCCAAAATATAATGACCCCCCCAATTGATATAGCTGACCCCAATAACCTCTCTGATTTCAGAGTTCATCAGTGAGGTAATAGGGAGAAGTAGAGTGTTCTA
This sequence comes from Homo sapiens, assembly GCF_000001405.40. NCBI lineage: Eukaryota > Metazoa > Chordata > Mammalia > Primates > Hominidae > Homo > Homo sapiens. Next base: position 79,288,868 of record NC_000017.11, read on the forward strand.
GGCAGAAGGAACACTGCATGAAAAGCACAAGTTCTGAAAGGGAAGGACCTGGCTCCTGTTGGGGACAGAGTTGTTTAGCATGGATGGAATACAGTAGCAGGGAATGAGGGGGTGAGCCCCAGGGACTGGGGTGGGAATCTTGCATCCATGGGGACAGCTGGGGGGAGTCACTCACAGCTGTCCTCCTGTCATTATCACATTTGGAAAGTGACCTCACCAGAACCTGTCATCTCTAACCTTCTGCTGCTCCCCAGATCCCAAAAGACACGCCCCTATGCAGAGCCAGGGACACCAGGCCTCTCCAATACGTTCCGCACAGCCTCTGCCCACGTCGTAGTCTCAGGCCCGAGTCGGCGGGTTAGGTGTGGCAAGAGCCATCTGGAGCCCTGTGGCTGGCCCAAGCTTCAGTCCCTTCAAGCCAGAGAGATGGGGAAGGTTAGAGTATTCTCCAAAACTCAGGCCTGTTTCTGCCCCGGCCCTTAGTGTCGACACCCAGGACCAGCTTTGTAGACCAGTGAGCACTGGGACCCGGCAGCCTCGCCAGCCATCAGCAGCCACAGAAGGAACCCAGTACCCAGTCCCCATCAAGCCCTTGACTGGCCTTTGCCCCTGACTTCAGAGCTGAGGTCCCCAGAAATTATCTGTCTTTTCTGTTTAAGCCACAGCTTCCCCTGACTTCTTCCTTTTGTGTTGGTGACAGCCCAGGGACTGTGCTTTTTCCAGACACGATGTTAACTCTCTGGTCCTACTTCCTGGCTCAGGGGACAGCCCTTTGGGGCTTTCCCCCTTTGGCATCATCTTTAAAGCTGCTTCCTGCACTCAAAGCTGCCTCCCAGCTCCTGGCCTCTGGTTTAGAGCTTCCCCCAGAAAGTGGCGTATTTTATCTTTATGTGTCAGGATTTATATAAAAAGGGGATAGTTCAACTCTAAATGTAATGAGTTGGAAGAACAGCTCTCTGGTGGCTTTCTGTAGTGAACATGACATCAATAACATTGATTGCTAAAAATAACTAATAACACTGGGCTATAACTAATAACACTGGGTGGCCAGGGACTGCTCCAACCCTACCCCTAAAATGGATGAAAGGGAAACAGGCCCTTGCCTCCAAACAGACACACCTCCAACAGGTGAGTTCCCAGAGGGTTCAGACAGAAGGTGGAGGAGAAGCAAGATGCCCAGGGGGTCTGAAGGGGTGAGCAGAAGTTTTTCAGGCACTGGAAGCTCCTTGGAGGGCAGGCAGGTGGTGGGAGACAAGCACATGCTGTAGGGGGGTCCTCACATACCAGTGTGAGACACACATGTCTGGAAGGGGAACCTTCTCAAGCTGGAGGAGGCATCATAGAGCCTTGTGAAGGAGGCCTCTTGGGAGGCCCATGAAGATGGCAAAGGAAAAGGGAAGGAAGGAATGAGAGGCAGGATGGCTCGTGGCTAGGAATGCAGGCTCTGGGGTGAGCCAGCTGGGTTGGAGTCCTTGCTAGCTGTGTGGGCCCGGGTAAGCCATCGAGCCTCTAAGGGCCTCATTTTCCCCATCTGGAAAGTAGAGATTCGTGATTTTCCATATGCTGTGACGGTGTCATGGGCTTCCCATGAGGACCCGAAAGCACAGCCTATGTGTGGCTCTTCGCCTCATGCCTGGTGCCTGGGAAGTGGTTCAACACATGCCTGCCGTTGCCACGTCCCTTCTCGGTATAGCCAAGGGAAGGGCTCTGAGAGCTAGCAGTTAGCAAATGGAGTCTGAGGTTGACCCACGTGACCCTTGCTAAGGGCCTTCTGAGGTCAGGCCCGAGGGAAATAAATGATATTTAGGATGAATGTTTACCAAAATCAGAGAAGCAATCATTTCTGACAAGGCAGACGGACAGGCATAGTTACATACATCTCATCGAGCCTCCAGAGGCTTCTCCTCTGGGTTTGCTGACTGGTGGCTGGAGAGGCTCTACCTTACACACAAAATCAATTCTTCCATGCCCTCAGCCCTGGCCACTCTGCCCTTGACACCCTGGCTGCGTTCTCCCAGAAATAGCTGTGTGCTTGGATTGGAATCTGCTGGGGCGAGGGGCAGCTGCAGCAGGCAGCTCAGCTCAGCTCAGCCTGCGTGGCTCTCTGCCTTTCTGGAAGGATTAGCTTGCCTAACCTCTCCCAGTGCTTCCCACCCCTCTCCTGGGACTTTGGGAGAGGAAAGGCAAATGAAAGGTGTGGTGTTGGGGGCTGGAGGAAAGAAAGACCATGATAAAATGCCAGCCTGCAGTTGAGGAAGAAAGTTATTTAGTGGGTCAAAAATGAGTCAAAGTTTATAGAGAAGAAATGACATGTTTTAAAATTAATAGCATAAATGTCAACTCTGATGGCCAGGGCATTAAACCATAGGATCAATGGAGCATTCTTTGTGAGGTTATTTTCTCTCTCAGATGTGCCCTGGGTGTGGGGAAAAGAGCGAGAGCTCGCTCTGCGGTGCCACATTTTGGATTCTGGGGTAGCTCCATCAGCTAGGTTACAGTGTGAGAGATAAGAAAGTTGCTATGAGGCTGTGTTCAGTTGGCTGGTCTGCATGGAGCTGACATTAAATACAGTAGGAATCTGCAGCCCTCGGCTTCAAGTGTGGGGATTTATTGAAGTCTTGCAAAAGCTCTTGGTCAGGGATGCTCCTCCCCTGGGCAGGAAGAATGGGGCTGAGGGCACACTCAGAACCCTGTGTCATGCATCCACCCCTTGAGCCTCACAGTCCCTTATTGCATCAGTAACAGGGTCTGCAGAGCCGGAATGGCTCACTGCCCAGGGAGGCAGGACCAAACAGGGAGTTTTCTCTGAAGTCTGCCTTGATCTCTGTTCTCAGGGACAGGCAGCAGTGTGGAAGAGCCCCTGCGTTCACAGAACACAGAGAGTACACAGCCCCTCTCCCCTGGCAACTCTTGGAGCCTTTCTAGATGACCTCATGTGGTTCCCCTCTGTTCAGGAGCAAGCAAGGGAACTACCTTTGCAGGTTGGCTATGAGAAACTAGGGCGCCACATGATTTAGCTAATTCCAACACAAAAGCTTCACCACGGAGCTGAACCTTGAATTTCACAACGCCCAAGTCTCAATCCTGGGTTGGAGGCATGGGTTTAACTACAGCCAGCCTCCACCCCTACTTAGATGCTGTAGCTTAGGACCCCCAAAGCCAGCCACGGAGCTCTCTCACCAATTTACCCCACCCCTCATTCCAGGGCTTTCTCTGGTGATCAGTATTTTGGGGTTGCTCTGAATTACTATGAATCTTCCAGTAATCATATTGTGGTAATAGAGGGGTTGCCTGAAAACCACAGGAAGCCAGGAGATGCCTGGTGCCAGGACACTTCACAGGACCTGAAGAACAGCTTCAGGTGAGGACTAAGAGCAAAACCAGGGTAAGGAAGGGCAGAGAAAATCCCACTCGTGTGCATCTTCACAGACCCCACGAGTGTCAGGACCCCGCATGCCTCCAGTATAGAATTTATTCTATTGTGCCTTCCTTGTCTCCCCACTAACCAAGAGCAACCAGGGGACCAGTGCTGTCTCCCCACTAACCAAGAGCAACCAGGGGACAAGGGGACTGTGGCACCAGTCACTAGCATGTCCCCGGCACATGGAAGGTTCTCAATGAATACTGGTTGAAAAAAGGAATTAAAATGTTAGTCTATAATGGAACATGTTTACACTCACACTTACAGTTGGCACTGTACACACACACACACACATGCACACACACACACACGCACACACACACACACATACATGCAGACCCAGTGCACTGCCCTTAGAAGTGTTTGATGCTGCGAAGGACAGCATGGGCTGCTTTCGCTGTGTAATGAGGGAACAGCAGTATGCCAAATGCTTAGAAGAGATCCTTTTGCTTTCTTTCCTCCGCTCAATTCTGCCGCTAGAGACCCTACTGTTGTATTCTGATTTCACCAACATGAAACTGCATTTGGGGGAAAAAATCACCCATTCCCTTTATATTAGGAAAGTAAGAAGCAAACAGACTTCGTTTTGGAATTTGGCCTTTGTTTTGGGAGTTGGTATAAAAGACAATTCCTCCCTGGAGGTTTTGCTTTGGTTTTATGGGGTTTTTATACCTGCCCCCACCTTCCATCCCCCTTGAAAAGAGGCCCCTGAAGAGTTTGCTTGGCTGGAACATCACAGACCAAAGTCTGAGAACTGCTTCTATTTTACAGTGCCACTGTTAGTAATGCCTCATATGTATATTATATTTCATAGTTTTTCAAAGCCACTTAAAAGTATGGCCTCATTTGACCCTTCCATCAGACCTAGATGGTCAACAGAGCACATCTCATTATCTCCGTTTAACAGGTAAGAAAACTGAGAATTTAGAGGGTAAAGTGACCTGCTCAAGCCCACATGGGGCCAACAAAAATGTTCCAAGTTACTCATCTGCTGCTCACATCAAGACCGATCTTTGCTTCCTTCCTTCCTTCTTTCCTTCCCTGCCTCCCTCCCTTCCTTCCCTGCCTCCCTCCCCTCCCCCTCCCTCCCCTCCCTTTCCTTTCCCTTCCCTCCCCTCCACCCCTTCCTTCCTTCCTTCCTTCCTTCCTTCCTTCCTTCCTTCCTTCCTTCCTTCCTTCCCTTCCTTCCTGTCTCACTCTGTCTCCCAGGCTGGAGTGCAGTGGCACAATCTTGGCTCATTGCAACCTCCACCTTCTGGGTTCAAGTGATTCTCCTGCCTCAGCCTCCTGAGTAGCTGGGATTACAGACTTGCACCACCATGCCTGGCTAATTTTTGTATTTTTAGTAGAGACGGGGTTTCACCATGTTGGCTGGGCTGGTCTCGAACTCCTGGCCTCAGGTGATCTGCCTGCCTTGGCCTCCCAAAGTGCTGGGATTACAGGCATGAGCCACTTGCCCAGCCTGAGCCATTCTTGCTTTAGATAACCTGCTGCTTTGGGGGCTGACAGATAAGCAGGAAGGCTGCCCTGTAGCAGCGGCAAGGTCCACAAATAAGCCAGATGAAGGAGAAGAGAAATATAGGGAGGCTGTCAGGGACTCATTCTGGTTAGGATTTAAGCCCCAGCTGCTATTACAGGATGGAGAGATGAAACAGGGCCGAGAAAGAGCCTCGGCCAGCATGGGGTCAACTAGGGCAGGGGAAGCAATGACATAGTCTCACAGAGTCACCTGTCCGACTTCCAGAGCAGGTACAGATTCATACAGAGCAGGTGCAGATTCATACTGCAGCCTACTATGCTCTTCAACTGGGGCCACCTGCTTGCCTTACAGAGTCAGAAAAGCAAAGTGAACCAGTTTTCTATTCCTCTCCAACAAGCCGCTGCTCTTCCCTAACAGTTTATCTGCACTTAAGATCCCTCAGCAGAATCCTGGACTGGAGAGCAAGTTCGTCAGATTAGATGGGGCATACCTTTCACCCAGTTCTAGCCTTGAGTGTCTGTGCCGGACTCCGGTAGCAGACACCTTTTGCTTTTTTTTTGTGGATGGAGTCTCACTTTGTCTCCCAGGATGGAGTACAGTGGTGTGATCTCTGCTCACTGCAACCTCCATCTTCCGGGCTCAAGTCATTCTCTTGCCTCAGCCTCCCGAGTAGCTGGGACTTCAGGCGCCTGCCACCACGCCCAGCTAATTTTTTGTATTTTCAGTAGAGATAGGGTTTCACCATTTTGGCCAGACTGGTCTCGAACTCCTGACCTCAAATGACCTGCCTGCCGCGACTGGGATTATAAGCGTGAGCCACCACGCCCCGCTAGATACCTTTGCTTCTTGGAGAAACAGGAAAGATGCGGAATGGGGGAAGGCAGGAGTTCAGCACCACGGACAGCGACCTGCGGGTGGGAGACGCTGCCAGCCACGCGGCCGAACTCCGGACTGGGGGCCACGTGGAGGAGGCCTTGGTTCAGCTCTGCCCCATGCCTCACGGGACACACATTTATCACCTGGAAACAGCGGCCAGTGCTCAGGAAGGCTCATGCCATTGCGGATCTGCCTTCATTAAATCCAAAGCATGATTGCTTGTCACTTGCTTTAATTCGTTTCCCTCCCAACTCTTTATTTGAAGAGCTTTCTAAAGTTTTGTCCATAAGAGGAAGAGATTCTCTTTTGGGGGTGGGTGAGACCTTGTTATGGAAGAGAACAGCGGCCAGTTCAGGGAGTGTGGTCTTCCACTTCGATCGTGATGTGTTTCTGTGTCGCTTGAAGTCTAGCTTGCCTTTCCTAACGCTCTCGGCCCGGGTCAGAGACTCCATGTGAGAGAAGACGGCCACAGGGAATGTGCTTGGATTTGGGAATCTTCTCAGAGGCCACGGTTTGACCTGGCACCAGTGGTTGGGGCCCATAAGCCACGCAGCACGCAGATGAAATCCGCCTCGTGTGTCCTCACTAAATCCACAGCGCTAGAAATGCATTTAAAGGCAATCCTGCCTGCCCACAGCAGATTTTCCATACCCTGGCAATTGGAGCATGTTAAGGATGAGACACAGCTGCCAGGTCTGATTTCTTAAATCAAGATTCGTTTTGTAGGGAGAGCAGGAGGAAAAAATTAATGCACAACCTGGCAAGGTGAGGGAGCGAGGGAGGGATGCCTGCCGCCTTGGTGGCTCTGTCCACTTTGGGTGGGAGCCAGTTCCTTTCCAGCAAGCGCCTTCCAGCTCAGGGAAGGGCAGGGGCTTCCCACAGACAGCCTGGGATGAGCAATGCCTGACTCAGGGTCTGAGTGCGGGCAAAGTCAGGTGCTGATGGAAAGATCAGAAGTTGTTGGCTTACATTTTGTTTGATTTGTTTTTCTCTGAGTTTTCAGCCATTCTCACCACATCACACTTGGTTTCCTGTCCTGCCCCACCGTCAGCTCCCCCTGCTCCCCCAGCACCCTGTGTCCATCCCACAAGGATGGATGAGCCAAGCTGCTCAGGCACAGCTTGAGGGTGGGATCTAGTACCTTCCCTTCCCTGGCTGCAAAGCATGGGGTGCGTTTGAGGAAGGGTGAGGGCAGCATTGGGAGTGGGGACTGTGCAGTATGTTTCGGTCTGTCTGTGGCAGGGCATGGGGAAGGGCGGTTATTTGTAAATAATACTTAATTGATGAGACTTAAATAATAGATGAGCCAGCGTCATTCCCAGTGGCCCAGCAGTACTGATGGCCACCTTCATTCTTCCATTTCCCAATTACAACAGGGTGGGGCTGGGCTTGGGGGAGGGGTGTCAAGAAGGGGATAGAAGAGGGCAGGGGAGCAACGGGGTGAATTAGAGACTTTTGTTGCATTTAATATCAATTCATTTTGCAGGCTGCTGACACAGCCAAATTTCACAGCTCTGAATTTGTGGGGCTCCCCAGTGTACAGACGCAAAAGGAAAATACAAAAGAACTTTTTAAAAAATGGCCTGCCATCAGCAAAAAATTAAAAGAAAATTTTAACCCCCACCCCGCAAAAAGGCACAAACAGACACACACACACACACCACACACACACACACACACACACAAAATCTGATTTTGATTTCTTATATGGTTGAGGGACTCATCTCATTACTTAATAATCACATTGTTTGCCAGAGCCGGGCTGTGTTTTGTCGCTCTATGGGCCGACTTTGTTACACCTGCATATAAAAATGACAAGTGTAGTGAGATTGTCAGCAAAAGGGACACACTGAAGAACAGGCACAGTCCCCTGACTGGAGGAGGGTAGCCCCAGTCTAACCCCTCCCCGGGGAGCCGGGCTCCCAGGAAAATGCCCAACGGAAGAGTCCATACCTGGCCTCCAGCCTGGGAGGTTTGCTTCCTCCACACACACCAGCTGTAGACTCTCCCATCTCCCTCCTCTTCCTCCTCCCCTCCCTCCTCCCCTTCCTCCTCTTCCTTTTTTCCTCTTTCTCCTCCTCCTGTCTTCTCCTCTTCTTGTCCTTTCTCCTTCTTTTACTACTCCTCTCTGTCTTTCTCCTCCTCTCCCTCCTCTTTTCCTCCTCCCCACTTCTCCTCCCCTTCTTCCTCCCCCCTCCTCCCCCTCCTCCTGCTTCTCCTCCCTTTCCTTCTCCTCCTCTCCCTCTTCTCCTCTTTTTCCTCCTCCCCATCCCCTCTCTCTCCTCCCCCTCTCCCTCCTCCTCCTCTTCCTCATCCTCTCCTCCTCCCTCTCCTCTTCCTCCTCCCCATCCCCTCTTCTTTCTCCTCCTGCCCCTCCTCTCCCCAGCAGCTCTGGCTTTTTCCTCCTGATCTTGGCCAGTGTCTTGCTCTGTGTGCGTTCATTTTCTTAAAGTGATGCCCAAGGCCCACTACCTGCCTTGTCTGGAGCTTGGCAGAGCCTCCTCTTCTCCGAGCAGCCATGAGTTGGGGACTGGGGTCACATAAAAGCTGAATAAGAATGACTCCCAGCAAACAGCTAACACCCTGGACTCCCATCTAGGGACTTAGTGAGTGCTCCTTCCATGGGCCCCTTGGGATCCAGCCTCCCAGGCAGGCTTATCTATGGCCAAGGTGCCCCTCATGTGAGCTAGCCCTGTGGAGAGCCGTGTGCCTTTGGGAAGCACCAAAGCTGGGGTGCTGCTGCACATCCCGGGCCAGCCCCAAGGGTAACTAGTAGAGCAGGTGAGATTCATCTCTCCCTGGTGACATGGCTTCCTCGGGCCATCCCCCGGTACCACTGAGACCCCTTCCAATCAGCAATCCCAGGGTCCCAGGAGCAGGCTGGGCTCTGGCCTCCAGGAGAAAGAAGCAAAGCTGATGTAGGACAGACACTGGAAATCTGGCCCAGTGCCTGCCACAAAGCAGGTGGCCATAGGCCAGGGCACAGTGTGCCTTTCCCAGGGAGATGGGGGTCAGGCCCAAGTCATGGTTTATTCATAATAAACACAGCCGGCCACACTGACCAGTCCATAGGTCCCAGCCCACTTGGGGGTGGCCCTCAGGAAGTTATGCCCTTGGAATTGGGCCACAGGAGCAGATGGGGTGACTGAGGCACTGGGTGTTTCCCCACCTCACTCCAGCTACTCTTTAGAAATTGTTCTAAACAGTTGAGCAGAAAAGCCTATTTGTCTGACTATACCCAAATGGTCAAATAATAATAATAAAAAAGCCTATGAATTACCAACAACGCGTGTGTCTGGGAAGATGTAACGGGTGGTAGTGTCCCATTCTGGTAGCTTCTCCTTGTGGAGAGTTCGCCATCAAGCAAATACGAAACACATTTGGGTTAAGTCATTGGACTCAGTAGCATCTTAGAGCAAACAGTTAAAGGTAGATATGAGCCAGTTCAGATCTAGCAAGCTCAGGAGCACTGGAGATGTCTTCTGGAAGTCAGAAAAGCATCTGCAGCTACTTTGCAGCACTCCATCGAGCAACACCCCAGGGGAAAGGAGCTATGTCTGCATTTAATGGGCAGTTTATTAAACACCAAATAAGTGCCGGGCACTGTGAAGGCATGGGTGGGGGACAAAAGTAAATTGCAACAAATCTCAGCTTTTAGCTGCTCCCTCCTGGTAGAGAAGAGACTGGAGGCATAGGCTGGCTTCACGATGGGCGAGCACAGAAAGCACAGAGGCGGTGCTGGGAGAGTTGTGGCTAGCTTCTCCGGGAGAGGACACCTGGATTAAATATCAGAAGACAAGCAACCTTTGACTAACAAGGGTTTTCCAGGCCAAGATGCAGCATGACCAAGGGTGCAGCGGTCAACAAGCCAACGCTTCACTTGATGGAGAGGGTCAGGAAGATTCTGCGGCCACCAGGTCGCCAAGTCCATGCTTGGTGGAACACGGCACACCAGGAGAACAGCAGGGCATTGCAGCCCCAGAACCTGCCGAGGAAGCCATCTCAGGCCAGTGATGTGTCAGAAGGTGCCCCCTGAGATCCGAGGGTCATCTCGCCGGCAGGGCCCAGCTGGGGAAGCTGGGGGTCCTACCTCTTGACACTGCCCCCACTTACACACCTTGAGTTTGAGGTGTCAGGGGTGGTAGGAGAGCTGGAGTGGTTTCTCAACAAATGAAGTGGAAGAGGGTGGAGGGCTGTGGTGTGGGCATCACTGCAACATGCCACTGCTGCTGGATGCGAGTGATGTTGACCTTGCTGGCAGGACAAGACAGCAGCAAACAGACTGTGCTGGTGGCACGATCCATCAGGGCTGGGTGGCAGCACCGGGCGGCAGCCTGCTGATGCAAGGCTGGGAGGCGGGAGGGCGCGAGTCTGTAACTGGAGAGGTTTGTTTGGATTCAGCATTGCTGAAATCCTCCCTGGCAGCAGATGCGGCTGGCCTCGGAAATACGGGAGGGACATGGGAAATGAACTAATAAATAAGAGGCCAGGTGTGGTATCTCGGTGCTGGCAAAACAGAGGCCAGAGAGGGTGGGATGTGAGGGCGGGTCCCATTCCTGAAAGTAAACCTGGCAAACCCTGGCCAGCACACCCAGACACAACCCCGGATGGCATCAGGCTCGGTTAGGGGCTGAGTTTTGTCCCCTCAAAATTCCTGTGTTGAAGTCCTAACCACTGGTTCCTTAAAATGGGACTGTACAGGCAGTCCTCTGGATCTTAGAGTTCTGCATCCATGGATTAAACCAACCACAGGTCAAAAGTATTAGAAAAATAAATAAAAATAATGATACAACAATACAAATAACAGAAGTGAAAAAATACAGTGTCATTGCTATTTTCGTGGCATCTACATTGTATGAGGCCTTGTGCGTCACCTAGAGGTGATCTCCAGGGTACTGGAGGATGCACGTGGGTTACATGCAGAGGCTGCGCCATTTCCTACCAGGGGTTTGAGCATCGTCAGATCGTGGGGTTTTTGGAACTAACCCCCTGAGGATACCAACGGACAACTGTGTTTAGAGATATGGACTTTGAAGGGGTAATTTGGTTAAACTGAGTTAATTAGGGTGAGTCTTAATCCAAAGTGACTGTTCTCCTGAAGAGGAGATTAGGACAGACGCAAACAGAGGGATGGCCACATAAGGACATGGAGAAGACGGCGTCTACATGCCAAGGGGAGCAGCCACATCCCTGCCTCCAGCATCTCTGTTTAGCCAGCTTCTCAGTACCCCACACAGGCCTCCAAAGGAATCTGCCGACACTCTTTTTTTTTTTTTTTGAGACAGTGTCTCGCTCTGTGGCCCAGGCTGGAGTGCAGTGGCATGATCTCGGCTCACTGCAACCTCTGCCTCCCGGGTTCCAGTAATTCTCCCAACTCAGCCTCCCGAGTGGCTGGGCTTACAGGCATCTGCCAGCACACCCCCTAACTTTTGTATTTTTAGTAGAGATGGTGTTTTGCCATGTTGGCCAGGCTGGTCTCAAACTCTTGACCTCAGGTGATCCACCCAACTTGTCCTCCAAAAGTGCTGGGATTACAGGCATGAGCCACTGTGCCCGACTCCTGCCAACACCTTGATCTTGGACTTCCAGCCTCCGGAGCCACGAGAGAAGAAATTTCCATTGCTGGGGCCACCCTGTCTGTGCTGTGTTACTGCAGCCCCCAGAAATTGATACGGATCCCAAGCACTCAATATTGCCCTGGGAAGCACCCAGAATCCAGTAGAGATGGGAAGAATCAGAAAGGGAAGTGGGTGATTCCACCCGAAGTGGGGAGATGTGATCCTATTAAATTGCTGCCCTAATTTAAAAAAAATCTCTTTGATTTCTTAATAAAAATGAAATAGAGACATAGACTTTGGGAGAAAACCCTGGAGGAGGGGAGAATCTGTGTGGGTTAAATAAGCTTAAACGTGAACAACAGAAAGATCTACCAGTCAGTCAGTGACAGAACCAGGAGGCTGGGGCAACGTGGACTGGCGTGTTCTTCTGGAACTGATGGAGAGACCATTTCGGATAAAGATGATATTGCTGTGACTATTATTGTTGTTTTGCCTGATGTGATGAACTCCCCAGGGGATCTAGTTTCCAAGCCGACGTTTCGAGACTCTGGGGGACACCCAGACGTGACCCTGTGCCTCTGCACCAGAGACCTTGGTGAGGCACCTGGGGCTGCACTTGTATTTTAAGTTTCTAGAAAAGATGAATGGGTCTTGGGAGAAAATGGACATTCCAGTGTTTCCTTTTCAGAAAATTCTTCCTTAGGTGGCCACAAAGCTTTTATAAACAAAGTCCCAAACAGGGGAGGCATGGATGCCAGGGCTGACGCAGGGCCCTGACTCCGGCCTTGACTTTGGGAGAACATGCCCTTTTTCCTCACCATCACCTCCTGAAATCTTGCGGGCCACCAGATCACCCCTTCCCAGTCACTGCACCTCGGCAGTTTTAACATACGTAGGCCCCAGGGAGAAGCCTCTGGCTAGGAGATGCTCCCCTGCTGGGATGGGCCTGGGAGAGCCTCAGAGGCCACTCTCTGGGTCCCAGCCCATTTAATGTATGGGACTTTCTGGGTCCCAGCCCTTTATGTCAAGAAGGACTTTGCACATGTGGACCAAGCCCTTTAACAGGTCCAGCCCTCTGGGGCTGCGAGTTGTCCATCTGGGCCACACCCGGACTTGGAACCCCACTGGGGTGAGCGGCTAATAGAACACAAAGTCTCCCAGGGTGATGCAGCTCCCATAAGCCTTGTGCAGCACCAGCGGGAACACTGCCTTGGTGGCATGTGTGTTTTCAAGACTGAGACCACAGAGGTGTACTCCAAACATTCTGGCGCTCAGAGTCGCCCTGACAAGGCTCCGGCCCTGCTCACCTAAAGGCCATCCACAGGCCAGTCTCACAGGCTCTGCCTTTATGTGGGAGAAAGCAGGGGAGGAGCACCTCGCTGGAAAGTGAGTTTCCTAGTCAGTCTATCTTCCATCACACAGTGTCAAGACAGTCATGACAATGCAGACCCACCCGCAGCAGCACTACTCCCAGTGGCCAAAAGGGGACAGCAGCCCAGGTGTCCATCAAGGGATGGATGGAGAAGCAGAATGCGGTTCCCCCACCCATACGTTGGAAACTATAGGGCCTTAAAAAGAAAGGAACTCCTGACACAGGCCACAATGTGAATGAGCCCCGAAGATCTTATGCTGAGTGAAATAAGCCAGACTCAAAGGGACAAATACTGTGTGATCCCACTCACGTGAGGTCCCTAGAGTCATCCGATTCACAGAGATGGAACGCAGGATGGAGACTGCTAGGGACTGGGGGAGGGGGTGGTTTCTAAATTGGTGGGGTATTATTTAATGGGGACAGAGTTTCAGCTTTGCAAGATGAAGAGTTCAGGAGACAGAGGGTGGTGATGTTTGCACAACAATGCAAATGCACTTATACCACTGAACTAAAGATGGTCAAGATGTTAGCTTTTGCTCTATGTATTCTAATATAATGAAAAACAAATGTGAACAGACATTTGCACCCACTGAGCTCTCACTGCATGCCGGGCACTGTGCTGATTCCTTCACACAATAAATAAATACCCCTCCCCTTCCATCAGCAGCCCTTCAAGAAGCATATTATTGTCCCATTTCATGGATAAGAAACCAAGGCTTAGAAGTTAAGTACACGATCCAGGATCACTCACTAGTAAGACGGAGCCAGGGTTCCACCCAAATGTTTCTGGTTCCTGGCAAGCACTACAGAAATAGACAGTGTTGGCCAGGTGTGGTGGCTCACACCTGTAATCTCAGCACTTTGGGAGGCCGAGGCGGGTGGATCACCTGAGGTCAGGAATTTGAGACCAGCCTGGCCAACATGGTGAAACCCCTTCTCTACTAAAAATACAAAAAATTAGCTGGGCGTGGTGGCAGTCGCCTGTAATCCCAGCTACTTGGGAGGCTGAAGCAGGAGAATCAGTTGAACCTGGGATTGCGCCATTGCACTCCAGCCTGGGCAACAAGAGCAAAACTCTGTCTCAAAAGAAAAGAAAAAAAATAGATGGTGAAAGAAATGAGTGAGTGAATGAATGAATGATACCAAGTCCCAGGCTTCATATACCATTGAACTTGGCTTGTTTTGCAAAGTTTTTGGTTGGTAGTAGTTGGGATGCCTTTTAAAACAAAATAATATTTAAATTATTCCCAAGTAAGGGGTTTGACTTTGGAGTGATGGAAATGTTTTGGAATTAGACAGAGGTGGTGAATGTACTCAATGCCACTAAGTTGTTCACTTTAAAAGGTCTATTTTGGCTGGAAGCTTACGCCTGTGATCCCAGCACTTTGGGTATGTAAGGCCGGAGGATTTCTCGAGCCCGGGAGTTTGAGGCTGGCTTGGGCAACATAGTGAGACCTCATCTCTACAAAAAAAGATTTACAAAAATTAGATGGTTTTGATGGTGTGCACCTGTGGTCCCAGCTACTTGGGAGGCTGAGGTCGGAGGATCGCTTGGGCCTAGGGGTAGAGGCTGTAGTAAGCCTTAATCACACCACCGTACTCCAGCCTGTGTGACAGAACAAGACCTTGTCTCAAATAGTCCATTTATGCTATGATTTTTAATTCACCAAATTATTTTAGAAATATGTATACCTGAAATTGAATATAAATATACCAGAAATATGTTTACTGATTATGCGGTATATGGTTGCACAAATATACACACAAATGCTTCGCCTGTGGACAGCATCGTCTGAGTGGTCTTGGGGAAGTGGGGGTCTCAGGGGTCTTCAGCTGGATTTGTTAGGGCAAAGATGCTCACCACCTTGTGCCCCCTCAGGTGCGGAGCCTGCAGACTCTAACCTGCAGGCCAGGGATTTGGGTCTCTTTTAAGCCTGATTTTATTAAAAGTCCCCTGAGCATTTTCTCTTCTGAGGTTTGTCTGCTTGCCTCCTGAAATAATAAGTCACATGGGCTAGGGGCACTGACCTGCCCAGACTCATCAACATCTATTTCCCTTTATCTTTTAGAGAGAAATGATAGTTTACTCCCCGAGAATGGTTGCTAGGGGCAGACCATCTGATAAATAGATGTGATTAATAATGAATTAATTAACATCACCTTCCAGCTGACAATGAAGAGAAGCTTCCACACACTAGGTGCACGTACGTGTGTGTATGTACCTGCGTGTGCGGTACACAGTGTGCATGTGTTTGTATGCATGTGTGCATGTCTGCCTGTGTGTGTGTGTGTGTGTGTGTGTGTGCATGTGTGTACTTGGCCACACATGCATCTGGAGGACCTGGGAAAGACCTCCATGAGGGAAGGAACATGAAGCCAGATGCACCACCCGCTATGGAGCTGCCTGCGACTTGGGGTTTTACCCATTATAGGAAGTTAATGCCCCAGGGAGCCCATTTCTCACAGAAGCTCTTTGGAGTGTATGTTTGCAGTCTCCTTTATAATGTGAATAATCATTTTCTAACTCCTGTTTGGAAAATTAATCTTCTAGTTTCTTAGAGTGTAGCATAGAGTTTTGGAAATAGGGTTGGTGGTTAATGCCTGTCTTAGTACTTGCAAACAGGCTTGAGGGACTGGTTATGGTTTTTCTATGCAACAGAATGATATTCAATCATGAAGAATGAGGTTAATAGCAACCTATAAATATGTTCCTGAGAATACTGTCTAGCAACAACAGCAAGTTACAAAACAAAAAATATATATGTATATATATACACACACGTAAATATATAGGTATATATGTACATATATTTGTATATAATGTAAATATATGCATATATGTACATATATATTTTGATATATATGTGTATATATATATAAATATATAGCATGATCCTGCTTTTGCAGAAGGATTTTCATACTCTTATGTGTTAAAAAAAAAACTGCTAGAAGATCACACACATCACACACGCACTGAGGTGTGAGCTGTGGTTATTTCTGGCAGATTGTTACTTCTTCGTTTTTCTTGTCTGTATTTTCCACAAAAACATCTATTGCTTGTGTAATAATAAAAAGATACTGACCTGACTTTAATTGAAAAAGAAAATTATTGATTTTGCTGAAAGTCCCCAGACCCTTCTAACCCCAGGGGAGAAAAGATGATGGGATTAGAATGAAAGAGGATGGAAGTCAAACCCGGGGCCTCTGTTCTTGGTTCCAACTCTAAGATTCTCGGAAGGTGCTGGTGGCTGTTGGGTTATATGAGGGAGAGCTGGCCGTGACACGGGTGCCGTGTTCTCGAGGCAGAGTCTTGCTTACACCTGCTCGTGTCTGTGGGAGAACCAAATCCCTCACCTCCTTCACTTGGCCCCTCCCTCCCACCGCGTCTCACACTGGGGCATTCCATCATTTTCCATGGACGCTATCCTGAGCCCCGTGCTTAGAGGGCCGGGTGGACTCCGCTGTGGCCCTGCTCTCAGAGGATGCTGTTTCAGCAGGGTGGGTGGGCCGCCGCCTGGCCAGGGCAGGAAGCACAGCTCTGGCTATTTTTAGTCAATCATCAACCCCTCCGATGGTGGCCCCAGGTGGCTCAGTTCCTGAAGATCAGGCAGTTGAAGCAGAGCCACTAAAGGGTTCTTGCCTGTGTGGGGGGGAAAGGGAGAGGTGGGGGCAGGGGGCTTGGAACCCTGCGGCCGGCCAAGCCCTGCCGTCATAGCTATTACTGGGATCAGTTTCATCCTGCCTTTCAATCATTATGTTTTTCTTTTCCACCCACCCAACTCCCCAGAACAGAATCAGATAAGAAACCCTAAAAAGGTCCACCAAATAATCAGAAAAATCAAGACGACGCACAGCTGTCCCAGTGGGGCTTGCTGTTTGGTTTCAGAGCCACGTGTTTCCACCTCCATTTCCCAAGGCAGGGCAGAGCCCTGCCCCCTTGTCCGCCTCCTCTGGACAGACCGACATGAAATGGGCTCGGCCGCCCCCTCCAGTGAGCCCCTGAACAGGGGAGAAAGACTTTGGGGAAGTCACGGTCAGATCTTTCTGCCTCTCCTTTGGCCCTGCGTCTTCCTCCCACACAGCCTGTGTGGGCTGGGGTGGGGGCTGTACCAGCTACACAGCTCTGAGCTGAACAAACTCCTGAAAGGGCAGGGAGCCTCCGCTGGGCCATTTTTCAGACTTTAATTGCATTGAGTGAAACTTAAAAAGGACTTTCCGTTTGCTCAGGCTGAATTCCCTCTCCGCTGTGGGCAGGCAGCCTCCCTCCAAGGAGAGCAGAACAACCAGCAGAGAGTGCATAACCTGGCTAACCATCCAGGGCTGACCTGCCGTAGCCTCTAGCGTAGAGCCCTGGGCAGCAGTTGTGCAAGCCAGTGGATGGAGGCTGCCCAGACTCTGCCGTCACTGGCTGCCCTGCTAGAGCTCAGCTAGAGTCGAGTTTCATAAAAGCAGCAGCGTCTACAGTCTGCCTTTATGTCCAGCGGGTGAAAGCCAGAAAGCACAGACGGAATCTAGCCGATAGGGCTCCATGCTCTGCAGAAAACATCCTGACCCGAGGCCTGCAGGCGGCGGCTGCTGCAGCCAGATAACGCCAGCCTGAGCCTCAGCTCTGCCAGTTCCCAGCTGGGTGGCCGTGACCTCCCTGAGCCCTGCTAAGAGCACCCATGCACGGCAATGGCGGAAAATAAACGAGACGGGGCTGTGAGACATCTCCCCGGCCCACGGCACTCAGCAGTGCTAGCTGACAACGCGCCAGGCCAGGGCGGCTCACACGTCCATGCAGAGCGCCAGCCATGGCCCGCACGCGTGTGACTCTCTTGGAATTTGGCTGATCAAAGGAATCAGTGCAACGGAGCCTGCTGCCAGCCTACCCTGGCACACCTGCCCTCAGGAGCGCCCCTCCCCTCCCTGCTTTGTTCCTGGGGCTCCCTTCTCTTACTGTTTCCAACTCAGGCTAAACAATTCCTGCCGCAGCCTCTGAGCCTGGGAGAGGATGAGGGTGGGGTCTTCCTCAGGGGCCATCCCGAGGCCACTTCCTCCCTTTCCCTTCCATGCTGCTGAGTTGGCAGAAGGATGTGAGAGGGTGCAGGCAAGAAGGAAGGTGCCAGAAGGTCCAGGGTGCCCTGCCTACCTCCCTCTCTTGGCTGCCCAGATACCAACAGCCCCACCTGAGCCAACCTCCTAGGCCTCCCGTGCCGGGTGTCCTCCTCCACCCCCAGCTCCACGGGCACCTGGGAGAGCTTTGCCATGCCTGATCCTCAGACCCGCCAGCCTGGGCGTTGGGCCTCTGTCAGGAGGAAGATGAGAGGCTGGGGGAAAAGGGAACCCCTCTCCTGGTCTGGGGCCCGACATCCACGACTCTTGGAGAGTCTGGCCCCAGGCCCTCTGAGGGAGTTTTCTTTGATATTTATTAACCCACTTTCTCTCTTGGCACTCGGAGCAAGGAGGGAAACTCAGCCAAGGCTATTAATAGGCTAAGGCCATCCCTGGGGAGAAGAATGAGCTCATACCTACAGCACAGGTGCCAAGTATAATAAAGGTTTCCGACTCAGGCCTAAATATAGGCTGCGGCCACCTCGGGGCGCGGAAGGAGGGCCTCGCATGAGCAGCGTGTCCGCCCTGTTGCCATCCAGCTGGCCACTTGGGCAAAGCTTTTTGACACCTGTGCCCGGGACGAGCTCCACCGGGAGATCTTGCGGTCACACGGTCCTGTTCCACCCTAGGTCAGCCCCGGTGGGAGCCACCCAGGAGGCAGGGGAGGCGAAATGACATTTCATTTATATTAATGACTCCTGTAAACAGAGAGTTTAATAAAAAGGCAGTGAGGGAATTTATGGGCAACCCAAGGATAATTAAAATTATTTATCTACTTACCTCCCTTGCTTGCTGATCAGTCTATTAATTATCTATTATATACTCGCTGATTTGCATTTTAGTGAAGGGACTGGGGAAGGGCAGGTGAAAAGCACAGAGGAGTTAGGGAACCCCATGGTGGGGACCCTCCTCTCTGCAGACCAAAGCTCCTCCTGCAGACACCCTCACGCATCGTTCCCCATGGCGGTGGGCCACCCTGAGGCCTGGGAGAAGCCCCCATCTGAGAACCAGCTCGGGGGGAGCAGAAAGCATTGCGTAGAGAGGTTGGTTCTTACCTGTTTGCAGAGGGATGGCTCCAGGAGCAGGTTCCCAGCTGGAGGGGCTGCAGACCTGGGAAAATGGTGGCAGAATTTCCTCTGGCTGCTGTGACTTCAAGCTGCATTTCAAAAAGAAAACAAGAGAACAAAACGGTGTTCAATCTCTGAATATCTAGAGTGCATCAGACGCATGCTCTCCCGCACTCTTGATTGAAAATATTACAGGACAGAGTGTCACGGGCACTATGTCTTTTGAACGATACAAACAGGAATGCGTTAGGCTGGGAGAAGCTGTAAGAAGGTGTCCCTGTCCACCACCTCATGGGTAGAAGATGCTCCCAGCTCTGCAGCCCTGGATATTGTAGGTGAGACTCACGGTATCAAAACCGAAGCTGGGGTCAGAGGGGAGAGTGCCAGCAGGTGACGGGGTCAGGCTGGAGTTTGGACTGACGGGGGAATGGCCGAGTCGCCTGTCCCCAAGCCGGGCCCCAGGTCTCTCATGCCAGCAGAGCCTCCTTGGGGATGAATCCTCAGCACCAGGCCCAGCTCCTGGGCGCTGGGCTGCATCCTAGAGGAAATTGTAACGGCCGGCGTGGGTTGAGCAGCCCTCGTGGTTTGTACTTGCAGCCTAGCTAGGCCCTCGATGGGAAGTAAGGCTGTTTTCTCATCAGACCCCATCAGTGTCACCACGAGCAGCTGTGAATTCTCCTTCTTGGTCTTAGGCTTCTCTGGGGTTGACAGTGTGAAGGCCTCTGGCCACCAGGCCTCCCTGCTAGACACTGGGTGGGGGCAACGTCAAGGGGGCACCTGGCTTCTGCCTCTTAGCGGCTCACTCTGCCGATCTGTGTTGGCTGTGAGCAGGGACTGAGTCTGCCATGGTCCGAGTGTTTCTGTTCCCTCAAAGGCCAAATGTGATGGTATTTGAAGGTGGGGCCTTTGGTGGGGGTCATAAAGTCATGAGGGTGGGGCTGTCTGAATGCGATGAGTGCCTTCATAAGAGTGTCTGTCTCTCTCTCTCTCCTCTCTCTCCACCCACCCACCCCCAACCCCCAGTGACAATACACCAGATCTGCTGGCACCTGGATCTTGGATTTCCCAGTCTCCACAACTGTAAGAAGTAATTGTTTGTTGGACCGGGTGTGGTGGCTCATGCCTGTAATCCCAGCACTTTGGGAAGCCGAGGCGGGGGGATCACTTGAGGCCAAGAGTTCAAGACCAGTCTGACGAACATGGTGAAACCCCATCTCTACTAAAAATACAAAAGTTAGCTGAGTGTGGTGAGTCCTAGCTACCAGGGAGTCTGAGACAAGAGAATTGCTTGAACCTGGGAGGCAGAGATTGCAGCGAGCTGAGATCACACCACCGCACTCCAGCCTGGACAACAGAGCAAGACTCTGTCTCAAAAAAAAAAAAAACTAAATGTTTGTTGTTTAAGCCACCCAGTGTATGACATCTTGTTATAGCAGCCCCAGCCCACTAAGACAGAGCCTCACGTGGCTTGTATTCCTCAAAGCACCTGAGAGTAGATTTTGCACAGGAAGGAGGAAGGCAGACAGGGCAGGAAGGGGGTGTCACATGATTGGGGTCTCCGCTGAAACTTTGGACTCTTCCTCCCTCCACCTCTCCTGAGCCTTCCTCTCCCACCCCGTGGCTCTGGCCCCGTGGGCACTGCCCCATCCCCTGCATGTGCCCCGCCCCCTCCTGCTGCTTCTCACACCTGCTCCTTGCTCCCTCTGCCCCACCCATGGGGGCCTTCTGGTTGGATTTGACCTCAGGGTCCTTGCACATGTTGTCCCCTCCTCCAGGTGTTGGGTGACATCTGCATGTTCAGGCCTCCCCTTGGAGAAGCCCCCAACCATCGTATGGGAAGCCCCCTCCCCATCACCTGCCGCATCTACTCATGGCCTGTCGCATCATAATGTGGCTTGACTCTGTGTCCCCACCCAAGTCTCATCTGGAATTGTAATCCCCATGTGTTGAGGGAGGGACCTGGTGGGAGGTAACTGGATCATGGCGGCAGTTTCCCCCATGCTGTTCTTGTGATGGTGAGTGAGTTCTCGTGAGAGCTGATGGTTTAAAAGTGGTTGGCAGTTCCCCCCTCACTCTCATCTCCCGCCACCATGTAAGACGCACCTCACTTCCCCTTCGCCTTCCGCCACGATTGTAAGTTCCCCAGACATGAGGAACGGTGAGTCAGTGAAAGCTCTTTCCTTTATAAGTTACCCAGTCTCAGGTAGTTCTTTATACCCCACAGTCATAAAGTAGTGCCATCATTGTCTTCATTTGTGCACAACGCCCTAAAACGGAAGTTTCCCGAGGACACGTGGAGCTGCTGCGTGGTCTCCATACCGGAGCAGGGCCTGGCAAGCCGCAGGTGCTCAGGGAATGAGGAATGAGGGATGAATGTGTGAATGCACAGCTACCCCGGACGCGGTGTTCCAACTCCTATTTGCATTCCCTGCCCGCAGCATGGCCTCCATAGCATGCATTCCCCAACCTGCCCCTAGAGTAGATTTTTAAAGCACAAAGTTGTTTAAAATCCCTTGAAGCTTCCCTGAAGGCCTGGGGGTTAAGTCCAGATTCCTGAGCCTGGGGGTCCAGGCCCTTCACAGTCAGTTTTACTTCCTTCCCAGGGTCCTCTCCCCATGACTGGTGCAAACCTCAGCCCTGCCAGCCTGCCCAGACCAGGGCGAGACCTCCTCTGTGTCCCCAGAGCAATCTGTCACCAAGCTCGAGGTTCCTGTAGACTTTTTTCTGCACTCCTCCCAGTAGAGGCTCCCATGGGCCCCTCCCACCCCTCTCTTTTCTCTCCTACCTGCTCCCCAGCCCCGTCCTGCTTCTAGGACAGTCAGCAGTGGCTGCCCATTTCCCCACTGCTGAGGGTCCTGTCCTGTCGGCGAGGTGGAGCTCCTGCAGGCTCACAGAGGAGAAGGACCTCCACCCTCCTCCCGCATTCCCCAGCCTCTGCCCGGGCCCTTCTGTGGAGGGAGCACCGCTCTGTTGCTCACCGATGGCACAGACAAGTCACCCCCAGCGCTGCCTCGGCATTAAACATCTAATGCAAGTTAGGAGCCCATTTTCCATAACACACAGAAACATTGCTGTTTCCAGGAGTTCACTGCCCTCTAGGCCCATCCATTGAACCCTGGTCATCAGCTCTTGGGGTCTCGGGGCATCTGATGGTCAGTGTTATGCGTCCACTTGGCCAGGCTCTCGTCCCCTGGGATTCAGTCCAGCACGTACCTAGGTGTTGCTGGGGTGGTACTTGGTAAGTGTGGCTAATGCCTAAAATGAATTGATTTCAGCACAGGATATGGCCTTTCTTAATGTGGGTGGGTGGGCTTCATCCAGTCAGTCGAAAGGCTTCATCCGGTCAGTTAAAAGGCCTTAACAGCAAAAACTAAGGTTCCCTGGGGAAAACATTCTGCCTCAAGACCGCAGCACCAGCTGGGCGCAGTGGCTCACGCCTATAATCCCAGCACTTTGGGAGGCCGAGGCGGGTAGATCACCTGAGGTCAGGAGTTCAACACCAGCCTGGCCAACATGTCAAAACCCCATCTCTATTAAAAATACAAAAATTAGCTAGGCATGTTGGTGGGCACCTGTAGTTCCAGCTACCCAGGAGGCTGAGGCAGGAGAATCACTCGAACCTGGGAGGCAGAGGTTGCAGTGAGCCAAGATCACACCATTGCACTCCAGCCTGGGTAAGAAGAGCGAGACTCCATCTCCAAAAAAAAAAAAAAAAAAAACAGACTGCAGCACCAATTCCTGCCTGAGGTTCCAGCCTGTCCACCCATCCTACAGAGTTCAGATTCGGCAGCCTTCGCAATAACATGACCTAATTCCTTAAAATCTGTCTGTCCTATCTGTCAATCAATCAATAATCAATCAATCAATCATCTACCTACCTACCTAGGTCCTGTTGACTTTGTTTACCTGGAGAACTCTGAGTCAGGCCCTCTGGGGTCTCTCGCAGGTTGGGCTCCTGGAGCTGACTCTGTCCATCAACAGAACCAGACATCCCACCTCCCCATGCTCTGCCCAGCATGCAGTTCTGGCTGGTGGAGTGGGAAGCAGTGCCCCCATGATGGCAGAAACGGGGAACAGGAAGGAGGCAGCCCAAAGCCTCATGTCTGCTTGGGGGCAAGGACAGCATTCTCACGAACCTGGAACAAACCGGCCCTCCTGAATGTAAGGTCAGGCGCGGCTGTGATGAGGACAACCCAGGTGCCAGCTTCAGCTCGGGCCTGAAAATCCCTCCCCGTCAGAGCTGACATTTCAGGACAGGCATCTGCCCTCTCCCTTCTCCTCCCCCTTCCTGACTATCATTTCTCAATTCTGATGATGTATCAATAACTGCAAAGCAAAATGCCACAGTTAGCAGCGCTACCGTACTGTAACTAATCGTTTTCTGAATCAATTCTCAGGGTTGTGTGTGCACAACGAGGTGGGGCTGCATCTCCAAAGCCTCTGCAGCCTCCAGGAATTAGGCACACCAGGAGAAGTTTCAGGAGACAAAGAAGAGGGCTGGGAAGAAAAAGGGAGCAGGCAGGGGAGAGACAAGGAAAACAGCAGATTAAGAAAAAAAAAAAAAGAGGGCGAAGGGAGATTCTCAACAAGACAGAGAGCCGGTGGCAGCAAGCCATGGCCTGACCCACCTTTCTAGGGTGCAGCAGAGATGAGGAAGGGGCTGTGGTCTGAGCACTTTTGATGGGATGAGGTGTGGTAGGCAGGAGGCAGGCCACCAGATGCACTGTGAGGGCAGGAGCATGAGTCTGCCAGGCGCTGTCCTGTGCTCTCGGAATGTCTGAGTGAGGATACTAGGCCAGACCAGACCAGGGTCCCCAAGGTGGGGGCAGGTGGTGGGGCTGGCTGTCAGGTGACAGGTGCCTTCCTGGGAAGGGGACACAGGGGAGAGGGCAGACTGCTGTACACCCACCTGTTCCAAGCAGTAAGAAAGACTCAGGCCCAGGAAACCCTCCAGCTCCTTCATGCACATAAAAAGACCTCAGGGGTCTCTGGAGTTCATGCACTTAAGATTTTATTGGCTTAATAAACTGTGCTGCTGCTGCCCGCAGGTCTTCCTTGGCCTGAGCACATGTGAGGATGGAGGGGCAGCTCTCTGTAGCTGCTGTAATCTCCTCGAGGGGGAGAGAGCTGGCAGGAGTGGGAGAGAAAGGACAGGCAGCTTAGACAGGGCTGCAGGGCCACAGTGGGACCGAGGGAAGCCCTTTCTGCAGTATAACTCATTAACCCTTCCAGTGACCCTAGGAGGAAGCTGAGATGTAGGATGCTGGGAGAGTCTACTCCAAGGCATACAGCCTGCATGCTGGCAGAGCTGGGACCCAAACCCAGGGCATCTGGCTCAAGAGCTCAGCGCGGCACCTCTACATTGCTCTTGCTCTCACTAAGGTCAGCCAGCTGCAGACTCAGTTTCCCCATCTGTAATGTGAACTCTTTAATAGCTGCCCCCCTTGCTTCTGGCACCTTCCAGGCTCTTGCATACCCCACTGGGGTGGGAATTATCAAAGGGGTAGGGCAGGCAGGGCTGGGGGAGGCTCGACCTGGCTCCAGGGGCTTTCTTAGTGAAGTGCCAAAGATGGGATGGATGTCCTCACAAACGTCCAGAGCACGGACCTCCCAGTGAAGCACAGTGAATATAGCAGCCTGGGTCCATGCCTCACTTCTTCACTCACTCATTCATGTACTCATTCATTTAGTCAAGCTGTGCTGGGCCTGTTTACCTGTTTCCACCCTGAGGTCTCACCCCAGACCCCCCTGCAGGTCCCAGGCCCAACCATCCAGGGCTCTGGTCAGTGTAGGGGAGCAGCCACAGAACCCCTACAATCCTGACGAGAGTCCAGTAACACACTCAGGGGAGCAAGGGAGAGATGGGCGGGGCGGGACCTCATCTTTTCTTCCTGGAGATAAAGTGAGGCCAGGCCAGGCCTGTGCTCCGTCATGGGTACCCCTTGCTCAGAGCCTCCCCTTCCCACCCCCAGATCCTTGGGGGCTGTGGCTTCAGCCCCGACCTCCCAGCAAGGCTCCTGGGGCAGCAGCATCTCTGCCTCGGGGTGGGGGGCCGCTTGCTCCCAAGTTTCAGAGCCCAGGTCTTGAGCCCACCACAACCCCCACAAGACAAGAGGCTCCCCTGCTTGTCCTCCCACCTCCAGGAGCTACTGTGGGGCTGCACCAAATACCTTCAGCCTCTGAAAAGAGGGAGGCTGTTCATCCTCACTTGCATGTCCGGCTCTTGCCCGCAACTGCTGGGAGGGTCCTGCAAACTGGCCTGGGGGCTCAGGTAGCCAGGTGGCCTCAGAGGGCAGCGAGTGGTCACAGCCCCCACATGGTGTTTCAGTCACAGGCTCATGATCATTCATGGAGGGGGCTACAGACAATGGGGTCTAACAAGAAAGCCCAAAAGTTTCTGAATGGGTCACTCTTGTTGTTTTTTTACTAAAAGGGCTTTACGTTTTGCTCTAAATCTTTCTGAGGTGCAGGCTGCTTTCCCGAGTGACAAAGTAGGAGCTGGGGTAACCATGGCTCCCTGGGAGTGTGCAGGACCCCCAAACCTGCTGAGAAGCAGAGGAGAGAGGCATGGCAGTCAGGCAGCTCCAACAAACACAACACACCAGAGCTGGGCTCTCTCGTGGGCACAGTGAGAACGATCGGCCTCAGCATCAGTGATGCTGGGAGGAGACTGAGATCGCATACGGAGCTGGTGGGATAGGCAGGTGCAGATGGCCTCGCAGGACCTGGACAAGATCGGCCACTCACAGCCAGGTCCACGCCTGAGACAGGAGACAGCCACCAAGACTCTCACTCGGCATTCTCTGAAATAGCTGCACTTTGCAAACCACTGGGAGTTTCATGAATGAAAGAGTGGACAAAGAAAATGGGGCAGGTTTCTAAGTCAGATTCTCCACAGTAGATAAAAGGAACGTATCAGAAACACACCAGAGCTGCAGAAACCATGTTCAGTCAAAGAGGTGAGTTGCAGGAAGAGGCCATGCATGTGCATTTGAAGAAGACATAAAACAGTGTGAGCTCTGGTCCACGCTTACATGTGTGTATAAATGTTTTTCTCAAGGGACAGAAATAATAGATGCCAAATCGATGCTCAGAGCGGCCTCTGGGTGTAGGGGAGGGGAACGGGGCTGGGTGTGCTGGAGGGGACTTGGACTTTGTCTGTGATCCTTCCTTTTTTTTTTTTTTTTAAGACTAATGCAAGAGAACAAAGTGTTAGTTATTGTTAATTGCAGGTAGAGGAGGATAGATATTTATCTTTTACCTTAATTATAAAAATTCTCCAAAAATTTTTTGAGACGAGCATGGTTAGATTGATGGCCCGCTGCAGGAGTGAGAGACCCTGATTATACATGCGTGACACAAAGCTGGTGTCAAAGCACAGTGTTTTCTATGATTAGTGGCTCTGTAGAATCTCACCGGCTGGTGGCCTGACGACCAAGTAAATGGATGACGTACACGATGGAGTGATTCCGGAGGGAGCCACTTCCCAAGAGGAAGTAAAACCATTTCATCCCTAGTGATGGCCTCCAGACTCTAGACCATCCATGTCTCCAGGAGGTAGGCTCCCCTGCATCCTTCTCTCTGGGGACCCAGACCCTGGTCTTCTGAGCAAAGCATTCTCCATACCGAGAAGGAGGCCAGAAAGTGCTGGATGCAGAGGCGGCTTTTCCCTCTTCTCACACCACCATCTGCAGGCCGACAAGGAAGTCAGAGGGGACGTGAAAAGAGCCACCTCTCCCATCCCCCGACAGATGGGACCCGCAGGGGTAGGGGAAGAGCGGTGTCTCCCAGGCCGCGCCTTCACACTTGCTGGCCACTGCGGCCAGACAGATGTGCACCCTGGTCCTTGCTTTGATCTCACACGGTTACACTTTCAGTGTTACAAGCTCATAAAAGCCACGTGATCAAATTCCAGGTCATTACTCAAGGAAAGGGACCCCTCTGTGGTCGACAGCGACAGTTTCAAACCAATTAAAATAAGCCTGGCGTTTCTGCGGGCTGCCGCCCGTGCCGCCACCCTGGGGGTCTCTGAGGGCCTTGCTTGCAATGAGCAAGATGCAGGAAATGTTAATGGAGACGCTTAAATGGCGCGCCGAGGGGATTCTGGTAAATAAGGCCACGCGGAAGGGGCTGGGGAGAGGCCTCCCGAGCTAACCCTGGAGGAAACTTCAATAAACACGAGATTGGATTGGAAACAATTCACTCCGCAAGGGGTGGGTCCGCCAGCAGCTCTGGGAGGGGTCTTTGGGGGAGGAAAGCTATTTCATTCCCTATTAGTTCCCCTTTGCAAGTATCTGTGCCCCCTGCTGCTGGCACTGGAATCTGCCAAGGCTCGACAGCACCCACTGAGCAGGCTGGGAGCACCAGGGTATAATTTGCCAAGTAAAAATTGGAGAGGGCGGGAGAGGCTGCGCGGAAGAGGAGAAGGGGTGGCTGGTGATGGTGGAGGGTGGAGGGGCTGGGGCTGAGGACGAGGCCATGCAGTGGCTTTGTGACTGTCTGGCAGGTGCTCTGAACTCTGCAGGATCCTGTTTCGGGAAGATCGAACGTCACCCATGAAACAAACAGAGAAGTTTCCAGAGAACACCACCCCAAGCCCAGGCCAGCATGTAGATGGGGCCAGGCCAGCAGGCTGTGGTCGGTGCTGTCCAGCTCAGTACAGACTCAGGGCCCACCTGAGTTGTGGGCAGCCCTCCTTGGGCAGGGGCGATGGCTCCCACCTCTGCTCCCAGCCAGGGACTGTTACTCAGGATGTGGGCAGCTCGTCGCTCTGCTCAATGCAATGGAAGGAGCTCCAAACGTGAGAAAGGGAAGGGAGGTCTTGAGCAAAATGAGGAGCCTGGGCCACACAGCCTGTGTCCTTCCTCCCAGAGCCCCTCCCCACAAGGCCACCACGGCCCCAGACCCCTGCACATCTGCTTTTGTGGGCCTAATCTTACAGCCGAAATAGCAAACCTCATTCCAGTGACAGTTTCCACATTTAGGAAATAAAACCCCTGGATATGCAGTTAAATTAGAAATTTCAGATAACAGATAATGTTTTCATTGTTTTAGTATAAGTTCATACCATGCAATATTTGGGAAGTACTTATATTAATTTTTCATTGCTTATCTGATATTCACATTTAACCAGTCACCCTGTGTTTTTATTTGGCAGCCCTAGCTTCCAACTGCCTGATTACCCAGGCTAAACACACACAGGTGCACATATGCCTGCACACAAGATATGCACACTCACCCGCAAATGTGCATGTGCACGCACACACACAGATGTGCACGGACACGTGCACATACACATCCTTCAAAGAAAG
Organism: Homo sapiens; assembly: GCF_000001405.40. Taxonomy (NCBI): domain Eukaryota; kingdom Metazoa; phylum Chordata; class Mammalia; order Primates; family Hominidae; genus Homo; species Homo sapiens. The sequence goes on from NC_000017.11 coordinate 79,317,047, forward strand.
GAGCTGACCCTCCATGAAGACCGACAAGGAGCTGGCATTTCCCATATGCTCCCTCATGGAACACTCCTCCCATCTCCCCCACGGCCACCCCCCTCATTCAGACAAAGAGGTGCAGGCTCCAATTGCCACTTTCTCAAGGCCACACAGTCAGCATATGGCCCGGCTGAAATTGCAGACCCAGTTCATTCGTATTCCAAAGTCTGCACTCTTTCCACCAAACCAGACCCAATACATCAAATTTTAGATGTTTCTTTTCAAACAGAACGGCCATAAGGAAGTTGCTATTGATTCTGCAGTCAGGCCAATGGCCTTGGCTCAGACCCACACGGACCTCAGAACAAAGACGCAGATTTGAGCTGGTGAAGCCCCCACGGGTTCAGCCTCACCAGGGTTCACCTGTGGGGCTCAGGGTGAGCACATCTGGCTTCCACACAGAGGCTGGTGGTTTGGGTCCACCCTGGAGGGTTCTGCTGGCAATTGAGTCCTGAGCAGGCACTGGCAGCAGCACCGATGCCCGTGGCAGGGCCTTCTAGTGAAGGGGATGTTTCTCCCCTGGACGTGGTCTCAAACTCAAAGGGGACAAACACAGACTTGAAATTGTCTGCAAATTGGCAAGGAATCCCTAAACTCTGGCTTCCACTAATTAACTAGCTGCTTTCCAGGTAACTAGTAGGTACTTTAGGCACTTGTTATGTAAGAATCACAATCTTAAAAAAAAAAAAGTTGCAATGTTCGATGAGGCCATGGTGAACCTAAGGGTGCCACCTTGTCTACCTGGGCCATCACTCGGCAGGCAAAGAGATTCGATCTGGCTGGCAAATCTTGTTCTTTATGTGAGCAGGACAATTCTCAAGTAACATGCTAACTTCCCTATCTTGAGTTGTCGGTTTCATGATTATTTTTCTAGGAATGGAAGTTAAGCTTGCCGCTTCATCATTTCTAGAAATGTCTTTACCCCCTTTAAAAAAACTGTCTGTGGATTGGGAAAAACCTCCAGCCCCTTGTTACTCAGGCCTCATCTCCTAAACTGCCTGGCTGCTGCTGACAAAGTTGCTGAGTAGACAGAGCTTACAACTGGGGAGGTGTCAGCCGGAGCCCTTGCCATGGTGATGGCTGATTCCTATCATGAGTGGAACAGGAGCATTTTGGGCCTGAAGATCTGGATGCTCCGGGTGGTGTTTGCTCAGCCAGCAGCCAAGAAGTCCAGCAAGGAGGGAAGAGGAGAAGGAGGTCTGTGTGCTTCACCCAAAACTCCAGCACGGAGGATGCTGCTGAGCCAAAACCCAGGAGATGAAACTGCTGGGGGCAGAGGAGCTGGGGAGGTCTGGGAAATACAAACAGCAGCAAATCTCCCCACTTTATCTTCATAGCCACCACCCCTTACACCATATGGCTCCCCCTCTCAGCAATGCAGTTGAGCAACGGTCTCAGCCATACCATAGTGGTGAGGGTTTCATGATTTGCCTAATGAGAGGTCTTACTGGCAAATTTCATACTAAGAGTTGGATGTTGAAATTTGACTGTGGGGCCACGTGCGGTGGCTCATGCCTGTAATCCCAGCACATTGGGAGGCTGAGGCAGGTGGATCACGAGGTCAGGAGATCTAGACCATCCTGGCTAACACGGCGAAACCCTGTCTCTACTAAAATTACAAAAAAATTAGCTGAGTGTGGTGGTGGGCGCCTGCAGTCCCGGCTACTTGGAAGGCTGAGGCAGGAGAATGGTGTGAACCCGGGAGGCAAAGTTTGCAGTGAGCCGAGATTGCGCCACTGCACTCCAGCCTGGGTGACAGAGCGAGACTCCATCTCAAAAAAAAAAAAAAAAAAAAAAAAAAGGGATGGAGGGAGGGATAGCATTTGGAGATATACCTAATGTTAAATGATGAGTTACTGGGTGCAGCACACCAACATGGCACATGTATACATATGTAACTAACCTGCACGTTGTGCATATGTACCCAAAAACTTAAAGTACAATAATTAAAAAAAAAAAGAAATTTGACTGTGGAAGGAGGGAAGACATGAGGGTGGGCGGAGGGAAAGGAAGCCAGCACCGGATGTGGCTTTCCCGGAGGCAGCCCACTGGAAAAGCGGATTTCATTATAGTCAGGTGGTTGTTTTTTAGGTCACCTACTTCCCAGACGGTTTTTCCTGCTTTTCTTTCCTGTTACAAAGTTTTGACATATTGGAGCCGGGAAGGAAGAAAAGTCGCACTGTATCACCAAGAAGTAGGGGACCCAGGGGCTCAGTGATCCACAGCAGAAAGGAAGAGGCGAGGAAGGTAGGAGATGCAGAGAAAGGAAAGAGGCAGAACGGGGGCTCCTGCAAGTGCGGAGATGAAGCCCTGTCCCAGGAGGTCCCACTTGGGCTGCCGGAGTGGTGATGACCCAGGGCTCGGCCTACTTTCAGCCTGAGAATCCTGAGAGAACCCCCTCCAAGAGCAGCCTGGGCAGATTGGTCTTGTCTGGGCTGCTGGTCTTGTCTGGGCTGCTGGGCTATGTCTGGGCTGCTGGTCTTGTATGGGCTGCTGGGCCAGCTGTTCTTATCCTGGCTGCTGGTCTTGTCCGGGCTGCTGGTCTTGTCTGGGCTGCTGGTCTTGTCTGGGCTGCTGGGCTATGTCTGGGCTGCTGGGCTATATCTGGGCTGCTGGTCTTGTATGGGCTGCTGGGCCAGCTGTTCTTGTCCAGGCTGCTGGTCTTGTCTGGGCTGCTGGTCCTGTCTGGGCTGCTGGTCTATGTCTGGGCTGTTGGTCCTGTCTGGGCTGTTGGTCTTGTCCAGGCTGCTGGTCTTGTCCGGGCTGCTAGTCTTGCCTGGGCTGCTGGTCCTGTCTGGGCTGCTGGTCCTTTCTGGGCTGCTGGTCTATGTCTGGGCTGCTGGTCTATGTCTGGGCTGTTGGTCTTGTCCAGGCTGCTGGTCTTGTCCGGGCTGCTGGTCTTGCCTGGGCTGCTGGTCCTGTCTGGGCTGCTGGTCCTTTCTGGGCTGCTGGTCTATGTCTGGGCTGTTGGTCTTGTCCAGGCTGCTGGTCTTCTCTGGGCTGCTGGTCTTCTCTGGGCCAGCTTATCTTCTTTGGTGGCATGTGGGAGGCTTGAGTGGCTGGTGTCTCCTGAGACTAGAGACCTTTCCAGAAGGCTGTGGTGGACTTGCTTCCTGACCACTGCTGGTGTGTCTCCTGGAGGGAGTGACTGGAATTCACTCCTGCATGGAGCCGCTCTTGGTGCTGACCCTGATCCCAAGCCACCAGAGGGACCTCCCAGGACCAGAGGGGCATTGCTGGCAGTCCAGACCCCTACCAGTGCTGGCAGCCTCTGCCAGAGACAGATCTGAACACCTTGGCCATGCAGCAGGATCCCACGTCGTGCCACTTGGGGCACAGACTGGAGAATGCCCATCTGGTCATTTCCTGCCTTCAGGCAGTAGCCCTCATTAACAGCTTTTGGTTCTGTGAGGATCAGTGCTATTTTAAACACTTCCCAGCAGGGAAATCCGTATACCTGCCCTCCCTTGGCAAACCCTGCCCATATCTAACCAGCTCTACTGCCAGAATGAGTTCTTCCTCCCATCCCTCCAAAATCCTTTGCAACGAAACCACGAGTCTGTCCCCACATTCTGTTTGGAGAGTGGCTGCTCACCACCCTCTGGGCGTTGCCAATAGAGCCCTCAACTAAAACCAGGCACCTCAACGCAGGAGCCCTGCCCGCCTGCTCTCGGTGTGAGTCTGTCTTCCCCCTAAAACCTTGGAGCAGAACTGCCACTGTTTGCAGCAAAAACAACTTTGAGGTGCTGTTCTAGGTCTCAGAATCAGAGTCCGTCTGTCACCATCGCTAACAGGTAGGGGGAAAACAGATTATTCAGCCTCCTGAGAAGCCACCTTCCCTGCACATTCAGAGTCCGGCACATTCTGCCAAAAGCTCCCGTCACAGCAACACTGGATCCTAAATGTAACTGGTGGTTCCACCTGGAGCCATTCACAGAGGCCCAAGGGTCCCAACAGAGCAGATCCTAGAGGCCCCCGTGCCACTGCCAATATCCATGTGCCACGAGGCAGCTCAGTGATTGGATTGGTGGCCTTTATGTTGCAGATTGAGATGGTCTAAAGCACAGGTCAGATGAGAACTGCAATGGGCTCAAAGACCATGCAGGAGCCCAGGGCATAGGGACACCACAGTCTTCTATGGGCTCATTTCCCTTCTACAACGTACAGTGATGCTGGGGTCTCTACCTCATGTCTTCCCTGTGTCTGCACCAACTTCTCAGTGTCAGGGAAAGAAAAAGAACAGAAAATCAGGACACTCTTGCAATGGCAGCAGGACGTAGAGAGGCTATGGCAGCCAGGTCCCTGAGCTAAACGTTCAGCTAGACCCCTCCAGGTCCGGCCCCAACACGCCCACTCCTAACTGGAGCCGAGACACAGAAGCCCTTCTGAGCATGACACAGAAACACAGACATCTAATTTTCCCATGGAGCGCAGGTGAGAAAGTTCTCATCCAAACGGTGGTGATGTGGGAGCTCTACCATCGCCAGTGTCCTAGCAGACAAGAGAGATGTTAGAGGCAGAGGGAAGGCAGCAGTGAGTCTTCAGCAGGCACAGAGGACCCCATAAGGTGCACAGTACAGGATGCCAAAGAGCTGGAATTGCGAGCCGGGCTTTCAGGAATCTGGCTTTTTTTTTTTTTTTTTATAGACGGAGTCTCACTGTGTCACCCAGGCTGGAGTGCAGTGGCACAATTTTGGCTCACTGCAACCTCTGCCTCCCCGGTTCAAGCAAATCTCCAGCCTCAGCCTCCCAAGTAGCTGGGACTACAGGTGCACGCCACTGAATCCGGCTAATTTTTGTATTTTTAGTACAGATGGGGTTTCACCATGTTGGCCAGACTGGTCTTGAACTCCTGACCTCAGGTGATCCACCCGCCTTGGCCTCCCAGAGTGTTGGCATACAGGCATGAGCCACCATGCCCAGCCAGGAATCTGGATTCTAATGCAGGAGCAGAAACTGATCTTTGAACTACTCTCAATGTTACCTGCACACCAACAATTATGAAATAAATATAAAAAGTGACACAGAGAAACGTCAGGGCCAGGAAAAAAGAGATGGGTGTGATGAGGAGGGGCAAGAGGACTTGCAGGTGAGGGTGGGTTTTGAGCTGTGATTCATAAACAGTAAAAAATACAGGGGGGTGGGTGGCAGGGAGAAGAGGGGCACCTCAGGAAAGAAGGGAGAGAGAGAGGAAGAGCAAGAAGCTGCTCTGTGGAGCAACCTGGTGTTCAGCGGAGGCTGGGGCTACGCACTCCGAACTGGAATGCTGATGGGCTGGGGGAGAGTTCCAAGTCATTAAGTGAGATGGCACAGGTGGGGTGCCCAGGCAAGCTTCCAAGCACAGAGCTTGGCACCAAGCACGCCCTGAGTAGAATTTAGCTCTCTTCCTCTCCCTTCTCCATGTCAAGTGTAACAGATTGGGCTAGTAGATTGCAGAGCTGAGGACCTGGCTGGAGAAGCTCGCTTTCACAGGGAAGATGGAACATGTGTCACGCAGCATCCAAAGGCAATGGTGGCCAAGCACGACCCCGAAGGGAGGGGGTACAGAGGAGACACAGCTGGGTCCCCAGCCGCTGAGACAGGGACTCCTAGGCAGGGGTTGAGGACGGACCAAGCAGCTTCTAGGGGTCTGGGAAGCCCCCTCTGGGCCTGTGTGTTCATATATGCATGCCCCAGAGGGAGGATACCAGGCTTGTTTTGGGTTCTCAAGGGGGGCCTGGGATGTTCAGTGAGCTGACCGGCAGCACTGGAGCTCCCCAAGTCCCTTGCCCAGAAGTTGCCTTCCCAGCTGTCTACACAGCCGACTGTCTACACAGCTCAATTGCAAAGCACCCAGACAAGCGTATTGGATTGCTGGCACTGCATGTGGCCAGCTGGCCCTGAGCTCACTTGTCACAAGCATTAGTTTGCAAGTAAGAAGTACGTGGGGGCATTGTGCTGGGGGACATGAAGGCTGGGAACCAAGCAGGCCTGGTTTAGACAGATTTCTCAAAGCCTTCATTAGGAGGGGGCTCCTGCAAAGCTTTCAGCTTTTCTAAGCCTCATTGTCTTAGGTGTCAAAGGAAGATTATTGATATTCTGATCCCACTGTCACTGGGATTGGAAATGATGCTGGTGAAAGACACAGCACTGGCATGCAACAGGAGCAGATTTGCTATTGTTTTCCACAATATCAAGAAAAACATTGAGCTAGGGCATCTCAAGAAAGCTCCCTGGGTCTGGAGAGTTTATTTCCAGGAGCCACTTACTCTTTCAGTGTTTGTGCTGAGCCATTGCTGTGGCAGAGATGTGGGATGGATGCTCTCCCAAGTTCATAACCATCCCAGGGCAGTTTTCCTGGAGATGGAGACACGAGAGATGGTTGCGAGAGGTCCACTGTTTTGTGAAGTGAGTTTTTAAGCCCCACCTTGCCACCCTGGGTGATGATAACGGTAGCACGTTTTGCAGCCAGGAGAAGGGCTGTAATGGCAGCTGAGGCCACCAACAGATGCAGAGTACTCAGTGACTCCACCTGCCCACCCAGCTGGACCTCCTCCCCAAGCCTCCCTGCAGCGGGGGCTCGGTCCTGACCTTTGTCCTGTTTGATGCTGCCAGGATTACTGAAGAAGTAATGTCCTGCTCAGCTCTCTTCTGCCTTGGCCAGAGATGGCTGCGTGCCGAGAGCTGGCGAGAGAGGCATGTTCTGCCCGTGGCCGGTGGTGTGTGGAGCAATGCACCAATGCGAGCCCGCAGTGAGGGTTCATTACCATGCAGATCCAAGTTGGCGAATGGAGACCAATTGTTTGGGCAGATTGCTTACTGTCTAGCTAGAGAGGCATGATGAGAACTCAGGATCTTGCATTTCCAGGCTATTTTGCAAATCTTCAGGTGCCCATTTCTAGGAGGAACAGCATCACTCAAGTGCTTCTGTGGTGTTGGGTGCAGCAGGTGGGAGATGGGAAGCCCGCTTCCTCTTGTTGAGCCCTTTACAGGGGTCATTACTGTTCCTGGGAGCTTGCCAGAGCCACACAGCTCACCTTAGCTCTGCATCCTTCAGTGGGTCAGGCCTGGGGACTGCCACCCTCTCAGGGCCTCCCTGCAATAGGAAAGGGCTGAGGGATGAGAAGGGAGTCACTTGCCAGCCTGCAAGCATCTGGGAAGGAACTGGCTTTGGGGGCTTGGGTCACTGTCACAGCCAGGAGGAGCAGCAGCACTTTCCCTCTGCTTCCAGAGCAATCTGCCATGGCCCAGTGGCAGCCTCAAAGCTGGCTGACATCTGGCAAATGAGCGTGGGATGCAGCTTGAGCTTCCAGAGTGTACACGCTCCCTTCTGGGCAGACCCCAGGGGCTCAGGAAGCCTCCGAAGCAAACTCTGTTTTCAAGGGCTAGTGAGGAGTCACAGTTGGCACACAGCCCTCCCATTGGCAGTGCCCCTTCTTCGATGGAGGGCATGTAGCTTATCCTCACATCCTGGCAGTAGCCCCTCTGGTGGGCAGACAAGCAGGTGACGTGGGCAAAGCATTTATGAAGATGAATCTGCAGGTGGCCCCCAGCTCTGCTCCTCAGAAAGCCTCCCGGCCCCATTTGGAGTTCAGAGGACCTGGCTCCTGGGTGGAGGGAAGGGAGACCCTTGGAGTGGGGAGCCTGGATAGGGGAGAGCAGGCAGCCTTCCTGCTGCAGCACGGCCACAAGCCAACACCTGGCCGAGCAACCTGCACCCGTGGGAGGCAGACGCTCATTCATCACCCTTGAAGCTCAGCCCTTGCTTCCTCAGCCTCTGGGCAGGCAGAGAAGCAGGAAGAGGGCTGAAGAGCCATGAAATATTGCCCACAGTCCAAGGTGGGGTCACCATCCCAAGGACTATCCTCTGCCTGGGATTTTCTTTAGGCTTGTGTGCAAAGACAGGAGTGTATCAAAGCAGGAGGGTGTCTAGGAACTGCAGAAGTTTAGCGCACTCAGCGTTGGGCATACCCAGCCTTGATGACTCTCTAGAAAATGTCCAAGCCCTTCAAAAATGTTGAGGCCTGAGCCAATTTTCCCCCAACCCTGGGCAACACCACCCCTGTGCCCATTCCTGCTATGTGCTGGGCCCTGCATCAGGGAGAAGCAGACGGAGGAAACTGAGCCAAAGGACAAATGGTGGCAGGGAGCTGCCCCCTTTGCATCCCCAGCCCCCTGGGTGGGCTCATCCCTGGAGATTCCACAGGTGGGTGAGGGCAGCCTGTGGGGTGCGGCCTTCCCTGGAGATGAGGAGTTTATAGCTCCCTGGGCTCAAATGTGGTGGGAAATTTGAGGACTTGGGTCATCTCATTGAAAGAAAGAGCTATGGCATCAGAGGGACTAATTTGAGGAGCCCGGCAGCACTGTGGGGAAATCTACTTATCCCTAAATGTCAACTACCCAGTTAGTTACATTTTCCCAACCAAACGGCCCCATTGACCTCAATCCTCCATGTGGGAGACCCGATAGAGACTTGTCCTTGGAATGGAGGGAAAAGGAGGCCAAGGGAGAATGTCTTTAAAAGGTCACTCAAAGCCACCTCTTCTTAGGACATTACCACCTCCTCACCCTGAAAAAATAATCAATCAATAAAAAACAAAAAGCACAACCAAAATGTAAGTACAGCTGCAGTGGCTCCTCCCTCTCTCCCTTTCCCTACCTCCCCCTCCGTTGCCTCCCTGCTTTGAGCTCCAACCTCTTGGATATTTATCGTTCGCTCCCTCCTAAATCATTCCTGACGGCTGGACTGCTCACACTCCATTACAGGGCGAGGCTGTGCGGAGTCGCAGTTCCGTTTAGCTTGCAGAAAAAGGAGCCTCCTAGGAAAAACCCACCCGGGAGCTGTCCGGTGCTGAACTCCGGCATGATGGACGATTATGGACCAACTGCACTTTCAGAGGGGGATAGATTTATGAGCGGAAGAGACAGCTAGAAGAGTGTCCATTACTATAACTCACTGCCCTCTTCAGAGATATTCTAATCAGGCATCCTTTCCTACCACCGAAAGGCGCAGGTTAAGAACTAGCAAGAGGGGAAATCAATTACATACTTCTGGGGCGGTTTCTTCCAGAGCATCACTGTCTGTGGCATTGGGGGTAAGGGCATCAGGAGGCCGGGGATGGGGGTGGATGGTGGTGGGCCCCTCCACCTGCCAAAGCAGGCTTCCCATCAGCACTTCCTAGCGTCTCCCGTCACACCACTGCTCTTGATCTCTTGCAACTGGTTGAGAAGCTAGGAGGCGCCAGGATGTCCCTCCCTTCTCGCCCTGCACGGATCTAGTTGAGATTTACTGACAACCCAGGATCACGCAGAGGGCTGCAGTGAAAATATCTGGTTCTTCCTGGTCGCCCATGCACTTTGACACTGATGTGCACAGGGGAAGGGAAGAGAGTGAATCTCCATGGGATGCTGGCCTGGGGTCAGGCACTACACTGGATGCCGTCTATATATTCTTTCACCATAATCTTATTCTTACTTTATAGGTGAGAGAACAAAGGCCCAAGGAGGTGCCAGGTTTCCAGCCCAGGCCTGCCCAACCCTCTCTAGACAACCCGCAGGCACAGTTGGCAGTGCAGAGGTGCCCCTGGGCACTCCCTGCCAGAGGTGGCGAGCTCCCTGCTCCCCAGCTCCTCTCCAGCTGCATTACTCCCGACATGTCTCCTCTGGGCCCAGACCTCCCACCCTCTAATGTGGCCTCAGTGTGAACCCTCAGGCCCTGTCTACTTGAACCCCAGCCCTCTAGAAAAGACAGCTACAAACAGATTTCTCCCATTTCTACAGGACTTCAGAGTTCACAAAGCATTTTGACACTACTGAACCTGACCACAGCCCACTGAGGTGGGCCCAAACAGATAATTTTAACCCCATTTTAAAGATGAGGACACTAAGGCCCAGAGAGGTTAAGTGGCTTCCTTGAAGCTGCACAGCACACCAGGAGCCGATCTGGAACCAAGCCCATGCCTCCTGGCTCTGCAGTCAGGCCTGTCTGACCTCACTCTCTGCTTCCCAGCAGGCTGCTCTGAGCACAGTCACCCTTGAGCATTTCCTTCCCTAGGGACCAGCCTGGGCTGGGTACCCCCCACACCTTCCCCACAAGGCTCTCCCTCTGTGGTTCCAGATCTTCTTTCCTTTATCCATTCCCTTCCCTCGAATCACTACCAGGTCAGAGAAGACTGGATTTTAAGTCATGCAAAGTGATGATCACACCCTTGAGGGTCTCCTTGGTTCACACCTCCCTGGGAAGGGTAAGTCCTCCAACTCATGGGGAGTCCTTGGCAACCTCACCCTGGCACAAGCTCTGAGACTCCAGTCAAAGGCCCTGGACATCAGGAAATTCACCCCACCTCCTGCCAGGACCCTGGTGTTCTCCAAGATGATGGGTCGGTGGCCTGAGCGATGGTGTCCAGCTCAGCAGCAGCGACCACGGATGAATGCTCCAGAGCCAGGTCCTAACCGGGATGAAATCAGGCTGCACCTGAGAGCAGCAGAAGCTCAAGGTGTCTTTCTTTTGTTGCTTTTATTTTTATTTATGTTTTAAAAAACTACAGTCCTACCTGCCTCACCTGGGAGCTCACCTGTGGCTTTTTCACCTGGGAAAATACTTCTGGTTTTGCCAAGCCTGCTATAGTCATCCACTTATTCCTTCTCTTTTTTTTGAGACGGAGTCTCCCTCTGTCACCCAGGCTGGAGTGCAGTGGCACAGTCTTGGCTCACTGCAACCTCCGCCTCCTGGGTTCAAGCGATTCTCCTGCCTCAGCCTCCAGAGTAGTTGGGACTACAGGCATGTGTCACCACACCTGGCTAATTTTTGTACTTTTAGTAGAGACAGGGTTTCACCATGTTGGCCAGGCTGGTCTCAATCTCCTGACCTCACAATCCACCTACCTCGGCCTCCCAAAGTGCTGGGATTACAGGTGTGAGCCACCGCACCTGGCCTTCCTTCTCTCTCTTATCTATACAAACATTGATGACAAAACCTGACCTTGCTCTGGGCAATCAGGAAAGGTTTTCTGCAGGAGGTCACACCTGCTGAGCAGTGGAAAAGGTGGTCAGGTAGAAGGAGAGTGGGAGGGCAGAGCCCGTGGGTGCAAACACGGGCAGGACTCATGGCATACTATTCTGTGTGTCTGGAACGGAGATGGGATAGATCCAGGAGGCGTGAGGCTGGATTGGGGAGCAGGGGCAAGGACCCCTTTTGATAGAACCTTGCCCTAAGCCTCTTACTCTGCAGAACTGGCCACTTTCTGCTGAGCATTCAGGACAGGGTCATCCACTGTGCAGACCACACCGTCCATTGTGGCAGGGCTATCTGGTAGCTGGGGTGACCCTGGCCACAATCTGTGGCTGAGATGCCTGGCCCCATAGCCACTGGCATATGTGGATTTTGAACACTTGAAGGTTTTTGGGAGTCAGCATGCCTGAGGAACAGAATTCATCACTGTATTTCATTTTAATTTGATTCAATGGAAATGGCCACCCATGACCCGTGGCCACCGTTGCAAACAGCACAGGTCTGGGTGGTGAGATGCTGCTGACAGCCCCCAGGTCTTGCACAGCCTGACCCTCGCAGGCACTGGCTGAGTGCACTTCTTGACAAGACCCTCATGTTCCCAGGCTTTGAGACCCAAGCAAACTGCTGGCAACAGAGCGATGGAAGGGGGAGTATCTCTCTCCACCCGGAGACATTTGGCTTCACCTGTGAAAACAGCATCCACTTGATGAATGGCCGTTTCCTGCACTTTGTAAAATTAAATTCTTGGCTTGGACCAAGCAGCGCAGGGTTAGCCGTGGTTGCCCAGGGATAGGGATGGGGCATCAGGAGGGAGCCTGGGCAGCAAAGGACTCAGGGTCCGAGGTCCTGGCAGCTGCCACACATGGGGTGGGGGAGATCATGCAGGCAGAGAGCTGAATCAGCAGGTGCCCCAGGTATGGGCTGAAGGCAGAGGGGAAGAAGTAAAGAATAAAAATGCAAGAAAGGACCCACGTGGCCAGGAGGGACAGGGAGGAGGCTGGATACAGAAAGATAGTCCCCACCCCACCCACTAAATCCCAGCCCTGGCTCCCGCAGGGCCAGGCCTCTCCAGGGAACCATTCACATCTGCTCTGAGCTTCCCATGGTGCTCCTCCCATTTCAGACACTGGAGAATGGAGGGATCCCTAACATTTCCAACCCAACTCTGCTCTGTATGGAAACAAACTCCCTTCCCACGCCATTATTACCATCATCATCTTCACTAGTGCTTGGTCCAGTGTACCCGTCATGGTCATCCTGGGGCTCCTATCAAGGGCTCTTCACCCAAACCTGTCCCCCATCCTGGCCACACTCCTGCCGGTGATCCTGTGCACCCTGGGGAGGAAGGCATGGAAGTGGCTCCCCCAGCCTCTTCTCCCACCGTAGCAGTTCCTGCTGATGGTGTTACGTGGCCACGCCATCAACCCAGATCACCCGTGAGAACTTCCTTCATTAAAGGGCCACTATATAACCTGAAATTATTCCACACCGTGCCCTCTCCTCCTTCCCTGGAAGGAGCTCTGCATGCCTGGTGGGGGCTCTGAGCAATACCCTCTGGTCCATGTCTCTCACCTGCAAAGTCTAGGGAAGCTGTAGGCCCCCCACCCCGGCCTAATGGCCAGCCCCGGTGCATCTTCAGGAAGACACAGAGGCACCCTGGCCCACGCCTGTCCTGGATTCACCCCTCGCTCTCCCAGGAGATCTCCATCTATGGCTCCCATCCCGGTTCCTCTTCACCGGGCTTCTCTTTTAAACAAATGGCTGGTCGCACATTTTAGCCTGGTGTCACCAAGGGTCCCACGCAGAGTCCGGCTCCTTCTCAGACCCTTCAGCCCTGACCTCTCGTGCTGATCTGTCCAGAGTGGAAGAAATCACTCATCCCAGGAGCACCTCTGTTCACACCCCTAAGTCACAGCCAGAAAACAGCCCCCAACACCCACCCAGGCCTGCATCTCTCAGCTCTCCATTCAGAGCTGAAGAGTTAAGCTGGGCAGAAAAACTGACCATCACATGAACTCCAGAGACTCTTGTGTGTGAGCATGTGTGTGTGCAGGTGCGTGTGGGCGCGCGTGTACCTGCGTGTCTTCACTGCTTCTCCAGATGAGTTTAACCCCGCTGTGGGACACAGCAATGTCTTCTCTTTCCCCTGTGCCCCCTGACCCCCGGTAGAGTAGACACTGGGGAGTGTCACCCTCATTGAGGTGAAATTGAAGGGTTTGGGGTATCATGCTGGTTTCACTGCCATGCAGGGGCTTCCCCTCTTGCCCTGGATGGTTCTGGAATTGCCCTAGGACTACACAGGAGTCCCCCCAGTTTTCTCCCACTCAGACCCTCACTGTCATGGTCAAAATCCCCTCCACCGAGCACAACGATGCCACCTGTTGTGGTTTTTTTTCTTTTCACGCTGCAGAATCTTGGGTCATTCCTGCAGATGCTTGAAATAGACGAGGGGATATTCAGGTTCCACACGCTTCTCCGTTTTACAGAGGCGGGGTTTTCAGGGTGGCAGGGGGTCTGATAGTGGTCCCACTCCTGTCTCCCCCAGGCCTCTCCCACACCCCTGACTCTCACCAGTTTCTGGCTCTGGGACGGGCAAAATCCAGCCCCACGGCCACCATGTGGGCTTGGGGATCATGAAGTCACGTGGTGGGGCTGTGCCTGGGGGGTCTTCTCTGGGTCTGAAGGTCCTTGGGCCGCTCCCTGATCAACCAGGTCCTACTCACTCTGAGCCAAGGATGGACCCTCCCTTCGGAGAAGCCTTCCCTGACTCTGTGGCCAACAGGACCTTCTCTCCCAGCTTCTGGTCTCAGGGCTCTGACAGCCTGGGGCAGCCGTCGGCCACGTCTCGCTGTGTTCTGACACACACTGGGTCTCGGATCCTTGTGTCATTTCACTCTATGTTGCTCCTGTTTCATGAATGTGGGTCCCATCCCGCTAACTGACCGGTATGCTTAGATTTTAAAGAAACGTATATCTGCAGCCCCCAGGCTCTAAGCATCTCTTTCCAAGTATTTATGGGTTCTGTCCCCTCCCAGACCGCCCAGCTCAACATGGGCAAAAAGCAAAAGCTGTGTTCCTGGCACCCTATTTATTTCTGTTCCTTGACAACCCCTCCCTGAGCCTCATGGACTTCAAGCCCTGCTGTCCCTTCGGCCACCATCTCCCATGCTCAGCCCAGAAGCATTTCCCCTGCCGTTTGCCTTTCCTCTTCATTCTCACTCTTTTCCTTACAAGTGGTCCCTGGTCGCCACATGTCTGGGATGGCCACACTGCCTCTCCCCTGTCCCGTTCTGTTCACATTACCAGAGTCAACAAGCCCCTTCCTGCCTCCAAAGCCTCTGGGGGGTGCATCACTGTCAGGGTGGGTGTCAAGACCCACCCCAAGCTGAACCTGGGGACCCAACACAAATGTTTCGCTTCATTCCAGAGGCCTCTGCCCCCCCTGGACCCCTGGAGAATGTCCTGCCCGTGGCTCCAGCCTGCACTGCTCAGTGTTGTTATTAGACGTTTTCACAAATGCAGATTCTAGATCTCCTAAGAGATTGAAGACGGCACTCCCAGAAGACGGCACCCCATCACAATCACTTTTGTTCTCTGCTGCACCTGCCCCGGGGCTGGGCAAGTAATTGACACCGCAAGGACTTTCTGAACTAAAAGCGTGCTGTGGCCTGCCCGCTGTTAACACCCCCATCTTCCCACTGGAAGTGAGGCCACACAGCTCTGGTCTTTAGTGACACTACAGGGGACAGCACAGAATCCCAGTTTTCTTCGACTATTTTTCTCAATGCCCCTGGAAGCACGGAGGGTCCCGACCACCCAGTGTGAAGCCCTCCTGTGCGGCTCACAGGGCCAGCCTGGTCCTCTTGGTAGAGACGTGCACCCCACGATGACAGTCACTTCCTGCTGCTCTAGACTATTCTGTTTTTCCATTCTATCTCAGGTCTGAGCAACCACGTGTCCAGACTCCTTGGGGCTCCAGGAGCAGACCCAGGGCTCCCGGCAGGTCTGCTCTGGTCCCACCTACAGGGTCATCCGAAAACCAGAGCAGCCATGAACTAGCCCCTCTTAGCGGCTGCCTGCCTTCTTTCCCCACACCCCTTGCCATTTCCTGCTCCTTGTCTGCTGCCGTCTGGGCTGGAATTCTGTCTCCAAATTGGAGATCACTCCAGGCCCTCAGGACTGGAATTTGAGCCCTGGGAGGGGAAGGGACCATTTGTAGCTCTTTTCTTTTTTTATGCTGCTGAGCGAAGCAGGGATCAGGCTGAGCACAGCTGCCAGGGAGGTGGTGTTTTGTGATAAATCAATAAACTGCTCGGGGTGGGAGAGGGAAAGGGATAGATAGGGAGCCCTAGGATGCTGGAGAGGAGGCAGGCTCTGGGGTCCACGTGAGCACCTGAGTCAATGAACAAAAAGAGATGAGAGACGGGGTGCAGAGGGGAGGGGAGCACATGAGTGAGGGGCAGCCAGAGACAGAGACACAGAGAAGTGTGGGGGCGTGGGGAGACAGAAACATAGAACCAGAGAGACAGAGAGAACAGAGACACACACAGAGAGACAAAGAGAGACAGAGATGGAGACAGAGAGACAAAGAGAGATGGAGACAGAGAGACAAAGAGAGACGGAGACAGAGAGAGAGAGACAGAAAGACAGAGCCTGAGAGACAAAGAGAGCAGAGACACAGAGAGAGACAGAGAGATAAAGAGAGGCAGAGACAGAGAGGGAGACAGAGCCAGAGAGAAAAAGAGAGACAGAGACATAGAGAAAGAGAGAGAGATGGGGTGGGGGAGAGAGAGAGACAGAAAAACAGAGATGGGGAGACAAAGAGAACAGGGACAGAGAGAGACAGAGGCAGAAAGACAGATAGACAGACACAGAGAAACGGGAGGGAAAGAGACAGACAGAAAGAGGTAGAGAGACAGAGAGAGAGAAACAGAGGAAGAGAGAGAGAGATGGGGTGGGGGAGAGACATATAGATAGACAGAGACATAGAGAAAGGGGAGGGAGAGAGACAAAGAGACAGACACAGAGAAAAAGAGAGAGAGAGAAACAGGCAGAGACAGAGGAGGACAGGCCAGGGGAGACCCTGCCAGCCTTTACCAGGGAGGAGACTGACCCTCCAAAACCACATTTACACGCAGCAGACCAGCTCACAGCCTCAGTGAGGCCTGCACCCATCAAAGGATTTGGGGGAAGGTGTCCTCGCTTCCTGAACTATTTTCATTAAAAGAAAAAAGTTGCCGAGCTGGCTTCTCCACACTGGCCTCCTGCGTACTGTGCTCTGCAATGGTCTTGCTTTCTTTTGTTCCAGAGACACAGAACTGTTTAATTCTCATCCCTTCAATCAATACCTGGTGTCATGTCATCCAAAGCCATTATTTTTACACCAGAGAAAAATGGAGACCGAGTACAGTATAAAGAGAGAGAGGAGACAGAAATCATTGCTTCAGAGGCTGCAAGTGAAAACCTCGCTCAGAGCCACCCAACCTCAGCATCATCCAGCTGGCTCTGCAGGTCTCCTGGCTCCCAGAACAAAAGCACCTGGAGAAGCAGGTGCAGGAGAGGAAAGTCCTGGGGGAAGAATGTCCCATGACCCCAGAGAGGTCTGTCTGATGGCAAACAGCTTCTTCCCAAAGACACACCCACAGTCAGCCCCTGGATGGGAGTTCAGCAAGGGCTGAGTCTCCCCCAGCTCCCTGATCCCATCCTCCTCTCCCTCCATACCTCCCACTCTGCCTCTGCCCCCATTCCTGCCCTTCACCCCACGAGCACACACAGCTTCCACATCCTCAAGAGGCATCATCCTGGGACCTTCCCCCTCTCCCAGATGCCGAGGTGTCTCCTCTGTCTCCTCCAGACTCTGTCTACACTGCCACATCGTCCCTTCCTAGGAATTGGAATCTGCCCATGTCCCCACCCCTCCCTTGGGAATTCCCACCCTGGTCACCAACGATCCCCTCATTGCCAAATCCAGCAATCCATCTCAGTCCTGCCCCATTTCTTGTTTCTGTTGCTTTTACCTGATGATCCTTGAAACTGCCTTTTTCCATCACCTCTTCCTGTTTCTACCATCCACCCATTCCTAGGGCCCCAGTTCCTTCCCCACACCTCCTAAATCACAATCTTTAGCTTGGGCCTCCCTCTCTCGAGACTCCTGTGTCCTAGTAGACACTTTCACCCAGAGATGTGCCCCAGGTGGCTTCACTGGCACCCAATGCTTCTCCTGCATCTGCCATCTCAGACAGTGGCATCGCCAGCTGCATGGCATCCAGACAACAAAGTGGAATCATGGTCACCCACTCCTCATGCTCCGTAGGTTACAGGGACTTGTTGGTGTCTCGGAACCTGTCCCTTTCTGGGTATCCACTGCTTCTGACGCTGGGCCTGGATTCTTGGAATTGCATCCTTAGTGTTCAGATCCTGGAACCACTGTTTCAAAATCTCCTCCTTACCTAGAGATGGGCTTCTTAACCCTTCGGGGCCCCTAGGAAACCTCTTCCCAGAAAAGGCACATATGTGCACAAAAGTTTGCAACCATTTCAGGAGGCTCATGGGCCAACTGGAGCCCATCTGTGAGGCCTACAGTTTAGGAGCCTAGGTCTGCAGGCCCAAGACTGAGCTCTCCAGGGAACCAGGACCATCACACTCCAGCTCCCACACATCTTTCCAGCCTCAGTTTCCTCGTCTGCCACATGACAGCAGTAATGGACCCATCTCAGAGGATGCTTGTGAGCTTGAAGATGCAGTGAAAACCACATCGAGCTGTGCCTGTTGCCTGTGCCTGGCACGTAGCAAGTGTCTCACCCCCCAACCAGCCCAGCCCACCCTGCACAGACACAGTGGCATTTCTCCAGCATGCTGGGGGCCTTCCCTTGACAAACCTTGGACATTCTGTCTAGAATATTCTCTGCCAGGGAACCCTCTCTTACCCTCTGAAACCTGGCTCAGATGCCACCTCCTCTCTGCTGCCTGGAGCCTCACTAGGGCTCCCAGAGTTACTGTCATCACACTGTGTCTGCCTCTGCATCCAGGTGCTTCATTAGAGGGGCGTATGTGGGCCTCTCCCTGTGTAGACGAGGCTGCCAGAGGATGGGGCTGGCTGGCTCCAGCTTCTCCTGCCCCCAGATGCACAGACTCCAGCACACAGCAGGTGGCCAACATGAGTATGCTTGATTTGCAAATGAAACAGATGGAGATGTCCATTTGCGACCAAAAGGAGATGCCTAGGACAGAGTCTGGGGGACCTGCATGTGCCTTCTTTCACCCTTGTGAGGGCTGAGAAATGAAACATCATGTAAGTGTATGTATATGTGTGTGTATATATGTATGTATATGTTTTCACATGCACGTTTTGCTATTATTTACTTTAACACGCACAGACACTATTGTCATCACCCTCGTCTTACAGTGGAGGAGGCTGAGGTCCGACACTTGGCCATGCACGGATCCTCTAGAATCAGGACTCCAGCCAGCCTCTCATCTCTAGGTCCCAGGCTACACTGGAGTGTCCGTGTACACAGGCATGAGTCCACACCCCTTGGCGCAGAACCCCCAGCCTCCGCCATCTGGCTCTTGCTTTCTGCCCTGGTTTTCCTCCAGTGACATCTACAACCACGCTGGGTCTGGCCCTGCTCCCACGTGCTCATGCTCACAGGTGCTGTGCTCCACCTGAGCCCCTCCAGGCCCCACTTGCTCCCGTCCTCTCGTCCTCCACATCTCAGATCCCCAAAGCCTTCCCTGGCACCGCACACTCAGGCAATCTCACCTGCCCCTGCACTCCACGTAGCCTGCAGCCATCTTAGCTTTTCCTGTTCAATATTGGAACTTTCCAGAAATGCTACCCTAGTTGTCATCCTTATCCTATTCAATGGGTTTCTACAGAAAAGAAAACTCGCTGTTTCTCACACCTGCCGGTCTGCCTGCGCCGCTTCGTAGACACCGCCCTCCCTCTGTGCTGTTTGCCATGGACTCCAGATAGCTTCACACACATTCCTTCATTTCACCCCATCACACCCGTTCTTTTAAATCCCACTGTTCTGGCCGGGAGCAGTGGCTCTCGCCTGTAATCCCAGCACTTTGAGAGGCCAAGGTGAGTGGATCACCTGAGGTCAGGAGTTCGAGACCAGCCTGGCCAACATGACGAAAACCCATCTCTACTAAAAATACAAAACTTAGCCGGGCATGGTGGTATACGTCTGTACTCCCAGCTACTCAGGAGGCTGAGGCAGGAGAATCACTTGAACTCAGGAGGCAGAGGTTGCAGTGAGCCAAGATCGCACCACTGCATTCCAGCCTGGGCGACAGAGTGAGATTTCATCTCAAAAAATAAATAAATAAATAAATAAATAAATAAAATAAATTGAAAAAAAAAATAAATCCCACTGTTCCAGGTGGGGCAACCGAGCTTCTGAAAAGCTGAAGTCCCCTGTCCAGCAGCGCATGGAGACAGAACTGTGCAAAGGGTTGGGTCACATTCAGCTGTCTGGACTCACAAGGGCAGAAATCAGTGAGACCCACAGGTGAGGTCCCTGGCCTCGTCCTCTCTCCTCCACACTGGACCTTCAGTAAAGACGGTGCTGTCCTCAGGCCCGATCCCAGCCCTGGCTCAACCAAGGGCAGCTCATTCAGGGGGATCACAACAGGGGGGTGGCTCTGAACCAGGAGGTGCACATAGTGAATACCAACAGAGAATCTTCCAGAGCTTTGGGGCTTTTACTGGTGGCTGATGGCCTTCAGGAGGCAATTAAAAAGGCACAATAAAAAGTGAAGTGGGCCGGGTGAGGTGGCTCACGCCTGTAATCCCAGCACTTCGGGAGGCAGAGGCGGGTGGATCACCTGAGGCCAGGAGTTTGAGACAACCCTGGCGAACATGGTGAAACCCTGTCTCTACTAATAATACAAAAATTAGCTGGGCATGGTAGTGCACGCCTGTAATCCCAGCTACTTGGGAAGCTGAGGCAGAAGAATCGCTTGAACCTGGAGCAGAGGTTGCAGTGAGAGGAGATTTTACCACTGCACTCCAGCCTGGGCAACAGAGAGAGACTCCATCTCAAAAAATAAAAAAGGTGAGTGCTCTTATTTCGATAGTCCTGACTCTCACACCACGGGAAAGGACCACGTCATCTTGGCTCCTCCTAGGATCAGACTCCAGGCTAGGACTTTTCAAAGGAAACATTGTGCTTACCTGACAAAAAAAAAATTAATCCCAGGTGGGATGGAGCCACACATCCTAACAAACTTCTCCTTGGCATCTCTGGCACCACTGCTATTTCCAGAACCATCTCTCAAAGCCCACGCACAGCACAGCTGCATCCGGGCACAAATGCACTCTCGTGTGTTTGCACTGACATGCATGCCTCAGGTCCCCGTGGGCACATGCGTGTACAAGAAGAGCCCATTCACAAATCGGATCAAGAAAATGCAGTTGCGCCGGGCACGGTGGCTCACGCCTGTAATCCCAACACTTTGGGAGGCCGAGGCGAGCAGATCACTTGAAGTTAGGAGTTCGAGACCAGCCTGCCCAAGATGGTGAAACCTAATCTCTACTAAAAATACAAAAATTAGCCAGGTCTCGTGGCACACACCTGTAGTCCCAGCTCCTTGGGAGGCTGAGGCAGAAAGACCAGCTGAACCCGTGAGGCAGAGGTTGCAGTGAGGTGAGACTGTGCCACTGGACTACAGCCTGGGCAACAGAGCAAGACCCAGTCTCAAAAAAGAAAAAGAAAAGAAAATACAGTTGAGTTTACTATATATATGTCACATACACACACACAGAGTTCTTATAGCCTACCTCTGAAAGAGAAGTGGCAGGCATGTGTCTCTTTTTCTTAAATTTTTGCTTCTGTTTCATGTGTTTGCTGGCATACTTCTCCAGATTTTTTTTTTTTTTTTAGACAGAGTCTCACAGTGTCACCCAGGTTGGAGCGCAGTGGCGCGATCTCGGCTCACTGCAACCTCTGCCTCCTGGGCTCAAGTGAGTCTCCTGTCTCAGCCTCCCGAGTAGCTAGGATTACAGGCACCTGCCACCATGCCCGGATAATTTTTGTAATTTTAATAGAGACGGGGTTTCACCATGTTGGTCAGGCTGGTCTCAAACTCCAGACCTCAGGTGATCCACCCACCTTAGCCTCCCAAAGTGCTGGGGTTACAGGCATGAGCCACCGCGCCTGGCCTTCTCCAGATATTTTTTAACGGGCTGGAAGGAACTGGGGTTTCTTTTTGATCCTTCCAATTGTCACCTGCAATGGTGGGAACACAGACTGGGGCTGTGGTTTGTGTAGCTCTCCGTGGTGCTGCCCTGAGCCGAGAATATCAGCAGACAGGGAGAGTATTGCAACCCTTCTATGACTGTAGTTTGTGAAATTTCTGTCTTTCCATGGAATTTCAGGGTGATGCTGGTGAGATGGGAAGAGTCCCTGTGAAACAGCTTTTCCAGAATTGGGTTTGGATCCCCCATAATTCAACTCCCTGAGGCACCGCACCGCTGCTATTAGCCTGAGAACTTATTTATTAAAGACTTCCTGTCATCTGCATTGGTTTTCAGCAAACTATACTCACTTAAGGGGTCGACATACATCCCCCAGGAGTAGAATCTGTGAGTTTACCATTCCCTGTCCTTTTTGGAACTCGCATTGCTACACATGTCCCCAAGTGCTTCAACAACCACAGAGGGAGGAGAGGCGTGAGATGCAGTCAGCTGTGTGTTCCAGAGGATGCCTTTCTGATGACTGTTGCTTTTCCTTGTTAGCCCTGGAGACAAATAAAGAGCTAGCTCAAACTTGCTTGGCCCTGTTTCTACTCTTCCTTCCCATAATCCTTAGGCTATTGTTTGTGTTTGGCTGTGTGATCAGAACATTTGCATCAAACCCACTAGTGAGAGGGAAGGAGGCGGTTCTATAAAAATTCAGATTTAGGGCTGCTGAATTCTGAATTCTGAATTCTGGGGAATAGAAAATCTATTTACCAAGTTGTGCAGGTGATTGCTTTCTTTTCTTTTCTTTTTTTTTTTTAGACAGTCTCACTCTGTTGCCCAGGCTAGAGTACAGTGATGCAATCATACCTCACTGCCACCTCGATCTTCCAGGCTCAAGCAATCCTCCCGCCTCAGCCTCCTGAGTGGCTGGGACTACAGGCATGCACCACCACACTCGGATAATTTTTAAATTTGTTTGTAGAGACAGGGTTTTGCTGTGTTG